>NC_000010.11:31835694-32139976 GCF_000001405.40 Homo sapiens
TGTAATAATAAGATTTTAAAAATATAGAATAAGTAAACTTGCACAATTGTACCTATAGCATTGAAAAAACACCACTGTAATGAAACATCCAGAATGGGTAAATCCATACATAGAAACAGAATGCAGGCTAGTGGTTATCAAGGGCAGGGGACTGGGGAGGGTGAAATGGGGAGTGACTTTTAATGGGTATGGGTTTTATTTTGGGGTGACGAAAAGTCCTATAACAGAGGTGATAGCCACACACGTTGTAAATATATTAAATGCCACTGAACTGTACCCTTTAAAATGGTTACTGGTTAATTTTATGTTACATAAGTTTTATCTGAATAAAAATAAAATTTTTAAAGAGTCAATGGATATAAAAAGAATTAAACATTCATGTTTTTTAAAAAGGCCTTAGAATAGTAATATTCAATGAAAAAAATAAGCAACTTGTCCATTAATACTTCAAATCATTAAATTTTAAAATGTCTTTTTCTCTAAATTGATTAATGCATATTAATACCATAAGTGGACATACAATATCAAAGCTCAAGTTTCTGAAATGCATATTCTAAAACTTTACTCAGTATTCAGTAATTGGGAATTTTAAAATGCATATTCTCATAGGTACATTGGGACATATAATGAATAGCTTCTTAGATCAGCCCACAAAAACCTATTTAATCCATATTATAGTCAAATTGTAGACAAATATATTATTGACTTTTAAAAAATGTATATACTGCCTATTTCAAGCAGATTTAAAGGGACTACAAAAAGTAACAATCATTTAAAAATTAGAAAAGAAAAAGTTAACATGTTTAAAATTTATATTAAGGGACGAAATTTTAAATCTGGTGTGATTAAAGGAGATAGATGAGCAATCTGCAGGGATTTTTAAGGTGACATTAAGAACTGAAAATGATGATGGTATCATTTCCACTTCTAAATTTGCAGCTTCCTTCTTTCTTATCACTAAGCCTTTATACCAATCAGATTTTAACTCGCAAAGAAAGAGGGAAATATCTCCCTGTAGTAACTGGGTACGAGTGAGAAAGAGACGCAAGAATACCAGAAGCCATGCAAGCGCAGAGGAGGAACCAGAGGGCAGAGGGAGTGAAGAGATGTCACAGAGGGCAGAAACCTCCATGGGAGGGCACAACAGCATGGATGGAGCATTCAGGAAAAAAGGAATGCCATCTGGTGATGGAAAAACAGAACCACCTCTGGTAGAATTAACATGGCGGTTTGTTTTTTTCACCTAAAGGTAAAAAAAGATTGAAACAGAAGAAACATTGGCGAGGCAGTTCCCTGTGATGGCCATCAGAGGGTACTGTGAGTCCGGCATGGTCTAGCTGCTGTCAAACTTCAGAAAATGGATAAATGGGTGGTGAAATAATTTGAAAACAGTCCTTGTAACTGCATGTGCAACATTTAAAAACTTTGCTTCTAGGATTACTTAGGAATTCTCTTTTAACAAAATGAAAATAATGTATAAAAGATCTTTGTGGGAACTGTGCATTACCTACATTTAAAATAGTTTTAAAGGGTTTCCTACTTTTCTAGATGGACAGATTAAGAGTACTGTAGTAACAGTGCCTTAGATTCGTATGGCAATTCTTGCCAAAACCACCAAAATAATGTTCACTTTTATCGTTATGTAATGTTTATGTACCCAGTACTGTGCAAATAATGCAAAAGATAAGTAGATGCATGTAGTCTCTATCTGTCCTCTATTTAAACTTCTTTTAGGAATTTAAAACCTGGTAGGGAGACTAGAAGTACATATAATAACTTGCACTTATTCAATGCAATTAGTGACTTGAGAGTTCAGATAAAGAAGAGAACATTATTCTGCTACGTTAGTCTGACAAAGCTTTCTGGAAGGGTCCATCTTGATGGAGGTATAGGATTTAACTATGTATAGAAAAAGCAAGGCCCACTCTAGGCAGGGGTACTGCCTAAGCCAACATCAGAAGGAAATGTGTACAACCCCTGATTAGTGCCAAAAAGACCAGATTGCACTAGGGAATGGAGAAAGAGTTAGAAAAATGAAACAGTATCTGTGAAAATCTTTACCTCTGGGAAATCTGAAGTATCCTAATAAATAACAGTGTATCATAATTTCATAAACTAGAGAAGCCATAATAAAATTTTGTCTTTTAAAAAGCTTTAAGGTTTCATTTATTTATTCAACAAATATTTACTGAGCAGCTATTATATGGCACTGTGGGAGGTAATGGGGTAACTCTGTTCCTGCTCTAATGAAGCTTTACTCTGTCTGGTGGGGAAGACAGACATTAATAGAGAGTTGGAGGTTCCTATAAGAAATAAATAATGACAAGTTATTTTATGTAATCGAATAATATATAATCAAATACTATGAAGAGTATTATAGGAAAACTTTGCCTAACCTAGAGAATTAGAATAAAATTCTCTGAGGAAATAAAAGTTCAAACTAAGCCCTGATGAATGAATAGAAGCTAACCAGGCAAAGATGTCGGGGAGAATGTTTCAGCATGCAGAAGAAATGACACACACAAGGACCCTGATCTGAAAGGCAGGCTCCTTTGAGGAACTGAGAGAAGGGTGGTGTGGTAGGACAACAAGCAAGAAGGGAAAAGGAAATATGAGATGAGGTGGTGGAGGCACTCAGGAGCCAGAGCATGCACAGCCTTGTCATGCTCATTAAGAATTTTAGGGCTTCATTCTACAAGAAAACAGGCTGGGTGTGGTAGCTCACATCTGTAATCCCAGCACTTTGGGAGGCCAAGGCAGGCATATCACTTGAGGCCACAAGTTCAAGACCAGCCTGGGCAACAAAGCAAGACCCCTTATCTCCATAAAAATTTTTAAAAAATTAGCCAAGCGGGCCAGGCACAGTGGCTCATGCCTGTAATCCCAGCACTTTGGGGGGCCAGGGTGGGTGGATCACTTGAGGGCAGGAGTTTGAGACCAGCCTGGTCAACATAGCGAAACCCCGTCTCTACTAAAAATACAAAAAATTAGCCAGGTGTTGTGGCGCATGCCTGTGATCCCAGCTACTCGGCAGGCTGAGACAGAAGAATCACTTGAACCTGGGAGGTGGAGGCTGCAGTTAGCCGAGATCATGCCATTGCACTCCAGCCTGGGCAACAGAGTGAGGCTCCATCTCAAAAAAAAAAAAAAAAAAAAATTTAGCAGAGCGTGCTGGTGCATGCCTGTGGTCCCAGCTACTAGGGAGGCTGAGACGGGAGAATCACCTAAGCCTGGTGGGGGAGGGGCAGGTGGTTGAGGCTGCAGTGAGCTATGATGGTTCTACTACACTCCAGCCTGGACAACAGAGCGCAACCATGTCTCTATTTAAAAAACGGTAACGAAAAAAAACCCAGAAGCCATTGAAGGGGAATAGCATGATCAGCAACAGAAAAGACTGGGAATGAGTATAAATACAGAAATTAAGTAAAATTTCATCAGAGTTAAGACAGGTATCTTAACAGAAGTCACATGGAGGTTTTCCAGTTTAGGAGAACTTACAGTTAAGCTATATTATTTCCAATATTCATCTGGCACAGACTTGGCAATATATTTTACAGCATAGAAAATGAAGGTGTCTATGCCTATTAAGAAGGAGAGGATTGCTTCTTACCTTTGGACTGCTGGCCTGAGGAAAAAAAGAGTAAAGTATAATGTCATAGTATTGTCTGGGAATTTTATATTTATTTTTAAAAACAAATATAAGTTCATCACTTAAAAATATGGTATATAATTTAATCATGTAAGATACCATATTTTAAACAAAAGGGGGACTTTTAAATCAATAAAATCTGATTGTTAAACTTATTTTGATTGTGATTTTTTAGAAAAACCAATGAAATTTAATAGAAGCTCATTTAAACATTACATTAAGAGTAAATTAACTTGCTAAAATTGATTGAAATAACTGGACTACATTATAAGATATGCTTCTATCATACTAACTGTATCTTGGTGCTTTGGTGAGGAGGGAGAAGACTCATTTTCAGGAAAGCAGGGTTTTGAGGCAGTTGGAGATTCCTACAAGAAATAAGTAATGAAAAAAGTTACTCTATTTTATATAATTATATTTCTGCCTCTACTCACAGTGGGAGAGCTTAGTAAGAGAGAATAACAAATTTTTTCCTCGTTATTTTCGTTCTATATTCAGCTCCAAGCTAATAAGGTAATGATTTTAAAACTACAAACGTTATTAAAAGTTTATAAAATATGGTGCTTTTTATAGCAATTACAGTTAAATTTAAATAATGCATATGGAATTACTCAAAAGAAATGATACAAGCTGCCTTAAAATCATGATGTTATATCAGTTTGAATTAACCATATTAAAATAAGTAAAACCTAAACACTTCTGGATAAATAAGTTATAATCATGATACTAACTTGCTCTTGGTATGGTAAGTATAAATACCCAGGATTAGGCAAGGTCACAGAAATACCTTAGCAAATGCCAGAATGAGAATTTAATTTTAGTCAAAAGCTATATAAGAAATTAAATTGCTATTAGTATTTAAGGTAATTTATAGAAAACTTTCCAAAAATTAGAAATAAGATATTTTAAATTCAAGAAAGAAACCTACGATTTAAATATTAATAACTCCCCAGAAAAAAAAATTTTAATGTCTAAGCCTACAAGAGTATCATAAGACCAAACCAATAACGTGTTTTTTTTTTAAGCAGTCTGCTTTGTCAATATTAAAACACAGAATATGATTTCTATTACAGATGTTGATAGGACTATTCATGGAGGGTAAGACTGAAAAACTTTTTTTTGGTAGCAGTAGCCCACCTCCACTTAAATTTTCTCCATTTCCTTAGATGTTTTGAATAATTTCAGAAAAAGAGAATTTTTTAAATCATACACCATTACCTATTATTAATTTGTTTCTATCAAACCAAAAAGTTCCTTTGAACATTCATCTCCACGTAGGTATCATTCTAGTTTTCTATGTCTATAAACCTGGAGAAGGTGCTGTCAACCAACCTGGGAATTTGTTTTAAGTAACACTTGCAAAAAAACTATTAACTCAACATTTACTGATTTGGAAAAATGTCTTCGGGTTTATATCCCACACAATTTGTAAATACAGAAACTAGTAGCAGTGAAAGTTTACATGGAAGCCCTTGAAGGGACAAGTTTATAAATCAAACAAGGTACTATTAATGGAGAAAATATTAAAATCACATTGAATAAAAAACTTCAAAAAAATTTAACTTAAGATCCAAATCTCACTTAAGTATTTTTTTCTGACAACTTCAGATCAATTTTTGATTCCTAAGACTGTCTGATAGTAAAACAGTATGAGAAAGATGGAAGATCTGATGATTCATAAAGTAGAAAATAAGTAACTGAATAAAATGATAATTATATTTTTCATAGCACATTCAGTCCCACAGAAATAAAAACCACAAATACAGTAATAACATATGTACAATTATAACTATTATAAACAAGAAATAATTTTACATGTATACATTTATCTATATTTAGATATATGCATATAAATATACACCTTATACATCTATGAATAGTTTTAGTAAAAACAGAAAAAAAAGGCAGAAACAGATGCATTCACACATACACACACAGACATACGGCTACCCTTCCAAGGTTATCTGTAAACTGAATTAGGACCTATGTCATCACAACAACATTTGCTATACAATAATAGATGGTCCTTGACTTATGATTGTTCAACTTTAAGGTGATGGGAAAGTGATAGGCATTCACTAGAAAACATACTTGAAATTTTGATCTTTTCCTGGGCTAACAATATTCAATATGACACTCTCTCATGATGCTGCACAGAGGCATCTAGCCCCAGCTTCCAGTCAGCCACCTGATTACCAGGGTAAACAGATTACAACGGTAAATAATTGATATTCTACAGTGTACCATGTTACTGAATGATTTTGCCCCACTGTAGGTTAATGTAAATGTTCAGAGCACATTTAAGGTAGGCTAGGCTAAGCCATGATGTACAGTGGGTTAGGTGTATTACATGCATTTCACCTTGTGGTATTTTCAATTAATGGTATTTTCAACTTATGTGGGTTTACTGGGATATAACCTCACCCTAAGTTGCAGAGCATCTGTATTAGGTTGCTGTGATTACAATTCAGGTTATACACACTTCATCCCTTATCACATATTAGCTAGTTTGTTCTGGTAGTCAGTCCCTTTTTCAAAACCTAAAATACTGCCTTATGTTAAGAAACTTATGCATCTGTTTGCAAAGGGTAAGGTAGAGGGTAAAAAAGACATTTCTACCAAAAATAAGTAAATCTCTAATCGCAAAAAAATCATATTCTTGCAACTCTGGGACAATGAGATGAAAGCATGCAAGTTATTTAAAGCAAGAGATTGAAAATTAATTTTAAAAAATGAATTGAGAGATTAAAAAGGAGTAAGATTGTTTGACATTTTATGATGTCGAAAAAAAGAAAAAGGAGTAAGAAATTTTAAGCATAAATTATCAAAATAATCATCCTATTTGTTCTGGTATGAAGAGGCGGTAGAGTTGGTTCAACAATGGTTTGACTTAGAACAGTATATATGGTATTTGGGAGATTCCTATTTATCCTGAATTGTAATCTGGTTCTTGGTTGAGTGAATTTTTCCTATTAGAAATCTCTAGGTATTTTTCTTACCTAGATTAATCTCAACACTAATATATTTTCAAGCATATCTTCAATAGCACAGACTCCAGAATGTCATTCCTTTAATGTGGTCTCTATATTCAACACAAGATCCTTACAAACTAGAAACTAGAAACTGGTCTGTTACTTTCGTTGTTTTCTATTAGTCCATCTTATACACATGTATGAAGGCTGTTTCTAACACTACACCTTTAAATTCAACAAAGACCAATTTTATAGTAACTTGTAGTACCAAAATATTATGCTTGTTATGACTGATAAATTGAGATTATTTATAAAGGAATTTAGGACTGAAAGTATCCAAACATAATGAAATATGCCATAGGGATAGTTAATTCTGTTTTCATGAACACACCTAAAAATTACAGAAAAACTGTTAGTCATGCTACAAGAAGCCTGATGATTTAAAAAACCTTTACATTTCAAAATCAATATACCTAATATTCTGCAAATTCATACTAAGTTCCCAACTTATCCCCAAAATGAAGCTACACTGTGAATAAGTAACCTCTAAAGAAGTGTTTAAAACATCCATTCTAATGTTTGCATTAAAATTTACCCGTTTTTGAAACAGAGGACATTACTCCTCAGACTGATAAAAGAAGTGCTTTCTGCAGAGAGCATTTAGAGAAACAAAGGGAATAGAATTCCAATATTACCTGGGATGAGGAAAATTAATTAAATGTCTTCCCTATGAAACCTCCTAGAGACTGAAGACAAAGGATAACAGAATGTGACTTTAAAATAAGGTAAGCAAGAAAAATCTGTCACCTACTGGGATCAAATGTATCAAGGTACACACATCAGTAAGCTACAGATAAGTCAGTCTATTGTGCAAAAACCAAAACCCTCAAAACCAAAACCTACTTCATGACAAACTGATGCTAAATACATAAAAATGTAGTCACTAAAGTATGCAATTTGGTAAAAGAAACAATAATGTAGTAACATTTCAACATACATGCAGATCAAAAGCTTAAATTAGTTCAAAAGAAATCAAATGTTTTAGCAAAGAATATTTACTAAATACATAAAATATTAGTACGAATAGTTACAATTCACTGTACAATATAATGCAAAGAACTTGCCAAAAATCTCAACAGTCCTACCTTATCATTAGTGTCCAATACAATGGTGCTATGTCTCCACTTTGTTAATACTATTGGTTCTTGCAGCCGCCTGTCCAGGCTCCTACTTTTAATTATTTCTCTTTGCTGCTGGGATGAAGCATTATACTAAAACAAAACAAAGCAAAAAACACAAAAAACAGTTCATAAACAATAGAAATGAAAGTGGAATCTAAACATCTTGGCTCCAAATGACAAAGACTGTTAGGCGAAGTTCATTATATGACATCTCCACAAATTTTCCAGCCTCAGTTTTCTCATCTTTAACCAGAACTGTGGCACAATTGAGAAGATCACAGACTCTGGTGTTACACAGACCAAGGTAGTGTTATCTTTGGTAAAATATTTAATCTCCCTCAGTCTAAGTTTTGTCAACTGTAAAGTGGATATAACAGAAATATCTCATTCACGGAGTTGCTATAAAGATCAAAGTATTAAAGAAGAAAGTATTAAAAGAGTAGTATATTATCAATAAATATTAACTATCATAATTTATAAAGTAAAATCAGACAAATTATTTTTTCTACTTCTATCTCTTCTACTAAAATCAAAAATAAGCATTATTTTAAAAACCTAAACCAAAAATTAAATTCAAAATGAACTAGTAAGTTCTTTACATGTTCTGGATTCTAAACCTTTCTAGGCTATGTGAGTTGAAGATATCTTTTCCTAGTTTGTAGCCCATCTTCTCCCCTTTGATTACATCTTCTACAAAGAGAAGGTGTTTTGTTTAATTTTAATTCAGTCATATCTGTCAATCTTTCCTTTTATAGTAGGCTTCTGAGTCTTGTTCAAGAAATCTTTCCTACTCTGCAGACAAAGATATTCTTTGATATATCTTTCCACAGTCTTTAAAGTTTTACTTGTTATATTTATGTCTTTAATCTAACTGAAATTAATCATTGAGCATGAAGTGAGGTCAAGATCTACATTTATTTTCATTTTTATCATGTGAAAACCAATAATCTTAGTAACATTCTTACTTAGTCCATGCTTACCCCATTGATTTGTTTTCTTTTTAGTTGTTGTTGCAGCATCTCAGATGACACAAACCAATGCTTGTTTGTTTGTTGAGACAGGGTCCCTCTCTGGTCACCCAGGCTGGAGCGCAGTGGCATGATCAGAGCTCACTGCAACCTTGAACTTCTGGGCTCAAGAGATGTTCCTGTCCCAGCCATTTGAGTAGCTGGGACTACAAGTACATGCCAGCACACTTGGCTTTTTTTTTTTTTTTTTGTAGAGCCAAAGTCTCCCTAACCCCATTGATTTGTAATGCCATGTCTGAGTTTTATACATGTGCCCTTACTATTCCAACTTAATTACCATAGCAGGAACTCTATCTCTCCTGTTCCCTACCCACCAACGACTCCCTATTCAGGAATATTTTGACTCTTTATGGATATCTGTTTGCAAATATAAATTTTAGGTTCCATTCCCCAAAAAAGTGAGGGAAGGGATATTAAATGGAAATGCATTGGACTTGTAGATTAATTTGGACATTGTTATAAAATTCAGCCTCCCAATCCAAGATCATGATGGTATGCTACACTATTTATTTGGGTCTTCCTTTATTCTGCTCTGAAAATTTCTTTATTAAAATCTTACAGACCTTTAATAAACATGTTCTTAGTTACAACTCTTGTTGCTACTGCTGCTAATGTAAATAGTATCTTCACTGCAATCACATTTTCAAACTCACTTTTTACTAGACAAATGGGTAGTTTCATGTTAATTTCATATCCAGCAACTTTGCTGAACTCTCATCAGTTTTAAGTTTATAGGTTCTCTTGGGATTTTCTAATAATAACAATAATTTAAAAAAACAATTGCATCTCTTCCTTTTTAATTCCATTATTTCTTTCCTTTTCTTAATTGTTGAATAGAAGCGTGATAGAAATGTTCTAGTCTAGTTCCTAACTCTAATGGGAAAGCTTCTGTAATCTCACCGTGAAGTATGAGATTTACTGCAGATTATTTAATAGATAAACTTTAGCATAATGTGTCATTGTAAGAAAGTGATTTTCATCTGGGCTCGGTGGCTCACGCCTGTAATCCCAACACTTTGGGAGGCTGAGATGGGTGGATCACCTGAGGTCAGGAATTTGAGACCAGCCTGGCCAACATGGTAAAAGCCTGTCTCTACTAAAAATACAAAAATTAGCCAGGTTTGGTGGTGCATTGCTATAGGCCTAGCTACTCAAAAGGCTGAGGCACAAGAATAGCTTGAATCTGGGAGGTGGAAGCTGCAGCGAACCGAAATTTCACCACTGCACTCCAGCTTGGGCGACAGAGTGATAGTCTGTCTCAAAAAAATAAAGAAAGAAAGAATAGTGATTTCCTTACAGAAGCATATTCTTGGATCACAGTGATTTAATATCCATTTTGCAAATCTTTTAACAGGTGTGTTTAGAGCATTTACATTTAATGTGATTATTTATAATGTTAGGATTTAAGTCTGGCATTTTATCATTAATTGTCTGTTTCTCCTTTCCTACCGTCCTGTGGGCTACTTGAGCAATTTTTACTATTATATTTTAATATATCTACAGTTTCTTGAGCCTCTCGTTATACTTTTTTAGTGCTTGCTCTAGGGATTACAATATACATAATTTATCAGTCTACTAGTATCAACATTTTACTACTTCAAGTGGAATAATAGAAACCCTACCAAAAATTACATCCCTTTACTCACTCACTCTTTATGAAACAGTTGTCTTAAATATCACTACTGTATATCAGGACTACTTCAGGAATGTTATAATTTTTGTTTCAAATGTCAAAGACAATTTTAAACACCCAGGACAAAAGTCTCCTCAGATATTCACCCTTTCTGTTGTTCTTTATTCATTCCTGATATTGCAAGTTTTCTTATCACTTCCCTTCTGTTTGAAAGACTTCCTACAGCAACTCTTTGAAAGCAAGACTGCTAGGGATAAATCTCTTAGTTTAGTTTCATTCTGAAAATGTCCTTATATTACTTTTATTCCTGAAGGATATTTTTGCTGGGTGCAGAAGGGTTCACAGTTCTTTTCTTCTAGCATTTGAAAAATGTTATGCCACTTCTTTCTGGCTTCCATGGCTTCTGATAAGGCACTCACTTCATTCAAATTATTATCCTAAAGGTAAAGTGTTGTTTCACTGAAGGGCTTTCAAGACTTTATCAGGGGGAGGGAGGGTCTTTAGTTTTCAGAAATTTTGAATACAATGAGCCTGGATATGGATTTCTTTGGGTTTACCTTATCTGGTGTTTATTCAGCTTCTTGAGTCTGTTGGTTTGTCTTTTGCCAAATTGGGGGCATTTTCAAACTACTTCTTCAAAGTATCTTTCTGCCTCACACTCTTTCCTTTCTCCTTCTGGAACTCCAATGAAAGGAAGGTTAGCTCTTTCGTATTTTCCCACAGGTCTCTGAGGCACTGTTCATTTTTTTTTTTTTTTTTTTTTTTGGAAATCTATTGTCTCTCCATTGTTCAGACTAAATAATTTCTACTAACCTATCTTCAAGATCATAGATTCTCTTCTCTTTTACCTCCATTCCATTATTGAGCCATCCAGTACTTGATTTTTGGCTCTAGGATTTCCCTTTGGTTTTTCTGTATATCTTCTATTTCTTTGCTGAGACTTCCAACCTCTTCACTTATCTCAAGTGTGTTTATAATTGCTTGCTGTAGCACTTTTATGACAGCTGACTTAAAATCCTATGAGATAATTCATTCATCCCTGTCATCTTGGTGTGTCACCAACCTACTGATTGTCTTTTCTCATTCAAGTTCAGATTTTCCTGGTTCTTGCTATGACAAGTAATTCTAGGTCATATTTGGATGTTTTGAGTACTATAAGACTTTGGTTTCTATTTAAACATATTTTAGCAGGTTGTGAACCCCAGCCTGCTTTTATGGCCCATAGTTCAAATGTCAATTTCATTTTAAAAATCTTTTAATTGCTGTTCTGATCTGCCCTGTTTGTGTGCTACCCAGAGGCCAGTCTGAAACCTGGGCAGTACTCCCCACCATGTTTCAGTTCTCAAAGATTTTGCTATGTTAATTCTGGTTGTTTTCATGCATAGGCCACTGGGAGTAGTGTCTAGGACCTTATACACAGTTTAGAAATCCCTTTCTCTGGTTCCTTCCTCTCCATAATCCTCTTCCCACACTCTGCTTGGGATAGGGTGGGGTGCTGCCTTGTTGCTGTTGTCCATTTAGTGCATAGGGAGGATGCATCACAGGGTTCCTTGCATGCACTGTGGGTCTAGTCAACAGGGCTCCACCCCACAGTCTCCATAGTGCCCAGGCAGGGAGGGGGAGAGTGCTCTTTCAATAGTGCTGGTTAGGGATGGCTGACTGGGCTTCATAACATGTTCTGCACAGCACATCATGCAGAAGGATAGGCTTTTGTGGTGTTCACCTGGAACAGAGTAGGTATAATAAACAGAGACAGTGTGCTTTACTTGGCTTAAAATGTTGATCATGTATTACCACAGATTTCTGGGTTGGCTAAAAACTGTCTGATCTAGAGGGGCTCATCTGCACCAGTCTGTCTCTCATCCCCCTCCTGAGACTGGGAGGCTAGCCTGGGCACATTCTTCTCGTGGCAATGGCAGAGGTGCAAGAGCAAGCCCTGACTACAAGCCCATTTCAATACTCTCCTTGTGTCATATTTGTTCATATCCCAGTGAAAGCAAGCCACACAGCTGAACTCAGTTAACGACAGGACAATTTGGGAGGCCACCACAAAGGTACACAACAAAGAACCTAATACTAGAGTAAGAATGGATCCAGTGGTGCCATCTACTGCAGTAGGTGATCTGTCCTTTCCCCCTGTGACGGCTTTTAAGATTGTCTCCTGGGTTCTGAAGACCCAGCAAAATTTGTTGACATGTTGATTTATTTTTATTTATCCTTGACAGCATTCAAAGCATATTTTCTAAAGACTCATGTCTTCCTTCAATTTTAGAAAATTCCTAGAAATTATATTTTCAAATACTGTTTCCACACCATTCCTCCATTCTCTTCTTTTGGAATTCCTAATACATGAATATAGAAAACTTTCAACTCATCCTCCATTTTTCTTAACTATGCTTTCATATTTGTTAGCTTTCTGTCCCTGTCTAAAGTTTATGCTGACTGCATTTTTTATTTGAATAACTATGTTTTTTCATCTTGAAGATTTCTAATTTATTCATCATATTTACCTATTCATGTATGTTTTTATTTTTCCTAATTTCTTGTTCTTTTTAAATGAAAGCCTTCATTTAATTCTGATCATCCACAGCATAATTTTAAGCCTTTATTAAATTATTAAGAACATTACTTTCGGCTAGGCGCGGTGGCTCACGCCTGTAATTCCAGCACTCTGGGAGGCTGAGGTGGGCAGATCACAAGGTCAGGAGTTCGAGACTAGTCTGACCAACATGATGAAACCCCATCTCTACTAAAAATACAAAAATTAGCCAGGTGTGCTGGTGCACGCCTATAATCCCAGGTACGTAGGAGAATCACTTGAACCTGGGAGGCAGAGGTTGCAGTGAGCTGAGATCGCGCCACTGCACTCCAGCCTGGGCGACAGAGCGAGACTCGTCTTTAAAAAAAAAAAAAAGAACATTACTTTCATCTGGAGTGAATACCATGTTTTGATTCTTCTTATGTCTATGATAATAGCATTGGATTTCTTCACATATTTTATTTGAAATACTGAACAGCAGACTTCATTTTGAGTGGGGAATGTTTTGTTTTCTCTCTCTCCATTTACTCTCCTTTATTTCTTTCTCTCAATCCTCCTTCCTGTCTAATAGTTTTCTGGTTCCCTTCTCCTACACCTAACCCAGAGTGTTTGTATTTATGTATACATTCTTTTTTACTCAGTTGTCATATAAACATGTTTCTTCTTTCCAAACTTACAACAAAAATTTTTAGGGTAAAGACCATGTCCTATGTATTTGCATTTATCACAACATATTACATAATACTGAACACCAAAGATGTGTTCAGAAAATATTAAACTAAATTTTAATATCTGCATGGGGGTTACAAGCTTGACAGATTTATCTTAGACTTACTAGTAAGTATTAAGTTGCTTAAGAGTGCAGAATGTAACCTGAAGTTGTCTTTATCATGCAGTAACAATCCATGAAATAGTGACTCTACAGCACTTTTCCTTATTTCCTCATTTCCACTGTATTTAATTCAAACCTCTTCTCCATATCCAATTTAATTGAGAGTTAAACTGTGAAGACCTTCTGACACTTTATGCTAAGCAGCAAATGGCAGCAGAAAATGAAATAGTATCACAAAACTGAGGATTCAACGCTGGTCACAATCAGTACCCATTTCCACTGCTGTAAAATACCCTTTGAGGTCTTGATTCAGTCTCTTGCCTCTCCTCTTTTTTTCATTAAAGGCATCTCTGAAAGTAAATAGGTTTCCTAATGCAGCCTATAGTTCTTCTGACCAAGGAAATTATAGAATTGAGTTATAAAGAAACCCAGTAGGAGTATTTAGCTACCAGTTAAGACTCCAAATTATTCCTGATATTAGGCCGTCCTGGGACTCTCTCCCTTCAAAGGACCCTGACCTGGGACAAATCACTCAAAAGCAGCCTTGTGACTGATGTCATTACTCCAGGGAATCAGAAACCACTATGAAGAAAGATACAGCAGATGATTCCTCCAAAAACTCAACTGGTATTTGAGGTACTGTTAAGAGCTACAATTCAAATCTGTCAAGCGGAACAAAAAACTTAATATGTTTATTTAATTATTGTATTAATAAAATATTAGTCTTCTATAACCTAAATCGTTTTCAGTGAACTAAACATTGAGCAGATTTTTCTTCTGGTTCCTTCAAGTGGAAATCAGAGCTTGTATTTTATAAGCATAACCCTTATTAGAACAGCCTAACAGAACCAATCCCTGTTATACATAGTTTTCAATACTGAGTAATTACATCCCTCAAAACAATACTCTTTCCCCAACATATAAGTTATTACATATTTTGGCCATCATGATCCATAAAATCATTCTTTCTAAATTAATCACTAAATTTTTTTTATAAACGGTACCAATTTTGAAGAGCAGTATCTGAGGTATTCTATTACTTCTTCACAGCACATTAATAAAATAAATTGCTTATCTTATTATGTTTATCTCCTTTCCCCTAAAAGTTGGTAACAGTCGTACTAAGCTTGAGGTATCATTTTCCCACTTATAAGTTTTATTGGAAGACAATGAAATATTTGGAAAATAAAATGGTTATTTAACTTTTATAAAACTTAACTTTAAAAAACTTGCTAGAGTATCACAACTGCTAAGCTATGGTTCTTCAGAGTTCTGAGTGCTTGGCACAACTTCAAAGTTTCAAGGATAAATAAGGTTTTATCTTCAGAATCACATTCTAAAAGTATAAATTAATAATAATGAAAATGAAAAATATCCACAAATGTTTTATTGAATTGTGTTTCATAATTTTAAAGAGTAATGAGATAAAACATTCAACCCTGAAATATGTGATTTGTGGCACTTTTCAATAGACTTTTTATTTGGATCTTTTTCATTCACGGTATTTTATGATTGATGAAGTAAAAACACAATGTGATAATAGTAGTATCTTCTTAACTTTTTATACGGGAGCTCTTATAATTAAAATATAAAAATTATCTTCACTAATACTAATATGTTAAGCTGAAAACAGTATTTTAAAAAACAATCCTATTGTATAAATGTAAATTTTAATATGACTCCGTAATTAATTTAAACAATAAAGTGGTTTAAAATATGGAATAGTTTTTCCTGTTGAGCTGAGCAAACAGAAAGTAAGAACCTACGTAAAATGTGAGATAAAGGATCAAAAAATGCTTATCTGAAGATGTGACAAGTTTTTTAAACTACAAGAAAATTCTGAGGCTATGCTTCATCAACAAATTAATCAAAGGTACCAGTATTTCCTTTATCTATCTCCTCATCCCCCACACCCATGAACTTTTCCATTATGGCCACCTACACATTGTTCCATGAGATTACAAAACTGTAAAAGCTGTCAGTTACAGTGGAGCTCTCTTCTGCTACTTGGTCAACTCAGACTCACAAAGGTATTCTTAAAAATCAATTACAGGATATGTATTTCATTTTCATCCTACCCATATCAAGCCTTAGAATTTCATAAAATAATGAAAGGCCAGATAGCATTCACATAAAGAAGAAAGCACTATTAACATTAGTTTACTAGATTAGCGTTTCCGAACTTGTAGTCAATGTAGTAACATCTAGTCATTTTTTCTATATCCATGTTTCATTTATACTATTAATATTCTTCTTTAAATTGACTTACTTTGGGGAAAAGACAAATTTTAAAAACTAAAGTATATGTAACAACTGACACCACATATTTGTCCACTAATTACGGCTATTTTCTAGAACATTAAAATAATGCACCAATTAAAATTCAAATGTTTGCTCATATATCACTTAAAATTATCTCAAGCACCAATAGTGATATGCATATGGCCACTTTGAAACCTACCACCTTAGATAAACTCAGCCCTGGTACACTTGTCTGGAAATGAGACGTCCAGCTAAATCCTAGGACATCTTATCACATGTTGCCTATATCTCAGTCAATGAATGGCTCAATCATACACACCATTTACATAAGAGGATAAACTTGAATACTGAGTTACTTTTCTTTCTCTCAAAAAATGATTAAATATAAGACCAACTTTATGTAGAAAAATCAATATACTCAACACAACTAGATATAAGATGGCATTATTGGTATTGAAGAGAATTCTTATTTCCAAGAATAAGGAAAGGCCAATTTCAAGTTAACCCAAAAGATATTCTGAATAGCAACAATCAGTATCACATAGTGAAGACACCTGTACATCTTAGAAAACTTACACTACTCACAGTATTCACAGTGAATTCTGAAAAAATTATTCTACTTTGTAAAAGTAGAATAAAGATCTTAAAATAAATCTGCTGAAACCATCTCCAGATATTACTTCATCTACTATTTTTAAATAGAAATTCGGTGTCAAGGTTTATTACCTTTGGCAATTCCCATTCTGACCGAGATCCGTCTGCACTGTAGTAATATTGTCTACCTTGATCATCAACATGCTTGAGCCACTATAAAAACAGAACAGGTGTTTTTTATTAAATTTAAATAAAAGTGAGTTTAAGCTACTACTATCAGAGATACTAGATTTAA
The DNA here is from genome assembly GCF_000001405.40 of Homo sapiens. Lineage (NCBI taxonomy): Eukaryota > Metazoa > Chordata > Mammalia > Primates > Hominidae > Homo > Homo sapiens. The sequence continues at coordinate 31,852,680 of NC_000010.11, forward strand.
TTCTTATGAATTTTATTCTACTTGATCAAGAACATTGCAACAAAAAATTCTTTTTTTTTTTTTTTTTTTTTTTGAGAGCCCAGGCTGGAGTGCAATGGCACCATCTCGGCTCACCACAACCTCCACCTCCCAGGTTCAAGCAGTTCAAGCAATTCTCCCGCATCAGCCTCCCGAGTAGCTGGGATTACAGGCATGTGCCACCACGCCTGGCTAATTTTGTGTTTTTTTAGTAGAGATGGGGTTTCTCCATGTTGGTCAGGCTGGTATCGAAATCCTGACCTCCGGTGATCCGCCTGCCTCGGCCTCCCAAAGTGCTGGGATTATAGGCGTCAGCCACGGCGCCCGGCCGGCAACAAAAATTTCTAACTAATTATACTAAAAGCCTTGCATTTTAAGTTTGGTAAGAATAAATATACTCATTATTAAACATGGCTTTATTTGCTCTCTCTATCCTCCAATGTCTGGCTAGCTGCTCAAGCACCACTTAACAACAAGCAACATATAACATACGATGTACATATGCACTGGAACACAGGTACACTCACATTCTCAAAACAGGTTTGAGAAATTGACAAAAGAGAAATGTTTTTCAATTAAATGTACAACTAAACTATTTAAAGGCTCATTTCATGCAAACCTTTAGGAATTACTTCCTATGGCCAAACACAATAAAATTTAAATAACAGCAACAACAGAACATCATGCAATAAAACACAGGGAATATGAGGGGAAAAAAGACTACATATTGCTAATACAAACACATGATCTTGAGTATGACATAAATGAAAAAACTGCTTCCGTATGTTCTAATGTCAAATAATTGAGGCAGGAAAGAGGGATAAAAGCCTAGCCCCACTTATTCCCAAGCATATCTTCTCTGAACATGTACAACCCACAGTTGCTTTCTCAAATGATACCAGATGCAATACACACATAAAATGTCAATATTCATTACAGACTAATCATAAAATACTAGATTGATGGTTTTTGTTTTACATAAATTTGATTGTAATAGAAAAAGGAGAATAGGCAGTGAGGCGATGTATGATAATGGCACAGAGAGAAAACCATTTCCAAAAAACTATTCCCTCAGAAAAATATAAAGAAATATGCCTACTGAAGAAATCTAAACAAATGACATTCAACAGGTGTACTCTTAAAAAGTCTTCCATGAGTACAAGAGCATAAAAATTACTATCATCCTTAGCAGTTTAAAACAATCAGTAGTTACACTGAGTTTTCGTATTGTCAATTGGCATGATTATAAAGTTACAATGAAGAATATTTTCATGAGTTTTTTCTTTTTTAAATACTAAAACTGCAGTACACAACTATTTTATGAGAGAATTCTGCCAAAAAACACTAGATGAGAAAAAAAGAATGTACCTTTTCATTAGTATAGTCACTGGTATATAAGGTATGCCCACGTTCATCCAACTCTTCTGACCAACCCCTTGGAGGAGAACCACACTGACTATCTGACTGGCTGTAAGAAGTGCTGTAGTAGTTTTCTTCCGATGAAAGAAGCTACAAATAGTCAGAAACATAAGGATTTTTCTTTTTTGAATATAAATATGAATTGGTTGAAAATCTAATAAATAAATTTTACTTGACTATAAGTATGAAGATATCTTAAATATATCTGAATATTTGATTTTGAAAATAAATTGATAAGTCTTTAAATGGTACATTGTAAGAGGTGAGGTAAAATTAATAGTGGTTATTTTATCACATTAGTGCAGCCCTAGAAAAATTCACCACAATAAAACTGAAAACAATGTTTTCAGACCAAGGAGAGCTCGAATGTTACTTAGTGCTGCTTTCGTGCTGAAATCAAGTTTAAAAATGAGAGGAATAGGTGTGTGTACACATATCTGTGTGTAAACAAGGGAGGAGACGAGGGAACTTCATTAGACTGAGCTCCTTCTCATGTACCACAAGCATATAGCCACATGCAAGGCAAACAACCCTGCTCAATAAATATATCTCAGACTATTTTTCTATAATTTGTGTTATAATTTATTGATAAATTCTCCTAACTCATTCAGTCAAATGCTTGTTAAAGACTACTGGAAACTAAACTTCAAAACAAGAAAAAATAACATTGAGCAAATTCAAACACAATACAGAAAGACAAATAAAAAATTCTGTATGAAAATAATATAGGGGCCAGGAACGGTGGCTCACGTCTGTAATCCCAGCACTTTGGGAGGCCAAGGCCAGAGGATCATTTGAGTACAGGAGTTCAAAACCAGCTTGGGCAACATAGTGAGACCTCATCTCCATTTTTATTCAAAAGAAGAACAAGGAGGAGGAGGAGGAGGAGGAGCAGGAGGAGGATGGGGAGGAGGAGGGGAGGGGGAGGGGATAGGAGAGGGAAAGGGGAAGGGGGAGGAAAGGAGGGGGCGAAAAGGAGGGGAGGGGAGGGGAGGGAGAGGAAGGGAGGGGGAGAAGGGGAGGGGAAAGGGAGGGGGAGGAGAAAATAAGGTAATACGGGTACACATGATATGATAAACTGCAGACACATGAGGGAAGCGAATTAGAAGACTGGGAAAATTTAGAAACTTTTGATGCCTACTGACAAGAGGCACCATAATATGACTAAATGGCAATTTGCTTTCTGCACTTAAAAGTCATTCATTTAAAAATCATTTATTAGGTTAGCACTCATGTGCAAATGACCCTTCCTATCACCTCTAGATAAAATAGTTTCGGCAAGTAAAACTTACTCATTCAGACTGTATTTTCTATCATCATAATTTGGTCTGAAACACTAAGATAGGTAGATTCTCAAGATTGTAGTTAAAGACACTAAGAGCCTAATATTAATATGTTCACAAAAACATAGCTTTACAGAAACACTGCATAAAGTGAATTATATATGTTTTACAACAGAAACATTTTTTAAACATTGAAAGCCTAATTCAAAAATCAGGAGTTTATTTTTATTTAATTGAGGCAACTTAAAATGCAAGCTCATAGACGAGAAGAGTGCAGTAAAACTTTTAGAAACAGAAAAAGGGCAACTGAATTAGTAAAATTAATTTAAGAAACAAAATCACAGAATCACTTTTTCAAAGATATGACTTTCTAGCTAACAAAATTCTCATCATAATTTTCCAAATTTTGCACAGTAAATATGATGTTCTACCATGAAAAGTAACCTCCAATATCTTCATGTGTTTTATATTATACTACAGAACCAGGCTTTAAGATCTGGATATCTTCCACTGGAAAATAGTTGTTTAATGGCAGTTAAGTAAAAGTTAAAGTTAAGATTATTTTTGGCAAGCATTCTATAGATGTTAACTATTCTATACCTAATAACTCCATTCAAAGGTGTAACCAATTCAGTAACTTTGGGATGTATTCTGCAGCAAATGTATCCTAGTACAAATATGAGGGGGCTATGGTAGATGCTCCATTTATAGAAGAATGGCAGGTAGGTATCCCAATTGATCATCTTAACAGAAACAGTTGAAAATGTTACATAAAATTTTTTTTAAAATAATCTATGAACAAAAGGTTAATTAAGAAATCCTCAGAGGTCAAAAGCTAAGTGGAAACAAGAATCAAGACAGTCAAGCAGAAGAAAAAAGAGCAGCTTTCTTCTTGAAGGCATTTGCCAGACCCCAAACTAAAATGTTAGTTTTCAAGACCACGCAGGAGTGTTAGAGAACTGAACTCAGGATTACCAAAAGCAGGAAGTCTAAAAGGCTATCCCACAATACAGAGCTGGAAACGCCAAAGAATTATACCCACAAATTATGGGTGAACCATTAACAAATTTTGCTCCTTTATTCCACACTAGGAACATCATAGAAATTTACCCCAATAATTGGGGAAAATAAGGGGACTTTCTAGCCACAAGAGTCTTCATGAAATCCAAATTACTATTAATACTACCTGGGTGGCTTGTAAAAACTAAAGCTAAAGATGTACTTTTAAATATTCATAGTTTCTCTAGGCATCCGTCAGAAGAGACTCACCTCTGAAGGAACCCACCTTCAACCCCAGCAGTAAAGACTTCCTATTTATGAATTTCCAAGAACTATAACCTCACATTAAAACAGATACACTCTCAAAACACCCTGAGTAAGAGTCAGCAGAAAAACAGTATAATCAGACTCTCTAAAACTTTATACATAGAAACTAACAAAAAATAGAAAACAACACTAGAGATACAACAAATAAATGCAACATATAGTCTTCACTGGATCCTTCACTGCAGGAAAAAAAACTATAAAGAATATTACTTGACAACTGAGAAACAATGAATATTAGCCATGTATGAAATAACATACTAATATTATATGTCTTGGGTATGATAAATGTATTGTGGTTTTGCTGGAACATGTCCTTATACTTAGGGAATAAAGCATTATCTGATTCAAATCATTCATCTGATTCAAATCATTCAAAATATTATCTGATTCAAATCATTCATACGCACACGTGTGTATGTGTTTGGGCAGGTGAAGGGAGAGAAAGAAATAAAGCAAACGTGGCAAAATTTTAACCATTGGTAAATCTAGATGAATGATACATGGCATATAATGTTCACTTTACTGTTCTTTTAAATTTTTGAAGGTTTAAAACTTTTCAAAGTAGTGATATCGGGAAACTCCCCTAAACAAATAAAAAAAAATACTTTTTTACAATTCAAGGATTGACTTAACATCAAATGAAGGCATAGACAAAGGGAAAAATACCAAATAGAAGCTGGATCTTGAAATACTGAAAATGAGGCACAGAGAGACATGGATGAACAGCGTGAGGTTAAACATTCATCTAATCAAGGTTCTAGAATAAGAAGAAAGAGAATATGGGGGCGAGCCTATATTCAGATACAGCTAAGAATTTTCCAGAATTGATCAAAGACAGGACTCCTCAAATTCGGAAATCTCAACAAAGCCCTCGCAGAAAATAAAAAACCTTTACCCAGCTACATCACAGTAAAAATATAGACACATGATCTTTAAAGCTGCCAACAAAAAGAGACAAACTACACTTAAAGAAAAGACAATCAGATTGACATCTGAATTTTCAGCATCAACAATGGAAGCCGGAAAATATGAGAATAAAATCTTCAATGAACAAAGGAAAAACAAATAAGTAAACAGTCAGCTTAGAACTATATACCCATGTTCTTCAAAAGTAAAAGTAAAATAAATTTTCAGACAAAAACTAAGATTCTATTATTAACAGATCCTCATGAAGGAATTTAAAAGCATGTACTTATGGCTGGGCACAGTGGCTCATGCCTGTAATCCCAGCACTTCAGGAGGCCAAGGTGGGAGGATCATTTGAGCCCAGGAGTTCAAGACCAGCCTGGTCTACACAGTGATACCCCATAGCTACAAAAAATTAAAAAATTAGCCAGGCATGGTAGTTCATGCTTGTAGTCCCAGCTACCTGGGAGTCTGAAGCAGGAGGATGGCTGAGTGCAGGAGTTTGAGACTGCAGTGAGAGCTATGACCACAACACTGTACCCCAGCCTGGGCAACAGAGCAAAACCCTGTCTCCTGCCAAAAAAGGCTCATATTTATGACAGAAGAAGAAAATGTGAGAAAAGAAGGTGGTAAAAATCAGGATTAATTTTAAGAGTCATGTACAACAACAACAAAGGGGCTAAAAATTGAAATACAACATATGACAGCAGCAGCACAACAGCACACATAGATCCTATATGGCTTCAAGGAACAAGAAGACAGTGATTAACTTTACACTATGCATAGACTAACTACGCATGCTAAAGCTGGGCATGGTGGCCCATACTTGTAGTCCCAGCTACTGGGGAAGTTGAGGCAAAAGGGCTGCTTGAGCCCAGGAGTTTGAGCGTTGAGTCTATCCTGGGCAACATAACAAGATCCTGTCTCGGCGGCATCTCTGGCCTCTACCCACTAGAGATCAGTAGCACGTCTCCCATTGTGACAACCAAAACAAGTCTTCGGACTTTACCAAATGTCCCTGAAAGGCGAAATCAGCCCTACTACGAATGATTGTTCTAGGGTAACCACTAAAATAATAAGCTTCTGTGTTAAGACAGAAGAGCCAACAGTTGCTCCCTCTCAAACCCCACTAAAATCACAACAGCGAAATGTGCTTAAAATGATGTAAACCCACAACAACAGGGAGGACAACAGTCAAGCAGATGAACAAAAAACCTGAATTACCTACACGGAAGAAAGTAGAATCTAAACCAGTATGGTGCAGACAAAGGAGAGTAGGGGAAAATAAACCCGACAAGCTTACGGAACAGAATCTGCAACTGGCTCAGCAACTGACGGTATCAGGTATCTGTGAAACTGGGGAGTGAAAGCAGTGGTACTAAAATAAGGATTAAAAATGCCAGAATCTCCTTCTACATACCTGGCTGCTAGGTGTGCAGCCCATCCCTACCCCAGCAGACATATGGAGAGTTATTCCCTCTGAGAAGGGAAAAATACTAAGATTCTGAGTTGGGGGACAATAGACACAATAGGAACATGGGTACCAAGAGAAAGAAGGGAGACTGAGGGACCACATGCAAAATGAATGCCAACACCAAGACACAGACAGCCCTTACCGTGTATAGGCAAGAGACCTAAAGACATCTGTGGACATTCTAATTAGTCCAAAAGGAAAGACCTAATGGGTCTAACACTGGGGATTCCCCAAAGAGGGGCTGACCCAGATATCCATTAAAGTTCAAAATGCCTCACAATTGTGAGAGAAAATAATTTCCATCCTAGAATTCTATACCCAGGAATACTATCAATTAAATATGAGAGGAGAAGACAGATATTTTCATACACACATAGTTTCCATTTTACCTCCCATACACAACTTTTCTCAAGAAGTCGCTGGAAGATGTGCTCCAGCCACTTTGGAAATATTAATCTTCATATAATTTGTATAGAGACCAGTAATTGAGACCCTGTATACATAGTCACTCCCATCTATTTACTAAAATAGCTAAGAAACATGTTAAAAGTTCCTATGTATACTTCAAATTCTTTTAGTCTATAATTTAGTCTTTTTCCTAATTCTCTAAAATTGTTAAATTTTACTTTATTATTGATACACTGGATAGCTTATTTTCAAATCTTTCTAATGTACAATTCAAATAAAATTTTCCTTTTTTTTTTTTTGAGATAGAGTCTCACTCTGTTGCCCAGACTGGAGTGCAGTGGTGCAATCTCGGCTCACTGCAGTCTCCACCTCCCGGGTTCAAGCGATTCTCCTGCCTCTGCCTTCCAAGTAGCTGGGATTACAGGTGCCCGCCACCACGCCCGGCTAATTTAGAGACAGGGTTTCACCATGTTGTCCAGGCTGGTTTCGAACTCCTGACCTCAAGTGATCTGCCTCCCAAAGTGCTAGAATTACAGGCATGAGCCACTGCGTCCAGCCAAATTTTCCTTTCTTGTTATAGTTAAACATGAACAATTTTTCTATTTTTGCTCTCACTTGAACACTAAAAACACAAATTATTACCAAACTAAAGCTATAAATAAACCAACTGAAAAATGGGACAAGAAGGGAGTTATTAACTACAAAAAGCTTTTGGGAGTCTGCTAAATACAAGATGTGTTCCCTGATTTTTCTAGATCCTATCTACCTGAAGTTTGCTTTTATTTGTACGAGCTAGCTGCTTTCTATAACAGCCGGATGTCCTATGCAGGTGGAGGGACTCCAACCTACCAAATGGCAGGATTTCACTCTATTCTACCAATCCTACCAAGTTACTCCTGTACGTTTAAATAATCCCAAGGCCTCTTGCCAGACTACTGAGATAAGTGTTTCTAAAACACAGCTGGCCAATTTACTGCACCATCCTGCAAGAGGTATGGAGGAAGGTGAAACCAGAAGGAGAAAAAGAGTACAGACACTTGTTAGAGAAAATAATGATTTTAAAGTGAATTGTTAGACTTAACAGAATGATTCAATTGTAGCAAAGGAATTATAATTATTTCCCTCATATATAAATAAAACAATGGTCTTGTACCGCTGACTGACAAAGAGAAAAAATGGGAAGTAGTCTGGTAGCCATACTAAGCCAATAGAGAAATATATTATTTCTATTTATTTTGCTGGGTCACATCACATTTCTATTTTTTTCTAAAAAATGTCACTGGACAGCCAGGTGCAGTAGCTCACGCCTGTAATCCTAGCACTTTGGGAGGCTGAGACAGGGGGACTGCTTGAAGTCAGGCGGCAAGACCCCATCTCTACAAATAAAATTTTTAAAAATCAGCCAGTGACATGTGCCTGTAGTCCCAGCTACTAGTGAGGCTAAGGTGGGAGGATCGCTTAAGCCCAAGAGTTTGAGGCTACAGTGAGATATCATTGCACCAGGGCTCTCCAGCCTGGGCAACAGAGCTAGACTCCATCTCTTAAAAAACTGAATTAAATTTAACTTAAAATATCATCGGCTTGTGCAGTAACAACTGAAATAGTATGTTCTAAGACATAAGGGGGTGCACTGGCACTAGACAACTTAAACCCAGTTCTGGAACTAGTACGCACACAGGTTAGCAGCTGTCCATTAGTCAGAGATTAGGAAGTAGCTAGCATTAATATTTTAGTAAAGCTTGGAAAGAATTTTTAATGATCTTAGAGATCACGTGTTTTAACATGCTGACAGTAAGAAACAAAACTATTTACTTCTTTGGTTTCTGAATAATGAAAAGAGAAAATCTGGTAACTTGCAGTTGATTCCTTAATTACTCATACCTCTTGATCCCCTGGATTTTGGAAATCTCCTTTGCTGATGCTTGCATCCCGAGTCCAACGAGGAGGTTTCCAAGTTCTTTCCTGTGTCCCTCTGTTATAGTAATAGCAACGCCCTGAGCTGTCTTTATGAGTTTCCCATTCTCCATTAATCTGAATTGCCGGGCTCCCAGGAAGTGGGGGAAGAGCAGACTGGGATATTTTCAGTTCTTGAAGGTTAGCATAGACAGGAGAATCTGGCCTTCCTTGATTTGGAGGTGTGGTTGCCTGTGAAATAAACATTTTTAAATTTCATGTTTAAACTGGTATAACATTTAAGTCAAAATTAAATGAAACAGGAGATTTATAAACAATACTAACTCATTTTAAAACATATATACAGGTGAATATATTCTGAGGAAATAATAATTTAACAGTTTTAATATTCATAGTTTCATTGAAAAATAAATAAAAGCTTCAAACCAAATCCAAAGTATGCATAATACTTTCCTTTACCTGAAACAGTGTGATGGACAGCCAAGAGCTGTGGGTTCTAATTCAAGATCTGGCACTAACAAGTTGTATGATATTGGGTAACATCACTTTACTTCTTTGAAAGTGAAATTTTTTATCTCAAGAAATGAGGGAATTGGACTAAACCACCAAGGTCTTTTTTGGCTCTCAAATTCTATGATTTTAGGCAATACTTTAAAATATAAAAAGTTTTACATATGAGTAGCACAGCTTTTATTATGAAAATTATCAAAAGAAAGATTTCATATTCTAAGCTCTAACATTAAATCAGGAACATAAGTGAAACATAAAAGAGGAATAATACTTAAGCTAAGAATTTACTACATTCTATTCCTTCTCAGGTATAATTTCTCAGAGGCTATAAACAAATCATTTAATCTCTTCCTAGCTTCCTTATTTGTGAATTTCCTAACAGTAGAAAAGTAAGAATTAGTAGTAACTCTGATTTACATGTTTAATGTTTAGCTACAGCTTTATTTTTTATTTTTAAATATCTCACTAGATGTCAGTCAAGAGCAAGCTACTTCATACCCTTTGTATAAGGGCACTGTAAATTGTATTAGGTTACACAGAACTTCAGTTGCTGAAGAAAAAAAACACACGTCTGAGAACACCTGCTTATGTTATGTATTTGTATTTCTGTATATATTTTCCTTTTACAGCAAGATTTCTTAACCCTAGCACCACTGACATTTTGAGACACAAAGTTATTTGTTGTAAGGGCTATCCTCTGCACTGTGGGATGTTTATCAGCTTCCCTGACCTCTAACCACCAGATGACAGTGGCGCATGCACACACAGACACACACACACACACACACACACACACACACACACACACACACACGCCTCCGACGTGACAACTGAAAAGCCTCCAGACACTGATGAATGTCCCTTGGGGGCAAAACTGGCCCTAGTTGAGGAACCACTGCTTTTCCCTATAAATCCTAGAATTATATTCAGATGTTCAATTACTTCTGAAATGTAACTAGAGTTTCATGAATGCTTTAAAATACTGAATTTGAAAAGAATACTGAATGGAAACACTGAATCAGTTTTATTGAAATTAAAGTGCTTTAACTTCTAAAAATATTTGTCTATAATGTTTGTGAGTTTAAATCACAGAATAAGCTCTGTGAAAACAGTAAAAATAACCCAAACACAAATACATGTTTGTGAAATGGTCACTGTTGGTCTTCTTACACATGGTAGTTATACATGTACTATATTCAATGATGCAAATTCGACTATTTTCCTTAAAACGTTAGCTTCAAATTTATCACTAAACAACATCTTTCTATGAAGAAAATCTATCCATGGAGACAGATATCATTTCTCCTTCAGATTAATTCCATATCCTAGTGAATGTGTTTTCTCTGATGAAAATAAATTCTGTTAATATAAAAATTCTATATGGCAAATCATGTCTCAGAACCTAGAATATCTAGAGAATATTTATTCAACCAATATTAAAGAAGTTCTTACTTTGCTCCTGATATTTGACTAGAACTTGGGGAAATAAAGATGCTAAGAAACAGCCATTTTCTAAATGATGTTTATGAACAAACTCTACTAAATCTTCAAGAAACAATTCCTGTTGTTTAAACAGTTTAAATTTTTAAAGTTTTTCCAGCTAGAAAAACCTGAAGTGGCCTTCAGCACAATCTATAAGGCTAGCATAATTCTGAAACAAGAGCAGAGAAGAATTAAATAAAAGAACACTGTAACATATCTCACTTATAAATATGGAAGAAAATATCCTAAATAAAACATTAGAAATCTAGCACTACATTAAATGAAACAAGCACAGATATTAAGAAAGTCTGTCTTTAGGAAATCTCATATTGTAATTCTTTAGATTCATAGATAAACACGATCATCTCTACAGACACCAAGAAAGCATTTGATAAAATTCAACACAGATTCAGGATATAACTCTTAGCAAGATAGGAACAGGTGACACTTCCTTAATTTGACTTTTAAAAATTATTAGTATTTAAACATCACAATCAACAAGACAGATAAGTTCTTCCATTAAAGTCAAGATTAAAATTGAAGTATATTATGGTCTATAAGGTTAACATAATTTTGAAACAAGAGCAGGGAAGAATTAAATAGAAGAACACTGTAAACATATCTCACTTATAACTAACTGCCAAGTATAATTGCTCTACTCAACACTGTACTGGATTTGTGCTAAGATACAAAAAATGAATTAAACTCATAAAATACGTAAAAGAAAAAAGAAACTGTCATTTGTCATTGAAATAACCAACAGTTAAAAACCCAAATCCACAAAAACTACTAAAAGAGTTTCATGAATTGGCCAGATTTTTGATTATCTAGTCAGTTTCCCATACATAAGCAATGACAAATTAGAAAATATAACAACCAAAAAATCTCATTCATAATAGGAAAAAAACTAACACAAATAAGCCTTAAAAGAAATGTATAAAATCAAGTAAGAATATTTGTAAAACCTTCCTCAGGTACCTAAAATTAAACTTCAATAGATAAACCCTTGTTCCTAAATGGAAAATAAAACCAACTTCATAAACATGCTAATTCTCCAAAAATTAACCTATAGATTCCATAAATACAATGCAATATTTGGCATACAATATTCAGTACACTGCCCAGTACACAGGAGCACTTAATGTAATTTGTTGAATGAATAAACAAACTAATGACAAACACGAACAAAAGTATGCAAACATGTATCTCCTCCAAAAAAGGAAAATTAGGGATTTGGAACCAGTTAGATGTGATAAAGAGAGGAAACTAAGAAAACATCCACGCTTCTAGTTTTGAAAAAATGATGGACAGTTGTGTCCCTTTTTAAGATAGAAACTATTGACAAATGAATTGAGCATCATGTACTCAAGCTAGGTGATTAGGCTACAAATTATGAATTTAAAATCTCCTTGCCTTCCAGAACCTCGTAACATGGTAAAGGAAAGTGAAACATGATAATAATAGACACAATGCTAGAGCTACACATGGGACACTGTGGGAGCAAAAAGGAAGAGACCCGGAAACAAGTGACTAAGCCTTAGAAATAAATAAACAGGAGTTAGCCCGGTAAAAGTTGGGGAAACAGCAGGGAGGAAGAACAAAAGCTAGGAAAAACAGCATGGTACTTTCAGGGAATGATGCTGACATACTGAGTATGTAAAAGGAGCAGCAAGTGAAAGGCCTAAGGAAAAGCAAGTAACAGCACAGAGAGTTTGAAGGTCATGTTGCAAAGCAAACATCCAGAAGCATTTAGGAAACTACTGAAGATTAAGCCAGGAAGTGCATTCTGATTTAAATTTTTAAAATATTACAGATTTTAGAGAGACGCAACTAGGAGGTTGGTACAGTAGTACAGACAGAAGATGAAGAGAGCTGCAATAGGACAAGACAGTAGGAATGCAGAAGCAGGGACAGATTCAAGAAACAATCAGAAGGTTAAATTAACATACAGGTTGTATGTTTGCTTATGTGAAGTACAGTTTGTTTTACCGTGTGTGTAGTTTTACTACAGTTAATGTCAAGATGAAGAAAAGAATGGAAAGAGAAGGGCAAACAGGAGTTACATTTAGATTGCATTAGGTTGATAAGTCTTTTCAAAACCCAAGTGGAAATGGTAATAGATTGTTGGTTATATAAATTGGGAACTCAGTTCCCAATTTACAAAAATCAGGGCTGGCCAGGCGCGGCGACTCACGCCTGTAATCCCAGCACTTTGGGAGGCTGAAGCCGGTGGATCACGAGGTCAGGAAATCGAGATCATCCTGGCTAACATGCCGAAACCCCATCTCTACTAAAAATACAAAAAAAAATTAGCCCGGCGTGGTGGCGGGCGCCTGTAGTCCCAGCTACTCGGGAGGCTGAGGCAGGAGAATGGCGTGAACCCAGGAGGCAGAGCTTGCAGTGAGCCAAGACCGCGACGCTGCACTCCAGCCTGGGCGACTGAGCAAGACTCCGTCTCAAAAAAAAAAAAAAATCAGGGCTAAAAATATAGAAGTCATTAATATACACGTGGGGTCAATAACATATGAAAGCATACAGAGTAAGTGCAAGATGAAATGAGAACCCTGGAAAATACTAAGCTGTTGCTTTATGAATTAAAATGAGAACATAAGTTTAAAGTCAGCATATGATCTTGCATAGTGATTTCTATTGTTAGCATAATAATTATTATTGCAATTAACATAACTAAAGAACCAGACTAAGTGATGGAGGCAGAAAGGAAAGTTAGAAGTAGAAGGTCTACCAGGAAAGAATAGCATTTGAAAGTCAAGAAGGAAAATTTCAAAAGAAGGGAAACTAGACAGTATCAAATTCAAAGACTTCAATACAGGGACTCTGAAAGAATCACTCAATTCAGCAATTAAGAAGTTTTTAAAGACTTCAGCTACCAGCCATGAGGATCTGAAACTACTTTCCTGCCATAAACTAGAAAAGCGAGTAAAATACAGAAAACAAGTATTGTGAGGCATTGTACAACAATCAGCTGCAGACTGTAATCTTTGAGAGAAACAAACAAGGTGAATCCTACCACTCCCAAGCTTTGTGCCGGAAGTGGTTTGCAGGAATCAGCCCAGCAAGGGGAAATCCAGAGTCTAGCAATCTCGGTGAGTGAACAGGACAAACACTGGGAATAATACAAGAAATGGAAATAATTATAAACACCATACAATGAGAAGAGAAAAAGTTGAAGGAAATGCTCCCTTTTTTTTTTGGTCTCAAGAGTTTCGCTCTTGTTGCCCAGGCTGGAGTGTAATGGCACAATCTCGGATCACCACAACCTCTGCCTCCCTGTTTCAAGCGATTCTCCTGCCTCAGCCTCCTGAGTAGCTGGGATTATAGGCGTGAGCCACCATGCCCGGCTAATTTTATATTTTTTTAGTAGAGACAGGATTTCTCCATGTTGGGTCAGGCTGGTCTCAAACTCCTGACCTCAGGTGATCCACCCGCCTCGGCCTCCCAAAATGCTGGGATTAACAGGCGTGAGCCACCGTGCCCAGTCCCTAATTTTTAAAAATCAGGGAATCTAAAGTTGGATGGCATTCTTCAAAACCGATAAACCAAGAAACAGGTGGAATTATGTTTGAAATCTAGAGACTTAACAGTAATTCTAAGTAGAAGCACAGATAATTAGGTTTATTGACAATGAAAGGTAAAAAGTTAGTTTCTAGTAGAAATAAGAACCTTGTTTTCTTTTTTTTGTTTTTTTTTTTTTTGAGACGGAGTCTTGCCCTGTCACCCAGGTTGGAGTGCAATGGTGTGATTTCAGCTCACTGCAGCCTCCACCTCCTGAAGAACCTTGTTTTCTTAATGAATTAGTTCCATACTTAAAATCAGCTTAAATCCTCAATTTTCAAAGTGTATGAGAAAAGAATAGACGAGGACTCCGTATTTGTGAAATACTCTGATCTCTGGCAAAAAGAAAGTGCACATGTTTATTATTGCCTAAACCACTGAAAAATTCAAGGGAATTAACACTGATTGATTACCAACAATTTTCCTCAAGCTTGAAAATATAGGTTCTTGGCATAAAAAATACTTAGCATAAAATACCAAACTAATTTTTACATATGCACAAAATATATATTTAATTACAACAAGGGATGGTTAAGTAATAATGCACTGTCTTTTCTAGCGAACCAAAAATATGTTTTTTTAACAAATACACTCAATGCTGGTGAAGGTGGGATGTAACAACTCTAGTTTACTGCTGGTAACTTTAATCAGCAGAACCTTTTTGGAAAAGTTTGGCAGTATGTTTCAAGAGTTTTAAAAAAATATTTTTAGACCCTTGAACAAACGGAAGAAAATTCCTAAAGACACAAAAATCCCTAACAAAGATGTTCATTCCAGTGTTATTTATAAGAAATAAATCAGAAACAACCTAAACATTTAACAACAGAAAAATGGTTAAGCAAATCATGACTCAACAGATGAGGCAATACTAATACTAGCAGTGAAAATGCTATGAATGATTTCTGATTTAAAAAAAAAAAAATCTGGCCAGGCACAGTGGCTTACACCTGTAATCCCAGCACTTTAGTAGGAGGCCGAGGGCAGATCATCTGAGGTCAGGAGTTCAAGACCAGCCTGGCCAACATGGCGAAACCCCATCTCTACTAAAAATACAAAAATTAGCTGGGCGTGGTGGTGCACACGTAATCCCAGCTACTTGGGAGGCTGAGACAGGAGAATCACTTGAACCCTGGGGGCGGAGGATGCAATAAGCCAAGATGGCGCCAGTGCACTCCAGCCTGGGTGACAGAGCAAGACTCCATCTAAAAAAAAAAAATCTGCATGATCTGCCATCAGCAGGTCCAGGAAAAAAAAAAGTATAAGGGCAACTAAGAAAAGCAGAAAATAAAACAATACAATGAAATTCCAATTAAATTTTAAAGCATAAAGAAAAACTAAAACATTATCAGTTTTCTCTGGATATTAGTATTATATATGTTTTTTTCTATGTGATTTCCCAATTTTATTATAATGAGAATGATCACCTTTAGAGTTTGAGGGGACAAGGATGTGGGGCAGGATAGGCCCTTGTCTAGTCCACCAGACTTACAAAAGTGACAATAGTATTGACCCTATAGAAACTAGTGTTTTTTCACAGGAAGTCAATGGGTCATCAGAATCATCTGAGGTTGCTTATTAAAATTCTTGGGCCACATTCCAGAGTTACTGGGGGTGGCAAGTGGTGATAGTGGCTGGGGGTTAGTCAAGAATTTATATTTTAGGGCCAGGTGTGGTGACTTACACCTCTAATCCCAGCACCTTGGGAGGTTGAGGCGGGAAGATCACTTGAGCCCAGTAGTTCAAGACCAGCCTGGGCAACACCGAGACCCTGTCTCTATAAAAAATAATTAGCCAGGCAGGGTGGCACATGCCTGTGGTCCCTGCTACTTGGAAGGCTGAGGTGAGAGGATGACTTGAGCCCAGGAGGTCAAGGCTGCAGTGAGCCACTGCACTCTAGCCTGGGTTTCAGAGTAAGACCCTGTCTCAATAAATACATATTTTTAAGTACTCTATGTGATATTTATGTTCATTATTATTCAAAAGTCAGTGTACCTGAGTGCGCTTAGGGCAAACTAGCCTCTTCAGCCCAATACATTTGTATTACAAAAACATAAATACTGAAAGACAATTCTTAAGTCCATACCACCATTTGCTGTTACTCTGCAGATAAATCAGAGTTAAAATGAATAAGCAGTAAGATATAAGTACTTCCAATATATGAGTCAAATAAAAATCAGCTTTCTAACATTTATAAGAACCTTGTTCATGAATTGTCACCAACAAAAACAAATGGAATTTTCATACTTTAAAAAAAATAAAACAGGCCAGGCACCGTGGCTCATGCCTGTAATGCCAACACTTCAGGAAGCTGAAGCAGGAGGATCACCTGAGGTCAGAAATTCAAGAGTAGCCTGGCCAACATGCTGAAACCCTGTCTCCACTAAAAATGCAAATATTAGCCAGGTGTGGTGGTGGGCGCCTGTAATCCCAGTTACTTGGGAGGCTGAGGCAGGAGAATTGCGTGAACCTGGGAGGTGGAGGTTGCAGTGAGCCAAGACTACACCACTGCACTCCAGCCTGGGTAACAGAGCGAGACTCTGTCTCAAAAACAAACAAACAAACAAACAACAAAACACCACCCCCTCCCCCCTAAAAAAAACAAAGTTAATTTTATGGGTTATATCTGTCATTAATTAACAATTGAATTGGGACCAGTACCTCTGCACATGACCTAATTTCATATTTAAAAAAGACTTGGCCTGTTCTACTTTATCTATAGATAGACTAAAATAATCCTCCCATTATCCACTGAAAAGAAAAATTGGGGAACCATATATATAAGAAGGTAACTTTAAACTTAGATTCCTTCTGCATCGTTACTTTTTTTAATACCAAAAAATACTGAGATTTGTCCTCTTTTTACTTTTGACATTAGTTCAGAATTGCTTCTATAATAAACTTCTGAGAATGGCAGAATCCATACTAAGGAGCTACACCTCTTGCTTCTTAATCAGCACATGCTACTTAGTATTAATACCTGGGTATCTACCTTACTAAAAGTACAGAATTATATTTATATTGCTGAATAGTATAAATCCCTACAGCCTATAATCATACCTTTGATTTAGACTTATGGAAAAAAACATTTACCACAAATGTTTGGTAGCCTGACAGTATCAGGCTCTAAAGCTGAACTTATTTTTTTAAATCCTATTTTAAATCATATACAGAAAAAGACATTTATGTATTTTTGTAATTTAGCTGCTTAAACAAAGTCTCCTTTACCATAATTTCTGTCTTTTTTTTTTTTTTTTGAGATGGAATCTCGCTCTCATTGCCCAGGCTGGAGTGCAATGGTGCCATCTCAGCTCACTGCAACCTCCGCCTCCTGCGTTCAAGCAAATTCTCCTGCCTCAGCCTCCTGAGTAGCTGGGATTACAGGCATGCGCCACCCCACCCAGCTAATTTTGTATTTTTAGTAGAGACTGGGTTTCTCCATGTTGGCCAGGCTGGTCTCGAGCTCCCAACCTCAGATGATCCACCCGCCTCAGCCTCCCAAAGTGCTGGGATTCCAGGCTGAGCCACCGGACCCAGCCATAATTTTTATATAATAATAAATTGTGTAGTTATATAAATTATAACATTGGGCCAGTTAACAGAGTACAAAAAGCAAAAATTTGTCAATGGGACAATGCTCAGCTAAAACAGGACTAAAACTGGTTTTAGTTCACAAACGAATTTTGTTTAGTTTCACAACTAAAAATTACATGATCAATATTACCTGAAAAATATAACTTCCTAAAAGAAAGTCATTTAAAGCCAAATTTTAGGGGGAAAAACATATACCACCCTTTGTTTAACAATTTTGAAAACAAAAACTTACAAATTCTAATGTTCCTGTCTAAAGCGTGACTGCATTGAGATTTCAAGCTCTATAGAGTACACTGATATTTTCATGGTTTACTTACTTAACTAACATTTAAGTACTAATTATGAGCTAGGCAGTAGATGAAAATAGGACAGTCCCTGTCCTTGAGGAGCCAATAGCCTAGGAAAGAGGACAAAACTACTCTAATGACACAGCTAACTGCTGCAGAGAGAAGTGTACAGGATGCTCTAGAAGCACAGAAAAACTCAGCACTAAACAGGGATAGGAGGTGAGACACAGCATGCAGAAAAAGTTTCACAACAGATGTTTAACATGATCTTTAAAGGAAAATAGGCGCAAGTCAAGAGAGTAGTGAAGGGCACTTCAAGCACAAGCAACACTTTATTGTTCTTCGGATATAACACACAAATAAGGAAAACAACCTTTGAATAAGGAAACACTACTGATAACTAAGTGAATTCGTTATCATGGTATCTTTAATAGACATCAGTTTTCATGGTAAACACATAATTTGCCTTACTGATTTTTTTTCAGGTGATTTTCTAGTTATTGAAACTCAGAGGTGCTCTATTACTACAGGGTTGGTTACCTTACCTTGTATTCATATGCTAAGACTTAGCTGTCACCTTACGGCTTGCTTCTGTCCTCCCCCTCTCCTTTTATCACCTTGGCCAACAGCCTGAACAGTCTCTTCACCCTGTCACAGATCTGTCACCATTTCTCCCGCCTCCCCTGACAAAGACAATAATAAAGCAGGTACCAGGTAGAAAAGCTGTAATGTCTGACAAATGCTTGTTTCTAAAAAGCCATACACAAACATACTGATGAAGTCATCTCTCTGCTACTAACCCTCAATAACAGCTGCAAGCAGATTATTGCAGCAATCGTGCCATGCTATAAACTACAACCACTGGTAAAGACTATCTATCTGTATCTAGACGGTTGACAGAGAAGAGGTGACAGACACCACAGTGAAAAGGAATGAAGGAACTAATAGGAACCAGCACATAGAGAGTCATGGGAGTGCACAATTAGGAAGTTTATTACAGGCAAAAGATTTGCCAAAAAGGGAACAAATGACAAATTTCCCCTTCAAGATAGAGCCCACATCTCTCCAGTCTCCTTTTCTTTCATGCCCTCACGCTCATCCTTTCCTCAGCCTTACTTCTCTACAGCTCATCATAGTACTTACGACACTAAACTCTAATCCCAGATTTACTTGTCTGCCTTTCCTTCTAGAACTTCATTCTCTTTAAGGCAGAAACATTTGTCTTGTTTGTCTCTTCATCTTCAGAGCCTAGTATAGCACTTGCACAAATTGGCACTCAATAAGTTCCTGAGTGAAAATTATTTTTATATAACTAAATAATCTATCATGAAATCCACACACTAACTCCCTACTTCTGTTTTTATAGTCTCCTGGGAAATCGATTACCTAAACTCTATTGCTTCAATAAAACCAAAATCTCTCCCTCAAACACCCTCCTCTCCCCGAGCTACCGACATGTATTCTGAAAGACCTACCAGCATGGATATTCCACATATACCTCAAACTCACTACATCCTCTGCCTCAACCTTCTTCCATAACATACTACCCTATAGGAGTCACTAATTCAAATAATACTATCATAAACTCCTCAAGCAGCTATCTCTCAAAGTCATCTGTATCTCCTCTCTTTACCCCAACAAAGTACTACTAATTCTCTATCCTAATATATCTTGAATTTCTTCCTCTCTTATCCCAAGATAAACTGCCTTAGTCCATCTTTTGCTGAATAACTAAAATCACCCATGGGGTCTACTGCCCCCATTTCTTTGCCTCATCCAGTTGATCCTCCATGATACCACTAGTTTCTCTAAAAGCACATATCTGATATCGTTACTCATCTGCTTAAAAACATCAATGAAAATTTCATTAACTATAAGATAACTCCAAGGACCTTGAAAGAGAACTGTGGCTCTTAAGTACTCCAGTCCCAATCTTTTCTGCCTCATTTATTACCATTCTCCCTATATTATTTGTTCCAAAATTCCCATACTACTCATAATTCTATTATTAATGCATACCATTTTCCTCCCAGACCTTCAAATCTTTACTTTATCCTTCTGAGATAACCCGTTCCCAATCACCAAACCACACTCAAAACCATAAAGAACTGATTCAAACTCTTTGAAATGTTCCCCTGTTCCCCAAAGGCAGAATTCATGGGCTTCCTGTGCATCTAGAGCATCAGTATCTAACAGAAATATAACATGAGCCAGGTATGTAATTTTTTCTACTAGCTACATTAAAAGGGTTATAAAAAGAGAGATAAAATGAATTACAATAATATATTTAACACAATGTATCCAAAATATTATCACACCACCATATAATCAGCACGCAAATTACTGAGATAGTTTATATTTTTGGACTATCTTCAAAATCCAGTGTGTATTTTACAGTACATCTCAATTCAGGTCCTAAATTTTCATCAGAAATACTTTATCTATATTTCGATTTCTTAAAATGTACAGTTGAAAAAGTAGATTTATATATCCAAATTATTCCAAACATTCTCCAAAGTTTCCCAATAAATGAATCCAGCATCAGTTTTCATATTTAACTTATAATAAATAATTAAAATTAAAACTTGAGTTATTCAGTCTCACTAGCCACATTCAAGTGCTCAATAACCACCCATGGCCAGTGGCTACTATCGGCCGGCACCAATCTGCAGCATTAATTTGTCATTTTTCTGTCTCTCCCACTAAGTTGTAAGCCCCTTAGGAGTTAAGAACATGACCATGTCTTATCATTACACATTCTCAAAGTCTAGAAACAAATGAATAAACCAAAGACCCCTTTCTCAAGCCCTAACACAGACTCTGATGATTCTCCTGTTCTCAGTAACTGCTTTCCCAATCCATAGAATATTTCAAGAAATAGAAAGCTAAATGTGATAGCTGCTAGAAACTTATTGATGAAACCTCATTATTAATTTGTGTTAAAAGTATTCATCCAGATATGTTTGTCCTTGTTGGTCAGTAAAGCAAAGAAAATTCAATGGGACATTATGCTGAGATAGTAAGACTTAGTTACTATTTTATGCTGATAAGGCAACATGCGATGACCTGGTACACTGCCATTATTATAAATCTCCCTCCCTGGGGACTTGAATGGTAACTCTATCATCAGCATTCAGAGAATGACTAAAGAATACTCTGTCACTGAAATTTCTAGAGATTAAAAAGTTAATGGTACAACTGCAAATGAAAAAACTATCTGTGATCACTTGTTGAAAGCATACATTACATGAATAAATCTAAACTTAGAAGGTGAGGCTTCTGGTGGCAGCAAAACAAAGTATGAATTTCAAAAAGATAAAAAATTGATCCATAGTTTTAAGATATACATTTAAATGCCCAACATACCATCTTTTCTGTCTCTCATCTTCTGATAACTGAATATTCTTTTTTTGTTTAATTTCAGAAGACAAAAAATTTTGAAAAACACTACCTAAGGAAAAGGTAGTGGAAAAGGTTGTGTTCACTTCAAATGAACACAACTACATAAATGGGTTTCTAACTTACTATCTGTACCAATTCATTAACAAGTATGCATGAGAAAGTCATAGCACAGCTACTTGGGTAATCTATTTTATTAAGTCCAAACTGAGTGTGTAATTACAAGTTTTAAAGCATTATTTCCTTAAAGCTGTCTTGAAAACAGAAAGAAAATTAAAAGTAGATGATTTTCCATCACTTTAATGGTCATTTTATACCAAGGCAAGAAATACCTAAGCCCTGAATTTGTTAAACAAGAGATATTTAAAATAGGTAGTTAGACACACATAATGGACTCTATAAGTAGAAAAAAAATACATTCAGTCCAGGTGCAGTGGCTCATGCCTGTAATCCTAGCACTTTGGGCGGCCGAGGCGTGCGGATCACCTGAGGTCAAAAGTTCGAGACCAGCCTGGCCAACATGGTGAACCCTCATCTCTACTAAAAATACAGAAATTAGCCAGGCGTGGTGGCCAGCACCTGTAATCTCAGCTACTCGGGAGGCTGAGGCAAGAGAATCTCTTGAACCCGGGAGGCAGAGGTTGCAGTGAGCCAAGATGGCGCCACAGCACTCCAGACTGGGTGACAACGCAAGACTCTGTCTCAAAAAAAAAAAAAAAAAAAAAAAAAAAAATTTTCACACACATACTCATGTATCTGCCAGAAAACTTACAGAAGACCATATGTAAGTTTCTGTCACTTATTTCTGAGTCATGGAATTACTGCTGGGTTTGTTTGTCTGCTTATCTGTACTTTCTAATTTATTCTAGAAGGAGTTCATCTATTTTTGAAATGAGATTAAAAAGAAAAAAATGCTTACGGGAGAAAAAGGGCCATTAATTTTAAAGTCATGTAACAATTCTGGAATGATCTTTAAGAAATTCTCTAGCTAAGCTCTAGAAGCACAGAACACTTATGATACCCATGGAGGTCAATACTCAAAACTTAAAGTTTACCCAGAAAAAGTAGAGTAGGTAAGGAGGAAGGGTTCATTCAAGATCACAGATATTTTGGGTTCAGTCTAAGCAGAAATGAAGTCACTAAGCTTAGAATTATAATTCTCATAAAAAGTCACAATGAGAATACAGTTCCCACAAGCAAGTTCTCCAAATTGCTAATAAAAAAGACAAAGGATTGGGTAGGGTAGGGAAGGATGGGTAAGGGGGAATAGGATTGTTCTGTAATCACAGTGATCAAAAGTTAACCACCTCTTTAAATGAACAATTCATCCTAAAGTTCCACAAAACTGAGGCCTGTCTAGACACTATTCATTCCCAGCACTTTTCTCTTTTCATTAAATAACTGTGATAAAATATACATAACATAAAATGTACCACTTTAACCATTCTCATGTGTACAGGTCGGTCACACTAAGTACTTTCCCACTACGGTGCAACCATCACCACCATCCATCTCCAGAACTTCTTTCATCTTGCAAAACTGAAACTCCATACTCACTAAACATTAACTCCCCATCCTCCCTCTCCCCAGTCCCTGGCAACCACCATTCTACTTTCTGTCTCTATGAATTCAAGCACCTCATATAAGTGGAATTATACAGTATTTGTCCTTTTGTGACTTATTTCACTTAGCATGTGTCAGAATTTCCTTTCTTTTCAAGGCTGAATAATATTCCATTGTGTGTGTCTGTGTATTTATTATTAATGTATTCATCCATCAATAGACACAGTTGCTTCCACCTTTTGGCTATAGTGAACAATTCTGCTATGAACATGGTGTACAAACACCTTTTTGAATCCCTGGCTTACAGTTCTTTGGGGTAGGTACCCAGAGCCCTTCTCTTTTGAAACTCCTCAAATAAAACTTACCTATTGCTCTAAAGGTCATCATAAAAAAAATAACATCAGGCCGGGCACAGTGGCTCACGCCTGTAATCCCAGCACTCTGGGAGGCCAAAGCAGGTGAATCACCTGAGGTCAGGCGGTAGAGACCAGCCTGGCCAACATGGCAAAACCCCATCTCTACTAAAATATTTAAAAATTAGCTGGGTGTGGTGGCACACACCTGTAATCCCAGCTATTGAGGCTGGAGAATTGCTTGAACCTGGGAGGCAGATGTTCCAGTGAGCCAAAACGGCACCACTGCACTCCAGGCTGACAACAGAGCAAGACTCCATCTCAAAAAAAACAAAAACAAAAACAAAAACAAAAAACCACCAAAAAAAAAAAAAACCCACTAATACTTTACACGTTTTCTACTCCACAACATCTTACATATGCACTGAAGACCATTAATCCAAAAGCGGAGGAAAAAAATCAGTCAGCAGCTAAATTTAAAGCAATTTAGTTGACCTTCCTTAAGTTCATATAACCCCATCCCCAGGAAGAGAAATATAAAACATTCTTCTCATATTTCAAAGTGCAGGAAACAAAAATTCACCTAGTAGGTATATTCCAGTGCTACGAACAGTTAGTGCTAGTTAAAACCGCAGTTTGTTTTTCAAGGTCTTGAGTATCCTTTAAGGGCAGTTACAACCCCTACTCCCAAACTAGCTCTCAGTTCAGAATTTTTAGAAAAGGTTCTAAAATACAAAAGACAAGTTTTTCCAGTTTCTCCGTAAGTCAAATTAACTCCTAATCCTCATCTGAAGACTCAATATCCTGTTCCAAGATCACTTGAGACATGTGTCAGCTCCTTTTGGTCCCAAATGCTTGTTCTTTTTCATCAGGCATCTCAATATCCCAAGGAGAAATCAAACAGGCAAATGAGAAAAATCTGTGGCAGATCTAAAGTCAGTTAAGATTTACTAATTTCTTGCTCAGCATTTCCTTTTGGGACGCTGTTGCGCATTAGAATGAGATATACTGAAAGTAGCATAAAGACGCCTGGTTCCTTTTAACAGAACAAAGTGCTACCAGAGGAAGAAACAAGTCTGGTTATCCCAGCTTTCAGTCTTCATACTCTGTTTTAGTAAATACACTAACATAAAAACTACCTATGTATCAATAAAAATATATCAGAATAACTATACTATTATAAAGTATCCATAACATTTTTCTAATTACCTATAGTTTCTAGAGGAAGACTGACATTTATCAATTCCCATTTTAAGTCATTAAATCTGAAGTTGGAAAGTCAAAAAGATCACACTCCTTCTCACTTGATTGTGTATAAAGAACAGCTGGCTAGTAAGCTATTGTACCTGATAAACAGATTATTTTTCTCCACAAAACACATTTAAATTACATTAACAAAACTGCCAATGAAGAAAAAACTACTTTAACTAAAAAGTGAAATCGTTTTCTACAAAACAAGGTTTGATCCCATTGTGTGCGTTACAACTACTTGAGTGTTTTAGCAATACCATCCACATGACATGGGTGCTTAATGAGGTTTTTCAAAATAAGCATAAAATAATGAAAGAAAATCTGACACACTCAAGGAAGATATTTAGCAGATAATTAATGAAATTTTAAAACCAGTTGGGTGAGGTGGCGCCTGCCTATAATTCCAGTACTTTGGGAAGTCAAGGCGGGCACATAGCTTGAGCCCAGCAGTTTGAGACCAGCCTGGGGAACGTGGAGAAACCCTGTCTCTACAAAAAATTAACTGGGTGTGGTGACACATGCCTGTATTTCCAACTACTTGGGAGGCTGAGGTGGGCAGATCACCTGAGCCTGGGAAGTTGAGGCTGCAGTAAGCTCCAGCCTGGGTGACACAGGAGACCCTGTCTCACAAAAATAAAAAATAAAACATTTTCCTGACTAGAAAAGTGATGATTAAGCTGCACAAAATGTTATACATAATCTTCTTTAAATTATGAAACACAGATACAAAAGGTAAAAGTACCCTTCTTTTAAAAAGAAGTTGGAAAACAGAATAAGTTGAAAAAGAAAGCAGAAATTCACCACCCAATTTTAACTTTTGTTGATATCCTGAATGAGGTTGTAATCATAATACAATCATAATAGGGACAGGCCATGACCGTTTACACAGATTTTCAACTTTCAAACATCTTGGACTTCCATAATTTCACACTAAAACTCCTAAACCTACTTCAATAAATAAAATCAGAACTTCCTTACACTAACTGATCAGCTTTTTGAGAAATCACATAATAGACACTTCTGTTTCAGAAGCCTCAGGTATTATCTGTATAGCAGTGCTTGTGCAATTTTGTATTTGAATGTCTTATTGTATTTTACATTTATTAAAATGAGGCAAAAAGTGTAAAAAATTTAAAAAATGCAGCAGTTCCCTATATTCCTTTATAGTATAGGGATAAGCAAACTATGGTCCAAATCCAGCCTGCTGCCTTCTTTTGTAAATAAAGTTTTGTTGAAACAAAGCCATGCTCCTCTGTTTCCATATTGGCTATGCACTTAGGTTCTCATGCTACAATGGCAGAGTTGAACACTTGCAACAGAGACCACATGGCTCACAAAACCTAAAATGTTTGTTACTGGGCTCTTTACAGAAAATGTTTGCCAAGCCCTGTGAAAATACCCTCCCAATTTTTAAGCTAGATTTTGTTAAAACCATGTACACAAAAATCAGATGAATATGTATTGTTCTTCATTCTTCCAAAGTAATTCCTTCAAATCATTACAAATTGCCATCCCTTTAACATTAAGAGTCCCCTTCTATAACATCAGAAAGAACAGAAAATGAAATCTTCAACTATTTCAGCTATGCAAAAATAGAACATAGGTCAAAGTGTCACTTTATCATTAACAGTGTATTTCAACAGTGTTAATTTACATGTAAGGTTTAATATCTATTTAAAAAGACAAGAATAAGGCCAAGTGCAGTGGCTCATACCTGTAATCCCAGCAGTTGGGGAGGCCTAGGCAGGCAGATTGCTTGAGCTCAGGAGTTCAAGACCAGCCTGGGCAACATGATGAAACCCCATCTTAACAAAAAAATACAAAAATTAGCTAGGCGTGGTGGCACACCCCTGTGTTCCCAGCTACTTGGGAAGCTGAGGCTGGAGGATTGCTTGTGCCTGGAAGGCAGAGGTCTCCAGCCTGGGCAACAGAGTGAGACCCTCTCTCAAAACAGTAACAACAATAACAAAAAGTTAAGAATATTTCTCTTGTTTAACTATGGATATGATTATCACAAAAAACTTGAGTGGTCTTCTTTAAAAATGAAAAAATTTATTTTGAAAATATAATTTTATTAGTAGTTGGCTCAAGTCAAAGAGACAAAATACAGAATTTCTACCTCTCAAAATTGTTTAACTTATTTAACTTAATCTTCCCCAAATATTTCTCCTCTGACCTCAGATCGTATCCTATTCATTGCCTCATCCTACTAATTACCTGCATTACCTACAAATCACCTAATATGGCTCACACTTGGCTCTAGTATTTTAAAAAAAAGACAATACTATATAGTCTATCAGGCTGACACTAAGCTGGCAATTTTTAAATCAGATAAATTCCATAACTAATACCATCAGTGCTACACTAGTAGAATCCTATTGGGATATCCCATGCATTCCAAGTTCTTAATGGTTATAGTGATGGTGCCTACATGCTTCTACAGGGTTTCTGGCCATTCTCTGCAGGTACCTTTAACTATGCCCAGAGGTCAGGGAACATCCAGTTAAATCAAATTTTTTTCTTATGGGAAATAATAGGGAAGCAACAGAAATAATATACTATTCTACCTAGATGTCAGGTATTTATTCATAAGCATGGTTCTGTTCAAAGATATGCTCTCTGCTCATCATCATATTCTTCGAACTGTGCACGATACAAGGTACATAGCTGGTGCTCAATAAATATTAAATGAGTACATGAATAATTCATTATTCAAGTAAATTAGATGTCACAGTTTTTGCCTTCTTTATTTTGTTCTTTTCGATCAGTGGTTTCTCTTCCTTTGCAAATAAAAAAATGATTAAAATGTTTAACAAAACATGAATGAAAAAATGTAATGGTGCTCTTAAAGTCCCTAGTTCAAGTTGGGTATTCAAAAATCTTTCATTTTGCCCAGGTGCAATGTCTCATGCCTGTAATCCCAACACTTTCGGAGGCCAGGACAGGAGGACTGCTTGAGCCCAGGAGTTTGAGACCAGGCTAGACAACACAGTGAAACCCCATCTCTATAGAAAAACAAACAAACAACAACAATAACAAAAAAAAACACTTTTGTTTAATTTAATGGGTTCAAACATTTCTGAAACAAAAAGAATAAGATTCTACTTTTGAATGCCCTGTCTTGTTATGGTCTCAGAAAAATGTTTACCTAGGAAACACAGCCTAATAATATCACTTCATGTAATATAACTAAATGTACATAAGTTATCTGTATCAAACTATCCCCAGCAATTATTAATAAGTTCCACCTTTAATACTTCAATCAGGTCAACAATTGTATTTCTATAAATTTTATATTCATATATTCACTTAAGTAAATTATACTTCTTAAATATTAAAACAAGTTCTGGCCGGGAGTGGTGGCTCATGCCTGTAGTCCCAGCACTTTGGGAGGCTGAGACAGCTTGAGCTCTGGGAGTTCAAGGCCAGCCTGGGCAACGTGGCAAAGCTTTGACTCTACCAAAAAAAAAAAAAAAATTAGCCAGGTGTGGTGGCACACACCTGTGGTCCCAGCTACTCAGGAGGCTGAGGTGGAAGGATTACTTGAGCTCAAGAGGGCAAGGCTGCAGTGAACCAAGTTGCAGTGACCTCAATTCCCCCCACCTTCCCCTCCTCCATCTCTATCCCCCTCAGGCTCAGGTGATTCTCCTACCTCAGCCTCCTGAGTGTCTGAGACTACAACAAGGATATGCCCATGCTGTATGAGTTCCTTAAAAAAAAAAGAAAAAAAGAAAAAAAACTTACCACATCAGTTTTCCATCAGAATATTAAAAGTGACAAAGGACTAACCATCAAATATAATATACATGTAATGGGCAGTATCATGTTAAAAAAAAACAAAAACTTGCCTAAAGCAGTAACATTATACTCACAGGCTGAAAAACAGGAATAAATGTCCTGGGCCCACAGACACATAAGAGGCCAACACGGAACACACACAAAAAAAACATAAAATATCAATTCTAAAGCAATATGCAAAGTATACATTTATTTTAAGACTTTTTGCTTACTGCCTTAAAAGTCTGAAAATATCTTTTGAGGGGTCTCGAATAGAAGTCCACAAAGTTTTGAACATTTTATTGCAATGAAATTTCCTTTAGCAACAACAGAAACAATAAACTGTTAAGATTTATTAAGCATTTACTCTAAGCACTTGACTGACTTATCTTGCCAATCATCTCAATACCCTAGAGTTTAACTATTCCTCTCCATGAGGAAGTTGTTAACTAAGATTCAAAACCAGGAAGGTCTATTTAATTCCAAAGTCCAGACTATTACTCACTATCCATATTGTCCCTACCAAATACTACAAGTATTAGTAATCATTTCTTAGAGCTGTGTTTAAAAAATACTTTTGTTACCACAGTGTAAAATATATTCATAACTAGCATATTAAGAATACTGTAAGTGTTCACAGAATAGGAGAAATAAGTGTTTCAAATTTAAAAAAACAGGAAAAACAAAATTTTTGTTTAGATGTTTTTTTTTTTTTTTTTGAGACGGAGTCTCGCTCTGTCGCCCAGGCTGGAGTGCAGTGGCTGGATCTCGGCTCACTGCAAGCTCCGCCTCCCGGGTTCACGCCATTCTCCTGCCTCAGCCTCCCAAGTAGCTGGGACTACAGGCGCCCGCCACTACGCCCGGCTAATTTTTTGTATTTTTAGTAGAGACGGGGTTTCACCGTTTTAGCCGGGATGGTCTCGATCTCCTGACCTCGTGATCCGCCCGCCTCGGCCTCCCAAAGTGCTAGATGTTTTTATATCAGATGAAAATAAACTAAGAATAAACATCTATGTTTAAAATATTTTAGTAGCCAGAGCCTACCTAACCAAATTGCTACCTGGGATTTTCCAATATTTCCATTTTAGTGGAGTTTAGCAACTGATATCTAATGGTGTAATTACTTTTTGTCCCCAAAAGTAATGTTGATGACCTGGAGACATTCCACACTAATATAATAAGGAGAACTAAGTAAAAAATCATGACTGAAAAAGTCAAATTTTTCAAAGAAAGGGCCAATAAACTTTTATGTTACTTTGCTAATGCTGGAGAGTGGAACAAAATGCACAAAACTATGAGCTCTTTAAGAGTAGAAACTAGGCTGGGTGCAGAGGCTCACACCTGTAATCCCAGCACTTTGGGAGGCTGAGGCAGGCAAATCATGAGGTCAGGAGTTTGAGACCAGCCTAGCCAACATGGTGAAACCCTGTCCCTACTAAAAATACAAAAACTACGTGGGCGTGGTGGCACGTGCCTGTAATCCCAGCTACTTGGGAGGCTGAGGCAGGAGAATTGTGTGAACTTGGGAGGTGGAAGCTGCAGTGAGCTGAGATCACACCACTGCACTCCAGCCTGGGAAACAGAGCAAGACTCTGTCTCTTAAAAAGAAAAAAAAAAAAAAAAACAGAAACTAGGCAAGACTTTGCATTTTATCTAGCACACTGAAAGCTTCTAGTAAGTGGCAAATGTAAAACAGATACTAGATATCCCTCTTACTAAGGAAAATTCAATGGGGCAAAAAATTCTGTCCCTCAAGAAAACTGATTAAGGTTTCTCTGCATTAAGAAATATCTACTCTTGGGCCGGGCACAGTGGCTCACACCTGTAATCCCAGCACTTTGGGAGGCCGAGGCAGGTGGATTATCTGAGGTCGGGAGTTTGAGACCAGCCTGATCAACATGGAGAAACCCCATCTCTACTAAAAATACAAAACTAGCCAGGCGTGGTGGCACATGCCTGTAATCCCAGCTACTCCGGAGGCTGAGGCAGGAGAATCACTTGAACCTGGGAGGCGGAGGTTGTGGTGAGTTGAGATTGCGCCATTGCACTCCAGCCTGGGCAACAAGAGCAAAACTCCATTTCAAAAAAAAAGAAATACCTACTCTTTTAAGACTTACATTAATTATCCCCTTGCCTAAATTTGCTTCAAATTTTAGTTCAACTAACTAAATAGATAAAAGGTGAGAAATGGTGTCAATTCATCTTAAAGTATTGAAAACAGTTCTCACTAGGTTATCTCTCACACTGCATAACATGCTTGAAGAACTAACATAGTAGAGGTATTTTTAAGCTTTCCATTTTCCAACTTCAGCACAAAAATATTTAAAACAGTCTGACCAGAAACTACAGGAAATCTTTCCTTCCTCTTTCCATCCTTACCGGAGACATAAGTCTCACTTCTTGTCATTCCCATTTTTGCACATTCAAGGTTTTCACAACTTGAAACTGAGTATTTTCATACTGTGCTTTCCTTTCAGGAATGTGACCTCATGTAAAATACTTTTTTTTTTTTTTTTGAGACAACGTATTGCTCTGTCACCCAGGCTGGAGTTCAGTGGCGTGATCTCAGCTCACTGCAACCTCTGCATCCTGGGCTCAAGTGATCCTCCCAGCTCAGCTTCCCAGGTAGATGGAACTACAGGCACAAGCCCCAATGCCCAGCTAATTTTTTTTGTATTTTTTATAGAGAAAGGGTTTTGCCATGTTGCCCAGGTTGGTGTTGAACTCCTGAGCTCAAGTAATCCACCCACGTCAGCTTCCCAAAGTGCTGGGGCTACAGGCATGAGCCACTACGCCTGGCCTAAACTTTTTGTAAGCCAAAAAAAGTTCCAATAAGTGAATATTAGCATAGTTTATAACATGGCATTATATGTTTACACCTAAAAAAAAAAAAAAAAAAAGAATTTAATTCTACGTATGGTTAAAAGACCACTTCTTTCCAAACTGACATAAATTTTCACAAAGAATTCATCTGTGTGAGTTCATATCTATTGATATTTAGTATTAGAAAACAAAACTAAAAAATTCTTAAATTATGTATTAGTTCATTTAAAAATAAGCCTGTTACATATTAACATATGTTTTTATGAAAAAGTGATTAATCTCCCCTCCAAAAAAAAAAACGGCACAGTTTTACATTTTTACAAATCTCTTTATTGCCTGGATTCTCACATCTGCTTCTACATTCAATATTTTGCAATTTTTTTTTGGTTGAAGTACATAAACAATGGCCTTATAGATATGTCGGACAAGGAAGAAATACTTTACAGCCTTTTCATATTATTGTGAACATTCTTCTCAGACACTCCACCAAAACTTGACAAGTGGCAGTTTCTTAAAGATGAGTTGCAATGTGGAATCTAAAAATCATAACAATTAACTCTTTGTACTTTCTCACATTAAAACCCACTTGTCTACCTTGCACTGTGAATGGCTCTCTTACCCACTGTACACTGGTCACTTGAGGAACATTCATTCACTGAGTTACGCTTATCTTCCAAATGTTGAAACATTTCATTACACAACATTAAGAACAAACAACAAAACAAAAACTTTAATATCACCACTGCTTTCATGAAGAGTCTTGAGATTGAGAAGCTGTAAGCTCATGACAACAAATCTAAGTTTTCAAAATTCTAATCTCCAGTTGAGCTCAAAAAACTCACCATGTCATTTCTTCATAAATTTTTAAAAAGCTTGAATTTTATCATATGCAATAAAAATCAATTATTTTCTTATTTTTTTTTAATTTTGGGGGTACATGGTAGGTGTGTATATTTATAGAGTACATGAGATGTTTTGATACAGGTGTACAATGTAAAATAAGCACATCCTGGAGAGCAGGGTGTCCATTCCCTCAAGCAAAAATTGACAATTTTCTTTAAAGTGATAGGCTTACTTCTGTTCATTTTTGAGAAAATGTCTAATGTCCTAGTATGAATAATCAGTTTGTCATTCTTTCAAGTAAAATTTACCAATCAAACAAGAGCAACAAAATTTTAATGTAATCATTTTTAGTAGTTTTTAAAAGGTATAACTACTTCCTTGACTTCTTAACCTGGGAACAGGAAACTATTTTTTCAATGTAAAAATAAAGTATCTCTTTACCTTAGAAAGCAGCTGTGAAGAAAACACACGTTAAGTATCTATCCAGTGCTTGACACACTGAAGATATCCTCCTCCCTCCATCAGTCAGAATAGCCTCTGGCTTTTTATTTTTCTATCACCTCATTAAAAACCAAGAGTTCCTTCCTGCTTTGCCTACTTTCCAACAACTTTTAAGTTACTGAATTCCACTGTTATGCTATATAAAAACAGACAAATGGCCAGGCATGGTGGCTCACACCTGTAATTCCAGCACTTTGGGAGGCTGAGGCGGGTGGATCACTTGAGGCCTGGAGTTCAAGACCAGCCTGGCCAACATGGCAAAATCCCATCTCTACTAAAAATACAAAAATCAGCTGGGCATGGTGGTGCATGCCTATAAGCCCAGCTACTCAGGAGGCTGAGGCACGAGAATCGCTTGAACCTGGGAGGCAGAGGTTGCAGTGAGCCAAGATCCCGCTCCTGCACTCCAACCTGGGTGACAGAGCGAGACACCAACTCAAAAAAAAAAAAAAAGTTTAATTAAAAAAACACAAACAAACAAATACACAGTTATTCAACCATAGCTTAAAAAAAAGAGGGCCTCAAAAGTCAAGAATCTTTTGTAGATTCTGTGACACCAATTTTTCTGATTTCGAAGCCTATTCCTATACCTCTTTAATGTACACCAACCTACATTCATGGTTTTCTAAAATTCTGATCTTGACTGTTATAACAGACTTCAAACTAATTGTTGTGATAAAATTATTTGAGTAGTCATTCTGAGTTTAAACCATCTGCTTGGCATTTACTGAAGCAACTGCTAAAGATATTCTATGCACAGAGATGAGATTTTTCTCAACAAAAATGCAAAAAATTTTCCACATCTGTTGTTTTTGTTGATATGTCACCTAGATTAGCAAATTCTTCTCTAGAAAGAAAACAGGGTGAAAACACAGAACATTTTTAATGTACACATTTTTTTAATGACTCTATCAGGATTATGCCAGCTTCTCAACCATATTTTCCACAGCTACTCTCCTACAATTATACTACAATTATCTATGTGTTTGTGTGTATATATACATATGTACACAGAGAAAGCAACTTCTGATACCCAAGCCAAATGACACTGTGACTTTGGCCTTTAAATATAACACCTAAGATTTTTTTTTAATCATAGATTTAAGCACATGAATATTCCAGTATCAGAATCCAAGTACAGATGTGATGGAAATCTACATGAAACTGACTTTATACAGTAGCCAAGAATTCTGAAATATAAAAAGTATACTGACATCATATTCCAAAAGATAGATATACTCCAATGTACAGTAAATAACTGTGCTATATGAACATTTATTGGTTTCGACAGTCCTTTTTTGGGGTACTAGCACCACCACCATTGCCTTCTTTGGTTATCTGCTCTCCCCCTCAAATAATGTGATTCTGATGAAACTGTCAATCATACTACCCTGCACATCTCACAAAAGGACTGACACAAAATGCAGTTCTGATAAATCAGAGTGCTTAACCTAGCTACCAGAATAACTGGCCCAGACACGAACACAAGAACTAAGCTAGGCTGAGAAGTTTTTGCAAAGAATTTTACACATGATCTTCAGGCCTTTCTCTTACAGTATCTAATTGTGATAATAAAAATGCAGAGCAATCCGTAGCTATACCCTGTGTATTAGTCAAGAGTTCTCCAGTGAAACAGATCCAGCAGGATCCACAGGATGTGTGTGTATACATACAGGGAGACAGAGGCAGAAAGAGATTTATTTTAAGATGTATTTATTTTAAGGCATTACCTCATGTACTTGTGGAGGCTTGGCAAATCTACAATCTGCAGGGTAGAGGGGCAGGATGAAGATCCAGGGAAGTGTTGCAGTTTGAGTCCAAAGGTGGTCTGCTGGCTCAATTTCTTCTTGCTCAGGGAAGGACTGTCTTTGTTCTACCAAGGTATTCACCAAATTGGATGAGGCCCACCCACATTACAGAGGGTAATCTGCTTTACTCAAAGCCCACTAAATTACAAGTTAATCTCATATAAAAAGCACCTTCATAAAAACACCCAGAATAATGTTTGACCAAATATCTGGGCATTGTGGCTCAGCCAAGTTGACACATAAAAAGAACCATCACAAGTTCACCCCTTGCCAAACTGCAGACATACGAAATCGGTATTCCCTTCACTATACAATAGGTTATTTACTACATTATCTGTTGTCAAAGGGTTGTTTGGCAAAGATCAATAGGACACAATCTTTGGCATTAAGGACTTTACAGTCTGGAGAGACAAAGACATGCACAAACTCTCATTCAAAGGGAGTATCATTTTGCCCTTCCTGTTTTTTTTTTGTTTTTTTTTTTTTTGAGATGGAGTCTCGCTTTGTCGCCCAGGCTGGAGTGCAGTGGCGTGATCTCGCCTCACTGCAAGCTCCACCTCCTGGGTTCACCCCATTCTCCTGCCTCAGCCTCCCAAGTAGCTGGGACTACAGGTGCCCACTACCACACCTGGCTAATTTTTTGTATTTTTAGTAGCGACGGGGTTTCACCATGTTAGCCAGGATGGTCTCAATCTTCTGACCTCATGATCCGCCCGCCTCAGCCTCCCAAAGTGCTAGGATTACAGGCGTGAGTCACCGCGCCCGGCCTGCCCTTCCTATTTTATAGTACATAGAATTCCTCTCTACTCACAAAGTCTGGATCTTCAAAACTTTCAGTGGTGAACTATAATAAGTTTGGATGCTCTATTCCTTGCCAGCTCCCTCCCTGGTCTTCACAGCAGCTGGTGTCAATGACTGGCCTGGTACAGAATACATATACGTGGGAAGACCTAGAGACCCACAGTCAGAAAAAGAGGATATGACAGACAACTGCTATTTTGTCTGCCTGGCACCTCTCCCTTATTCTGGGAACAACAACATGTCTCCCTTATTTGGGGACAAACTACTACTTCTCTGGGGGAACTGCTTCTCCTCAAATTCTACCTAGGCAGTTTGGGTGGGGTCCAATCATGCTCCTGGCCATAAGTCTAAACATGTCCCAAGGCAAGCCAAGACAGACTCTTTCTCTGAGATTTTCTCAATTAGAACTAAGGAAAGAAAAAATAGATACTCTAATTTTAAAAACTAAGAATGTGATCCTGGCAGGTGCCAAAACTTGTCTACAGCCACGTGGATGAAATATCTTTGGAAGAATAACAGAACCATGGAGAGAAAATCAGAGATGAGAGATTGAAGAGGTAAAAAGAATCCTGACAGTGAACAAGGCCCTAGAGTTCCAATCATTCCTAATGCCCAAATGAATAATCCCCTCCTGGACTTTGGTCTCATGGGCCTAAACATTCCCCTTTGTCTAAGCTAGTCATAGCTGGGTTTCCAGCACTTACAATTAAGAGTTCTAATACACAAGGATGAAAGCAGAAAAAAAGAGTAAATATAAAACATAAGATAAACTGCATCTAGGAATCATGAGGTAAAAGCACACAGAGTTTAGGAAAAAAAGGTTAAGAAAAAGAGAGATTAATTTACTTTAGAAAAGAAAAGGGTCAAAACAGAAATTCTGGGGCTGATTTGGAGAAAAGATGGATGGGAGGTGAACATAAGAGGACTTTTTTTTTTTGGAGACAGAGTCTCGCTCTGTTGCCCAGGCTGGAGTGCAATGGTGCAATCTTGGCTCACTGCAACCTCTGCCTCCCAGGTTCAAATGATTCTCCTGCCTCAGCCTCCCTAGTAGCTGGGATTACAGGTGCCCACCACCATGCCTGGCTAATTATTTTGTATCTTTAGTAGAGACAGGGTTTCGCCATTTTGGCCAGGCTGGTCTCGAACTCCTGACCTCAAGTGATCCGCCCACCTTGGCCTCCCAAAGTGCAGCGATTACAGACGTGAGCCACCACACCTGGCTTAAGAATCAAATACTATTAATACTAGGTTATACATTCTAGGCAAAGGGATTTAGAAAACCCAGAACCTGGCAGTATTAGCTAGCTAGCCTTCTAAGGCAAAGCCACTGAAT
Source organism: Homo sapiens (assembly GCF_000001405.40). Classification (NCBI taxonomy): domain Eukaryota; kingdom Metazoa; phylum Chordata; class Mammalia; order Primates; family Hominidae; genus Homo; species Homo sapiens. Next base: position 31,889,323 of record NC_000010.11, read on the forward strand.
ATCATCTGTCAATTGCTTTGATTAAATAATGCTCTGCCAGTCACATAATCATCTAAGTGACCTTACTTCAGTTTCTGTGCAAAAAAGTACAACACAAAACAAATTTTACCAATAATTGCTATAAAGAATAATACAAAGTTCACCTTTGCACTCAAATAAATGAAGGTATTACTTTCTACTTTCTAAAAATGTTTTTAATAACTTTGAAAGTGTAAAAATCCAGTAACCACTTAAAAATTTTATCTTCTGTGATTAATGAATCTAAGGATTTTGATTTTCTTTTCTTAATTTTTCTCGTTTTTTTTTTTTTTTTTTTTTTTTTGAGACAGGATCTCGCTCTGTCATGCATGCTGGAGTGCAGTGGCATGATCTCAACTCACTGCAACCTTTGCCTCCTGGGTTCAAGCAATTCTCCCACCTCAGCCTCACGAGTAGCTGGGACTACAGGCATGCCCTTCACCACACTGACCAGACTGGTCTTGAACTCCTGGCCTCAAGTGATCTGCCCACCTCAGCCTCCCAAAGTGGTGGGATTACAGGCATGAGCCACCATGCCTGGCCAGATTTTTGTATATTTTAATATATATAAACTAAAACAAGCAGAAAAAACCATGGGATCTTGGAGGGCCATGAAATTCTCATACATACTTGTACTTAGTCATTCTAATCTCCAACACTGCCTGTATATACATTACTGTGCAGTGAATAGAACTAATATTGTACCAAGTACCTCTTTTTGTGTCTGGGTACATAAGTCATTTCACAACAGAATTTCATTTAAACCTAATGACAATTCTGAGCTCCATTTCTAGAGGGGAGAAAACTGAGGCTCAGAGATTAAATGGTTCACCCAAGGATCAGCAAAGCAGAGGCAGATCCAAAATCTGAAAATCTAAATCAGTTTCAACCCAAGTTCAGTCCCCACATTGTCCTAAATTTTAAAAAAGTAAAATAAGCAACAATTATACTAGTGCTCAAAGAGACAAATAATTCCAACCTACAAATAGGTTGCTTTCTAAGATGATTGGAACTTCAAGCATATTTTACCAAAAAATATTACGTTATAAATACTGAGGATTAGGTTTTCTAATTCACCAAAACTTATTTAAGCCATTATATAGCAGAAATCATAAGTACTAAAAGAAGACTGAGCCCCTAAATCGCCTAAGATTCCTAACTTTAGACATGCTCTAAGCAATAATTAAGTAGGAAGTCTACGGTAAGACTGGGCTGGTGACAAAGCAGCATTTCAGAAAATTTTAAGAAAGCTAAGTAACGACTCCATGGTTCCAGGAGTGTGGCAAGAGAGGACTTATCAAAAAGATTTATCAGCAGCAAGCTAGGATTTGGATGAAAGGGGACACTATTAACTGGCTATTCAAAGCCAGTTTACACTTGTTTTTAGATTCAGTACCATCTATGTAGAAACAGATTTAGTAAAATCTCTAACAAACATTAAAACAAAAAGGACTTTATACCTAATCCTGAATTAACCAGAAAATCCAATTAGCCTAAAAAAAAGAAAATCCCATTCCTCAAGCACTCTTCTTAACTGAAATTCCATTTGTATAATACTTTGTAAAATATTCCCTATAGTGAAACTGCACATACAGCATGATTCCTACTTTGTAAATATATGTATATATATTTAACACTTGTAGTTTTTAAACACAATAAACACCTCTATTAGCAGCTGACACAATTTAGAAAAAAAGACTAAAAGGAAATATTTAAATGGTTTTCAATTAGAACTGAAGCTGAAATCTATAACAAATTCGGGAACTGGTTTTGTGAACCCATTATACTATGATAATAGCACCTTGAAATGTTGGTTGATGTGTTGTTCTATATAAAAATTTTCCAAATCAATGTAAGATTAGGCTTCAAATGCCAGAAATGTGTTAGTTTATCATCATCAATGAATAAACTCTTTCTATGAATATATATGCCAACATAAAAAGCTAGTATATCTCTCAGCATTTGTTTGTGGAGGATTTTATTTCTCCTTCACTTATGAAGCTTAGTTAGGCTGGATATTAAATTCTGGGTTGAAAATTATTTTCTTTAAGAATGTTGAATATTGGCTCCCACTCTCTTCTGGCTTGCAGAGTTTCTGCTAAGAGATCCACTGTTAGTCTGATGGGCTTCCCTTTGTGGGTAACCCGACCTTTCTCTCTGGCTGCCCTTAACATTTTTTCCTTCATTTCAACTTTAGTGAATCTGATAATTATGTATCTTGGAGTTGCTCTTCTCGAGGAGTATCTCTGTGGCGTTCTCTGTATTTCCTGAATTTGAATGTTGGCCTGCCCTGCTAGATTGGGGACGTTCTCCCGGATAATATTCTGCAGAGTGTTTTCCAACTTCGTTCCATTCTCCCCGTCACTTTCACGTACACCAATCAGATGTAGATTTGGTCTTTTCACATAGTCCCATATTTCTTGGAGGCTTTGTTCGTTTCTTTTTATTCTTTTTTCTCTAAACTTCTCTTCTCACTTCATTTCATTCATTTGATCCTCCATCACTGATACCTCTTCTTCCAGCTGATCGAATTGGATACTAAAGCTTGTGCATTCGTCACATAGTTCTCGTGCCATGGTTTTCAGCTCTATCAGGTCATTTAAGGCCTTCTCCACATTGGTTATTCTAGTTAGCCATTCGTCTAATCTTTTTTCAAGGTTTTTAATCTCTTTGCAATGGGTTCGAACTTCTTCCTTTAGCTCAGAGAATTTTGATCGTCGGAGAGATTTTGTCATCACCAGGCCTGCCCTAAAAGAGCTCCTGAAGGAAGCACTAAACATGGAAAGGAACAACTGGTACCAGACACTGCAAAAACATGCCAAATTATAAAGACCATCGAGGCTAGGAAGAAACTGCATCAACTAACGAGCAAAATAACCAGCTAACATCATAATGACAGGATCAAATTCACACATAACAATATTAACCTTAAATGTAAATGGGCTAAATGCTCCAATTAAAAGACACAGACTGGCAAACTGGATAAAGAGTTAAGACCCATCAGTGTGCTGTATTCAGGAGACCCAACTCACGTGCAGAGACACACATAGGCTCAAAATAAAGGGATGGAGGAAGATCTACCAAGCAAACAGAAAACAAAAAAAAGGCAGTCCTAGTCTCTGATAAAACAGACTTTAAACCAACAAAGATCAAAAGAGACAAAGAAGGCAATTACATAATGGTAAAGGGATCAATTCAACAAGAAGAGCTAACTATCCTAAACATATACGCATCCAATACAGGAGCACCCAGATTCATAAAGCAAGTCCTTAGAGACCTACAAAGAGACTGAGACTCCCACACAATAATAATGGGAGACTTTAACATCCCACTGTCAACGTTAGACAGATCCATGAGACAGAAACTTAACAAGCATATCCAGGAATTGAACTCAGCTCTGCACCAAGCAGATCTAATAGACATCTACAGAATTCTCCACCCCAAATCAACAGAATATACATTCTTCTCAGCACATCGTACTTATTCCAAAATTGACCACATAGTTGGAAGTAAAGCACTCCTCAGCAAATGTAAAATAACAGAAATTATAACAAACTGTCTCTCAGACCACAGTGCAATCAAACTAGAACTCAGGATTAAGAAACTCACTGAAAACCGCTCAACTACATGGAAACTGAACAACCTGCTCCTGAATGACTACTGGGTACATAACAAAATGAAGGCAGAAATAAAGATGTTCTTTGAAACCAACAAGAACAAAGACACAACATACCAGAATCTCTGGGACACATTTAAAGCAGTGTGTAAAGGGAAATTTATAGCACTAAATGCCCACAAGAGAAAGCAGGAAAGATCTAAAATTGACACCCTAACATCACAATTAAAAGAACTAGAGAAGCAAGAGCAAACACATTCAAAAGCTTGCAGAAGGCAAGAAATGACTAAGATCAGAGCAGAACTGAAGGAGACAGAGACACAAAAAACCCTTCAAAAATCAATCCAGGAGCTGGTTTTTTGAAAAAATCAACAAAATTGATAGACTGCTAGCAAGACTAATGAAGAACAAAAGAGAGAAGAATCAAATAGACGCAATAAAAAATGATAAAGGGGATATCACCACCGATCCCACAGAAATACAAACTACCATCAGAGAATACTATAAACACCTCTATGCAAATAAACTAGAAAATCTAGAAGAAACGGATAAATTCCTCGACTCATACACCCTCCCAAGACTAAACCAGGAAGAAGTTGAATCTCTGAATAGACCAATAACAGGCTCTGAAATAGAGGCAATAATTAACAGCTTACAAACCAAAAAAAGTCCAGGACCAGATGGATTCACAGCCAAATTCTGCCAGAGGTACAAGGAGGAGCTGGTACCATTTCTTCTGAAACTATTCCAAACAACAGAAAAAGAGGGAATCCTCCCTAACTCACTTTATGAGGCCAACATCATCCTGATACCAAAGCCTGGCAGAGACACAACAAAAAAAAGAGAATTGTAGACCAATATCCCTGACGAACATCAATGGAAAAATCCTCAATAAAATACTGGCAAACCGAATCCAGCAGCACATCAAAAAGCTTATCCACTACGATCAAGTGGGCTTCATCCCTGGGATGCAAGGTTGGTTCAACATACACAAATCAGTAAACGTAATCCAGCATATAAACAGAATCAAAGACAAAAACCACATGATTATCTCAACAGATGCAGAAAAGGCCTTTGACAAAATTCAACAGCCCTTCATGCTAAAAACTCTCAATAAACTAGGTATTGATGGGATGTATCTCAAAATAATAAGAGCTATCTATGACAAACCCACAGCCAATATCATAGTGAATGGGCAAAAACTGGAAGCATTCCCTTTGAAAACTGGCACAAGACAGGCATGCCCTCTCTCATCACTCCTATTCAACATAGTGTTGGAAGTTCTAGCCAGGGCAATCAGGCAGGAGAAAGAAATAAAGGGTATTCAATTAGGAAAAGAGGAAGTCAAATTGTCCCTGTTTGCAGATGACATGATTGTATATCTAGAAAACCCCATCGTCTCAGCCCAAAATCTCCTTAAGCTGATAAGCAACTTCAGCAAAGTCTCAGGATACAAAATCAATGTGCAAAAATCACAAGCATTCTTATACACCAATAACAGACAAACAGAGAGCCAAATCATGAGTGAACTCCCATTCACAATTGCTTCAAAGAAAATAAAATACCTAGGAATCCAACTTACAAGGGATGTGAAGGACCTCTTCAAGGAGAACTACAAACCACTGCTCAGTGAAATAAAAGAGGATACAAACAAATGGAAGAACATTCCATGCTCATGGATAGGAAGAATCAATATCGTGAAAATGGCCATACTGCCCAAGGTAGATTATAGATTCATTGCCATCCCCAACAAGCTACCAGTGACTTTCTTCACAGAATTGGAAAAAACTACTTTAAAGTTCATATGGAACCAAAAAAGAGCCCGCATCACCAAGTCAATCCTAAGCCAAAAGTACAAAGCTGGAGGCATCACGCTACCTGACTTCAAACTATACTACAAGGCTACAGTAACCAAAACAGCATGGTACTGGTACCAAAACAGAGATACAGACCAATGGAACAGAACAGAGGCCTCAGAAATAATACCACACATCTACAACTATCTAATCTTTGACAAACCTGACAAAAACAAGAAAAGGGGAAAGGATTCCCTATTTAATAAATGGTGCTGGGAAAACTGGTTTGCCATATGTAGAAAGCTGAAACTGGATCCCTTCCTTATACCTTACACAAAAATTAATTCAAGATGGATTAAAGACTTAAATGTTAGACCTAAAACCATAAAAACCCTAGAAGAAAACTTAGGCAATACCATTCAGGACATAGGCATGGGCAAGGACTTCATGTCTAAAACACCAAAAGCAATGGCAACAGAAGCCAAAATTGACAAATGGGATCGAATTAAACTAAAGAGCTTCTGCACAGCAAAAGAAACTACCATCAGAGTGAACAGGCAACCTACAGAATGGGAGAAAATTTGTGCAATCTACTTATCTGACAAACGGCTAATATCCAGAATCTACAAAGAACTTAAACAAATTTACAAGAAAAAACCCCATCAACAAGTGGGCAAAGGATATAAACAGACACTTCTCAAAAGAAGACATTTATGCAGCCAACAGACACATGAAAAAATGCTCACCATCACTGGCCATCAGAGAAATGCAAATCAAAACCATAATGCGATACCATCTCACACCAGTTAGAATGGCGATCATTAAAAAGTCAGGAAACAACAGGTGCTGGAGAGGATGTAGAGAAATAGGAACACTTTTACATTGGTGGGACTGTAAACTAGTTCAACCATTGTGGAAGGCAGTGTGGCGATTCCTCAAGGATCTAGAACTAGAAATACCATTTGACCCAGCCAACCCATTACTGGGTATATACCCCAAGAATTATAAATCATGCTGCTATAAAGACACATGCACACGTATGTTTATTGCGGCATTATTCACAATAGCAAAGTCTTGGAACCAACCCAAATGTCCAACAATGATAGACTGCATTAAGAAAATGTGGCACATATATACCATGGAATACTATGCAGCCATAAAAAAGGATGAGTTCATGTCCTTTGTAGGGACATGGATGAAGCTGGAAACCATCATTCTCAGCAAACTATCGCAAGCACAAAAAACCAAACACCGCATGTTCTCACTCACAGGTGGGAAATGAACAATGAGAACACTTGGACACAGGAAGGGGAACATCACACACCGGGGCCTGTTGTGGGGTGGGGGGAGCGGGGAGGGATAGCATTAGGAGATATACCTAACGTAAATGACGAGTTAATGGGTGCAGCACACCAACATGGCCCATGTATACATATGTAACAAACCTGCACATTGTGCAGATGTACCCAAGAACTTAAAGTATAATAAAAATATATATATAAATAAAATAAAATAATGGATGTGATCCAGGACATCATTAAACTTTTTTTACTTTGAAAAAAAAAAAAAAAGCTAGTATGTAACAAATGTAAACATTTCTAGATTTATGGTCATCATCATAAAAACTCATTATTGCATTTTTAAAATAATATGATTCTAAGCTTTATAGATTTCTGGCCTTCTTCCTAAATGTCAGGTTGTCAGTTATCACTTTTTCTTCTGGCATCGTGTCAGCCTCATAGAGAAAAGTCCTATCATTTCTACTCCCCAGTTTCAGATCATACTTTCTAATGATAGGGACCTGGGAAACTTGATACTCAAGATTGATAAGACACACATATTAAACGAACATCAATGTGATTATGAGGGGGAAAAAAAGGGCTTCAGCAAAGTATATGGTTCTTAATAAACCATACAAAAACATCTCATAAAATCAGTGAGTGAGTTAGGCAAGGTGGCAAGATACAAGATGAACATGAAAATCAACTGTAGAACTTCCTATTTTAGCTCAGACATGTAACAAGCTTGGAAGTCATCATTCTCATCCTAACACCAAGATAAAAGCTGAACAAACTGAAAATAATTTATTTCTAGGACCCATTACAGAACCAAAGTCACGTGTCAAACCACTACCCCAAAATTTGGAGAGCAAGGCAAATTCAGAGTCACACAGATCTATTTCCCTGGAACAGAAACCCTGGAGCTATAAACTGGAAGGAACATTTAAAGGTCATTTCAATGAACTGCTGGAGGCTAAGTGTGGACTAGGATGAGAATGACTAACTTCTAGGAGTGGCAGTCTTGAAAGAAAGACCTTATACTTTTGTGGGGTTTACTTCCAAAAACAACATCAGCTTCCTACAGTAAAGAGCCAAGAAGATACTCCCATAGCTCTGACAAGGGGAGGGAAAAAATAACTAGTATGAAATAAGCCCAAGTCATTCATCATAACAAAGACTTACTTCCTAGACTTACAAAGACTTAAAAGGGTTTACCAGAGCCTTATCTGACCTGAGGAAAGGGCACTTCCCAGACTCCACATCCCTGGTCTTGCCTAAGGGAAAGGGTAAACTAAGAGACACTTGTAAAATTCACAGCTCATGACGCACACACACTAAAAGGCTAAGATTTAATCCTAACAGAACACTATCCCCTTCCCCATACTTTACCACCACTCCAACAGGCCTCCAGTACATCAACAGTGAACTGAGGGGCACAGGGTGGGAGTTGGGTGTGGGGTGGGGGCGCCTACCTTAAGTAGTATCTAAGGAAAATCTTAGATACTTAGTATCTAAGTAGATACTAAGGAAAATCTCTTAGAGACAAACACTGATGTCTGAAGAATTTAAAGCCTCTGGTACCTACAACTACAGCGAACATTAAAAGCAATCCAGTTTCTACTCAGATAACCCAATACCCCACTTCAGTTCCTATCACCTGATATATGGTGTCTGGCTTTCAACCAAAAATTGCAAGGCATGCCAAAAGGCAAGAAAAAAACAGTATGAAGAAACAAAGCAAGCAACAGAATCAAACTCAGCTGTGGCACAGATGGAACTATTAGACGGGAAACTGAAAATATCTACTATTAGGCTGGGTTCAATGGCTCACTCCTGTAATCCCAGCACTTTGGGAGGTCAAGGCAGGCAGATCGCTTGCGCCCAGGAGTTTGAGGCCAGCGTGGGCAACAAGGTAAAATCCCATCTCTACAAAAAATACAAAAACTAGCCAGGCTTGTTTTTGAGCCTGCTGTCCCAGCTACTTGGGAGGCTGAGGTGGGAAAATCGCTTGAACCCAGGAGGTCAAGGCTGCAGTGAGCCATGATCGCACCACTGCACTCCATCCTGGGCAAGAGAGCAAAACCTTGTCTCAACAACTACAGAATGGGAGAGGGGAGAAAATATTTGCAAATCATACATTTGGTAAGTGACCTCTACCTAAACTATATAACGAATTCTTACAACTCAATAATAAGGCAACGCAACTTAAAAATGTGCCAAGAATTTGAATAAATATGTCTCCAAGGAAAATATATAAATAGCAAATGAACATATGAAAAGATGCTCAACGTCATTAATCATGAGGCAAATGCAAATTAAAACCACAATCAGACACTTCCTACTCACTAGAATAACCATAAGCAAAAAGCCAGATAATAAAAAGTATTGACAAGGATGTGGAAAAATTGGAACCCTAATGCATTGCTGGTGGGATGGTCCTGATCTCTTGACCTCGTGATCTGCCCACCTCGGCCTCCCAAAGTGCTGGAATTACAGGCGTGAGCACCGCACCTGGCCCAACTGCATTTTTATATGCAGTCATATGCTGAATAACGTTTCAGTAATGGTGGACCACATACACAAACGTGGTCCCATAAGATTATAATACTGTATTTTTGCTGTACCTTTTCTATGTTTAGATACACAAATACTTAGCACTGTGTTATAACTGCCTACAGTATTCAGGACAGTCACATGCTGTACAGGTTTGTAGCCTAGGAGCAACGGGCTACACCATCTAGCCTGGGTGTGGAGGAGGATAGACCATCTAGGTTTGTGTAAGTACACTCTGTGATGTTCCCACAACAATAAAATAGTGTAACAACAACAAACAAAAAAAAACACGTCCACAGATGTTTATAGCAGAATTATTCATACTAGCCAAAAAAGGTGGCAACAATCAAAATGCTCCAAAAGTGGCAGATGGATAAACAATAGAATATTATTCCACCACAAAAAGGAATGCAGTACTGATACATGCTACACACAACATGGCTGAACATTGAAAACATTTAGTCAAGTGCAAGAAAGCAGTCACAAAAGACCACATAAATATGATTCCACTAAAATAAAAGGTCCAGAATCGGAAAATCTATGGAGATAGAGAATAGATTAATGGTTGCTTGGTGCTGAGGACCACAGACGACAGTGGGGTGATAGCTAAAGGTTATAGAAAACTACAAAACTCTAATGAACGTTATCGAAAACAGTCTAAATAAATGAAGACATAGTCCTTGTCCATGAATTACAAGACTATAGTGTTAAGATGTCAATTCTTTCCAGTTTGATCTGTAGATTCAATCCAATTCCAATCAAAATCCCAACAAACTATTTTGTAGATATGGACAAAGTGAAATTTAAACCTTACATGGAAAAGCAAAAGACTTAGAACAGCCAACACAATACTGAAGTACAACCAAGTAGGAAGACACATATTAGTTACTTTCAACACTTACTATAAAGCTACATTAATCCAGACAGCATGGTATTAGCAAAGGAATGACACAGAGATCAATGGAACAGAATAAAAAGTTCAGAAACATACCCACAAAAATTGATCTTTGACAAAGGAACGAAGTCAATTCCATGGAGAAAGAAAAGTCTTTTTCAACAAATGGTGGTGAAACAATTAGATGGATATATGCAAAGAAAATGAACCTAAAGACCTTACACCTTTCACAAAAAATTAACTAAAAATGGATCACAGGCCTATATTTAAGGTGAGAAACTATAAAAATTCTAGAAGTGAAACAGAAAAATCTAGGTGACTTTTGGTTTGGCAATGAGTTTTTAGATACAACAGTAAAAATATGATCCATGAGAGAAATAATTGTTTAGTTTTGTACTTTATTAAAATTGAAAACTTTTGCTCTACAAAAGTCACTGTTAAGAGAATGAAAAGACAAGCTACAGACTGGAAGTATTTGTAAAACATACATCTGATTAAAGAATTTACATTCAAGATATACAAGGAACTCTTAAAACTCATCAATAAGAAAACAACCCAATTAAAAACTGACAAAAGACCTGAATAGGCACTTCACCAAAGAATATATAAAGATGGCAAATAATAAGCATATGAAAAGATGCTCAACATTATTTGCAATTAGGAAATACAAACTAAAACAATGAGATACTTTACATGTATTAGAATGGGTGAAATCCAAAAAACTAGTAATACCAAATGCTCGTGAATATGTGGTACAACTCTCATCCATTGCTGATGGGAATACAAAATAGAAAAACCACTTAGAAAGACAGTTTGACAGTTTCTTACAAAGCTAAACAGAGTCATACCATACTAAACAGAGTTAAACATACCATACATCATGTTCTTAAGGATTTACCCATCTGATTTGAATCTGCTCATGAATGTTCATTGCAGTTTTATTAATAACCAACAAAAACTGGAAGCAACCAAGACATCATTCAATAGATAAATGGATAAACTGTGAAAGATCCATACGATTAGATTATACAGCAATAAAAAGAAATGAGCTGTCAGGCCATGAGAAGGCATGGATGAATCTTAAATACACACTCCTAAGTGAAAGAAGCCAATCTGAAAAGGCTACCTACTGTGTAATTCCAATTAAAAGACATTCTAGAATAGACAAAACTACAATGAGAGTCAATAGATGACTGGTTGCCAGAAGTGTGAGGGAAGGAAGGTGAAACACAGAGGATGTTAAGGTAGTAATTACATCCTGTATGGTGCTGTAATTGTGGATACCCAATATTGCGCATTTGTTAAAACCCATTTAAGTTTACCACACAAAGAATGAACCCCAATGTATGCAAATTTTTTTTTTAATGTAGGCATTTGAGGTGGGTCGGGAATTCCAGGACAGAATGCAGACTATGACAAAACAACCTAACTTTATTAAAAATGTATGAAACTGGGCCGGTCTCAGCAGCTCAAGCCTGTAATCCCAGCACTTTGAGAGGCTGAGGCGGGCTGATCACTTGAGGTCAGGAGATTGACACTGGCCTTGGCCAACATGGCAAAACCCCGTCTCTACTAAAAATACAAAAAATTAGCTGGGCACGGTGGTGCACCTGTAATCCCAGCTACTGAGGAGGCTAAGGCGGGATAATCGCTTGAACCTGGGAGGCAGAGACTACAGTGAGCCAAGATTGCGCCACTGCACTCCACTCTGGGTGACAGCAAGAATCCGTCTCAAAAAAAAAAAAAAGAGAAGAAAAGAAAAAGAAACTGGTTGGACTCAGTGGTTCATGCCTGTAATCCCAGCACTTCGGGAGACAGAGGCGGGAGGATCACTTGAGGTCAGGAATTTGACACCAGCCTGGCCAACATGGTGAAACCCCATCTCTACTAAAAATACAAAAAAATTAGCTGGGAATGGTGGTGGATGCCTGGTCCCAGCTACTCGGGAAGCTGAGACAGGAGGATCACGTGAGCCTGGAAAGTGGAAGGTTGCAGTGAGGCAAGATCACATCACTGTACTCCAGGCTTGGGTGACAGAGCAAAAACCTGGTCTCAAAAAAAAAAAAAAAAAAAAAAAAGTTTGAAACTACCTTCTTAAACCAGGATGAAGGAAAAGGTGCTAATCTCAAAACCTCTGAAAATGTGTAGAATCTGTAAAACTAAAGTTACTATATTCCAGTACTATAAATACTTTATTCTAGTTAATGAAGTCATAGTCCACAGAGGTAAAAGTTAACAATTCTGATGCTCTTGTATGTGCATACCAGAGGCTCTAGGGAAGAATTCCCTCTTTCTTTCTTCCACCTTCTTGTGGCTGCTGGCATTCTTTGGCTTGTGGTCACATCACTCCTATCTTGAAGGCCAGCATCTTCAAATCTGTTTCTTCTTCACATAGCCTTCTGTGTGTGCAGTGCCCTCTACCTCTCTCTTATAAAGACATTTGTGATTAAATGGAGGGTTTAGGATAATCTCGTCAAGATCCTTAACTTAATCACAACTGCAAAAACCTCTTTCCCAAATAAGGTAACATTCACAGGTTCCAGGGATTAGGACCTATTATCTTTGGTAAGTATTATTCAGCCTACCACAATAGCTAAAACAATTCTGAAAAAGAAGAATAAAGTGAGAGAAATCAGTTTATCTGATTTCGATACTTATTGTATAGCTATGGTAAATAAGGCTGCATGGTATTAAAGAAAGGACATATATGAATGAAACAGAATAGAGGACCCAGAAATAGACCCACACAAAGGAGCCCAAATTATTTTTAACCAAGGTAGAAGACAATTTATTGGAGGAAAGACAGCCTTTTCAACAAATGGTACTATAACAATTAGATATCCATAGGCAAAAAAAAAAAAAAAGAATCTTGATCTAAGGCTCACACCTTATATAAAATAATATTAAACTCATGGCCAGGCACAGTGACTCATGCCTATAATCCCAATACACTGGGAGGCTGAGGCAAGAGTATCACTTGAGGCCAGGGGTTCAAGACTAGCCTGGGCAACACAGTGAAACTCTATCTCTACAAAAAAATTATAAACTAGCTGGGCATGGTGGCACATGCCTGTAGTCACAACTACTCACGAGGCTGAGAAGATCACTTAAGCTGAGTGGTTCAAGGTTCTAATGAGCTACAATCGTGCCACTGCACTCCAGCCTAGGTGACAGACAAAGACCCCATCTCAAAAAAAAAAAAAAATTACTCAAAATGGATCACAAATTCAAACATAAAATGTGAAACTATAAACTTAAAAAAAAATAAAGCATTCAGGATCTAAGGCTTCTGTGATGGTTAACTGTATGTGTCAAATGGGCTGGGCCACAGTACTCAGATATTTCCATTATTCTGAAAGTTTCTGTGACAGTGCTTTTTTTTGGATGAAATTAACACTTTTAAATGTGGACTGAGAGTAAAGCAGATTGCCCTCCAGAATGTGAGTGGGCCTCATCCAATCAAATGAAGGCCTGAATAGAACAACAGACTGACCTACCTCAAGCAAAAAGATATTCTGCCACCAGACAGCCTATCAATTTGAAGTGCAACATCAGCTCTTCCCTGAGTCTCTAGCCTGCCAGTCCACCCTGCAAATTCTGGACTTCATGCATCACTTAACAACGGGGATATTTTCTGAGAAATGTAACAGTCAATTTCATCTTTGACTTTCACAGAGCGTTCTTACACAAAACGAGATGGTATAGCCTACTACACACCTAAGTTAGATGGTATAGCCTATTGCTCCTAGGTTACAAAATTGTACAACATATTATTGTACTGAATACTGTAGGCAACTGGAACAAAATGGTAAGTATTTGTGCATCTAAACATAGAAATGAACAGTAAGAATACAGTATTATTATCTTCTGGTACCGTCATCATTCATGCAGTCCATCATTGACTGAAATGTCATTATGCGGTGCATGACTGTATACACACACACATACACAACCTTATCAGTTCTATTTCTCTGGAAAAGCCTAATATAGCTAGAGTTCTTATACTTGATATAAAGGCATGATCTATAAAAGGGAAAACGGATAAACTGGACCTCAACAAAGTTAAAACTAGTTCTTGGACTTAACACAAAACCATGATTCCACATAAGGAAAAAGCAGTAAACAAGACTTCACCAAAGTTAAAAACTTGTGCTCTGCAAAGACACTATCAAGAGGATGAAAAGGCAAGCTACATGCTGGGAGAAAATATCTGCAAACCATGTATTTGGCAAATGGCTAGTATCTAAACTATGTAAAAAAAAAAACTCTCAAAATTCAACAGTAAAAAAAACCAAACAATCCAATTCGAAAATGGGCAAAAGACATGCAGAAACATTTCAATGAAGAGGATATATCAATGGCAAATAAACATATGAAAACATATTCAACATCAGTACCCATTAGAGAAATGCACATCAAAATCAAAATGAGATTACCCACCTATCAGAATGGCTAAAATAAAAAAATAGTGACAACACCAAATGCTGGTGAGCACGCGGAGGAACTGGATTACTCATACGTTGCTGGTGGGAATTTAAAATGATACTGTCACTCTGTAAAAACACTTGGGACTATTTTCTAAAAACTAACCATGCAACTACTTTATGAACAGCAATTATACTTGTAGGCGTTTATCCCAAAGAAATGAAAAGTTATATTCACATAAAAACCTGTACAGAAATGTTTACAGCAGCTTTGTTTGCAACAGCCAAAAACTGGAAACAACCTAGATATTCTTTTATGGATAAATGGTTAAATAAACTATGGTACATCCATACCATAGAATACCACTCAGCAACAAAAAGAACAAACTATTGATAACACACAGCAGCCTGGATCAATCTACAGAGTTACACTGAATGAAAGGCCAATCCCCAAAGGTATGATTCCATTTATATAAAATTCTTCAAATGACAAAAGTATAGCAATGGAAAACAGATGAGTGGTGATTGGGGTTAAGGAGGGTTAAGATGGGAGGGAATTGGTTATGGCTGTAAAAGGGCAACATACAGGATTCCCGTGGTGATGGAAATGCTCAGCATATTAACTGTACCAATCTGAAACCCCTGATCGTGATATTACAGTATAGTGTTGCAAGATGCTACCACTAAAGGTAACTGGATAGAGGGTACAAGAGACCTGTCCAAATTATTATTATTATTTTGAGACAGGGTCTCACTCTGTTGCCCAAGCTGGAGTGCAATGGTGCAATCTCGGGTCACTGCAACCTCTGCCTCCTGGGCTCAAATGATCCTCCCACCTCAGCCTCCCAAGTAGCTGGGACTACAGGCACATGCCACTACACCCATCTAATTTTTGTATTTTTTGTGGAGATGGAGTTTCGCCATGTTTCTCAATTTAGTCTTGAACTCCTGGGCCCAGGTGATCCTCCCACCTCGGCCTCTCAAAAGTGCTGGGATTACAAGCATGTGCCACCACACCCGGCCTCCAAATTATTTCTTGCAACTGCTTATGAATCTACAATTCTCTCAAAATGAAAAGTTTAATTAAAGAAGACTGATCAGTAGTGATGTAAGTCAGGAAAATGAAAACCTCCTAAGACAGACATAGGAGCTGAGGGTGTGATATCGACAAGGAAGGGGCTCGAGACTGGTTACAGAATATATACATAAGTAAAAATTCATCAAGCCATACACTGAAAATTAGTAATATTTACACCCTTGCTATGCTTGAAAAAAAAATTATTTAAATTTGGCAACTGATTATTAATCTTGTTGGCTGTGATAATTGTATAAATTATGTATAAAATTTTGCGGGGTTTTTTGGTTCTTGTTTTTAGAGACGAGGTCTCACTATGTCACTCAGGCTGGTCTCAAACTCCTGGCCTCAAGTGATCCTCCCACCGCAGCCTCCTGCATAGCTGGGACTACAAGCGCACACTAAAATTCTTTTAACTGCCTTGTAAATTATCAACAATGAAACCATGAGTATCTTTAGCAGAAACAGTTTGGGTGGTGTGGTGGAGCCAGAAACCACACTGGAGAGGTTATCATGTGAGTGGGAAATGAGCAAGTGCAGAAAAGCAAATACATATCAGTTTTTCCAGGGGTCGCCGATAAAGGTAAAGGAAGATAAAAGATGCTCAGACGGGAAGGAGGAGCTGAAGAAGAGCTTTACTAAGATGAGAAAAACATGAGCAAATGTAAATGCTGAAAACACTTGACAAACAACAAGTCTAAAGCCATATGAGCACAATACTATAATCTTTGGCATAAGGTATGTGAAATGTGGGAAGAGTGAATATGAGGAGAATGTTCTTTGATTGCACAGGAAACACTTGCATTGTACTGGGGGAAAAGAGGACTGTTGATACAGGTGTATTTATAGATCTGATGGTGGAAATAATAACAGAAATAACAACAATAATAACAATGGCAGCTATATTTTATGGCATACTTATTGTTATAGCCAGTCCCCAAGGAGGCTCCTCAATGATCCTCAAATCCTGATATGCACACCCCTGTGTAGTCTCCTCCCACACAGAACAGGGCTGAACTGCACAATCAATAGGATATGACAGTGGGCAATTTCAAAGATGAGGACTAAAGGACAATGCAGTGTCTACCACGTTCTCTCTGCTCCATCTGAAGAAAACTAGAAACAACACACAAGCAGCCATGAAGAGGCCCAACTAGCCCCACGTGAGTGAACCATCTTCAGAAGCAGCCCCTCCAGCCCCAGCCTTCATTAGGACTGCAACCTCAGGAGACATCCCTAGCCTTCGGAATCACCCAACTAAGCTGCTTCTGATTCAGTGACTCACAGGAACCAAGTGGTAATGTTTACTATTTTAAGCCACTCGAATTGGGGGTAGTTTATTAAACATCAATAGATACATAATGCATTTATTATGTGCCTCAAGAACCGTGACCCCAATTTTTAAATGAAGAAACTAAAACACACAGAGGTTCAGTGATTTTCCCCAATTATCACACAGATGGCAAGTGATACAGAACCAGATTCCAATCTAAAGCCAGTACTATTAACCATGTGCTCCCCAAAGCTGAAGTCGTTTCCATCCCATGGCTTTCATATTTGCTGTAAAGTGGAAGGAAGGCAAGGTTATCTTCTCATGAGAGCAGGGGAAAATAAGTGAAACAGAGAACTGAGTAAAATGAAGAAGGTCTGAAACAGCTGCCATGGAGAGTTAGGAAGAGGGCTGGCTGGAGAAATCTAATAGGATTTCCAAACAGTGTTAAGGCCCCAGGAGAAGTTAGGAGCCATGGAACTCCAGGGCAGTGAACTTAAGATGACTGTAATGAAAAAAACATAGGATTGCGTGCGTACATAAATATAAAATGTAATTTGAAGTGTGAAATTGTGGTGATGGCTGGATGGAATCCTGTGTCTTTCCTAAGGCCCATTAGTTCCCTGAGGAGCTAAATATAGAAAAATTCCAGGAAAGACTATATATTCTATGTCAGAGTATCACATAAAGACTGAACAAAAACTCACTAAGACACACAATGATAAACTGACAGAGGTACTTCACATAGCTTCCTTGATCTCAAACACTAGAAGTTTTTCTAAAGTCTTCCCTTTTTCCTATTTCCATTCCAAAATGTCACAAGAAAAATTACAACCTACAGAAAGAATATACTTCCATGACAATCAGACCACACCTAAGGGCACCCCTCGCAATTATTCCCAGACTTGATGAATAATCTTACAACAGAACTTCAAGCCAAAAACTCATTAATTTTTAAATTCACTTAAAGTTAGACTTTTCAAAATATATTCAAGTTTCAATTTCACGTATGTACTTTTAAAATGTCTTCACTTCACTTGAGAAATAAAATGGCATAGATCTAATCTCAAAAGAAAGGTTTAAAAAGAAAAAAAAAAGCCAGGTACAGTGGCACACACCTGTAATCCCAGCTCTCTGGGAGGCCAAGGCAGAAGGATCACTTGAGCCCAGGAAGTGACCAGCCTGGGCAACACAGTGAGATCCTGTCTCTAAAAAAAAAAAAAATTTTTTTTTAATTAGCTGGCTGTGGTGGCACACACCTGTAGTACCAGCTACTGGGGAAGCTGAGGTGAGAAGATCACTTGAGCCCAGGAGGTGAAGGCTGCAGTGAGCCATGACTGTTCCACTGTATTATAGCCTAGGCAACAGAGCAAGACCTTGTCTTAAAAAAAAAAAAAAAAAAGAACCAGGAACACAGAAAAATTTTTCCAGACTAATACTCAGTGAAATCAAGTGTGGATACTTAGACACTTAAGACAAAAGTTAGCAGTTAATATTCCAAGGACATCTTTCCTCAAATAACCATTATTACCTGAAGACTTCTTGGAACCAAGTCAAAATGGGTACAGGTAAAAAAGAGTAAAAATTTTTTCTATTAGAAGAAATATCATCACTGAGTAAATTAAGTAAATCCCCTCTGCCTTATACATAATCAATAGAGAAAAGGGAAAAAAAGTTTCCTCACTTAAAGTAGATCTAGTCCTGTCATGGTATAAGAATAATTATGAAAACCAAAGTGACCCTTTATGAACTCCACAAGTTATTTCACATATTTTCTAGATCTCTAAATCAGGATAGAACCCATGTACTCTGAAAATACAAAGCAAAACAAGTCTTAACTCTTACAAATATTTCAATTAAAACTATAACTAATATTTTCACTAGGGTGGTACAGTGTTTCCTCATTCTATTTTTAATCTTACCCTTATCTGTTCAGTGGAGCTGCTGCTAAGTTCATCACCAGATTCAGAATCTTGATGTATTCTTTCAGAGCCTTCTCCTGCGGAATCACAAGATTGTTCCTGGGAGAAGCTAGTTTTCTCTACATCCAAGAACTCTGGACCGGGAAAATGACCAAATGAGCGTGTCCTATTCTGGCTGGAAACTTTAGGAGAATGTGAGTCATTGTTAAACTTTCCGTTATTATGGGTCAGGTCCAGGCTTAGGTTGACAGTCTGACCTTGATTATAACTGGGTCCAAAATTCTGATTGGCATCACGAATAAGACCTGTTCCTTGAACAGATGACGATGGCTTTCCGAAACTTGAAAGCTCAGGCAATTTGTTCACATTTTCTGTTGATCTCTGAAGATGCAAACTCTGCATTATTTTCGTGGAGTTATTTGGCAGACCAGCTACCTGCTTAACAGGTGGCATGAGAGCTTTGCGCGTGACCTCCTTCACATACTGGGCTGGCACATAAAACGCTTTGGAGTTTTCATCTGGCTTGACTTGCCACCAGTCATCATTGGTCTTTTTCACCAAGATGTACCTCTCCCCTTGTTTTATCACAATCTTTCTGTCCTTTGCTTCATATTCATAATCATATTCCACCTCAATATACACTTGTCCTGGAATAATCTTCCCACTTCTGTCAGCCATTTTCATTCAATAATATTCACCTCTCAAAAAGGATGTTATACCACATTATGGCTTTATGGCTTGTTGGATGAATATAGCTGTTTTATTTAAATGGAGAAAGAGAATGAAGAAAAAAGTTAATGCAATCTGGATTTCGTATTTACTCACAAGCATCATATAGTATAGGCCATTTAAAGAACATTACTTCAAATCTCAAACCCCAAAAAGCAAACATGTGTCTACTATCATATGCACTGCCACATTAAAAACACTTTCATTCTAATTGTAATCTACATTTTTCAGTCACTTATGACCAAAACAAAAGCCGATAACTGGAACAGTAAATATACACTAACCAGGTAGACACAAGAGTTGAGAAGAACTTTCCTTCCTTTCATTACTCCCTCAAACCTCCTTCACCTTCTTAGAAAGGCTCACTAATAACTAATATGCATTTACTTTCATTTCTATAACAATTCCAAAATATTTTAGTACCTCCTAGAACACGGCATTACGGGTTTAAATGATCACCTCCTAGAACACGGCATTACGGGTTTAAATGATCACTGCATCCTCACATCACTACAGCATGAGCCAGTTCCCACCTGTTTGGGGATGAATTGTGTTCCCCCAAAAGACAGTTCAAGTCCTAACCCCAGGATCTGTGAATGTGACTTTATTTGTAAAGAGGGTCTTTGCAGATGTAATCAAGTTAAGACAAGGTCATATTTGATTAGGGTGGGCCCCAAAATCCAATGACTGGTGCCTTTATAAGTAGAGGGAGATTAAGGGCACAGTGGCTTACACCTATATTCCCAACACTTTGGGAGGCTGAGGCAGGTGGATTGCTTGAGCCCAGGAATTTGAGAGCAGCCTGACCAACATGGCAAAACCCTGCCTCTACAAGAATTACAAAAATTAGCTGGGTGTGGTGGCATGCACCTGTAGTCCCAGCTACTTGGGAAGCTGAGGTGGAAGGATCTCTTGAGCCCAGGAGGCTGAAGTTGTGGTGGACCAAGATCACACCACTGCACTCCAACCTGGGTGACAGAGTGAGACTTTGTCTCAAAATAAAAAGAAAAAAAGGAGGAGATTTACAGAGAGGAAAGCTACAGAGGGAGAAGACCATCTGAAGAGAGAGGCAGAAACTGGAGTGGAGTGAAGCAGCTAAAAGCCAAGGAACACCAAGGACTGCTGGCAACCACCAGAAGTCAGGCAGGGGTGAGGAAGGAAGGGTTCTCCCCTGGAGCCTTCCGAGGGAGCACGGCCCTGCCAAAACTGATTTTGGACTTCTAGCCTCCAGACCAGTGAGAGAATAAAAATAACTGTCTGCTGTTTAAGCACTCCAGTTTGTAGTATTTGTCACAGCAGCCCTAGGAAACTAATACATTCAACCCAATGCTCAAGGATCCTAAGGCAAACTGAGATTTACCAAAAATGTGCAAACCCAAGGTTCCATAACAACCTACTAATTTTCTATAGCAAACAAGTACTGAGCATATTATTCTACACTACAGGTGTAGTAACCATCATTCTCCTGAGGATAACAATCTTCTCTATGACAGATAACGCCTATAAGGCCAGGTGGTAAGTCAATTAGTCACTGATACAATTTTGTTAACTGAAATTTACTTTCTAGACAAACTACTTGACTAACAAATTTAATACAACACATTTTCAAAAAATAAAAAATTACCTTAGAACAAGGAGATCTACACCAGTATCACATTTAAACCTGTAAAAAAATAAATAAGTTCATTAACTCAAACCAAGATCGCTGAAGACTAAGAATATAATGTTGCTTACATTTTTAAAAGCAAAACTTTTTTTATAATAGCTATAAGGAATCAGGAAAGTTTTATACATCAAGATTGTGGTCAGCACCGCCCTCCAAATACATGCAAACACAACCACCAACAGCCACTGAGGCTGGCTTTACCACTGCCCTCTCCCACTGTACTTCCACACTGTCTCAAACTTCATTTTGTCCCTTATTTTTAATTCTGACAAGCATCTTTCTAAACTTCTGATTATACAACAAACATCTCTTCTATTATAAAACTGTGAGGATGAAATAACTGTTTTTCAAGTTTATGTATTGAATGGGTAAAGAGAATAAAAACGTATGTTAAAAGTTATTAGGTGTCCTAACACATTTGTCCCCTGATTACTTCCTAATTATTTTATTTATTTTTTTATCTTATTTATTTATTTTTTGAGACAGAGTCTCTGTTGCCCAGGCTGGAGTACAGTGGCACGATCTTGGCTCACTGCAGGCTCTGCCTCCCAGGTTGAAGCAATTCTCCTGCCTCAGCCTTCCAAGTAGCTGGGATTACAGGCATGAGCCACCATGCCCAGCTAATTTTTGCATTTTTATTAGAGATGGGGTTTTGCCATGTTGGCCAGGCTGGTCTCGAACTCCTGACCTCAGGTGATCCGCCTGCCTCAGCCTCCCAAAGTGAGGGGATTATAGGCATGAGCCACCGCACCTGGCTATTTACTTTCGAGACACAGTCTCACTCTGTCACGGAGGCTGGAGTGCAGCTGTACAATTTGGGTCACTGCAACCTCCACCTCCTGGGCTCAAGCAATTTTCCCACTTCAGCCTCCCGAGTAGCGGGAACTGCAGTTGCACACCACCACACTCTGCTAATTTTTGTATTTTTTTAGAGATGAGGTTCCACCATGTTGCCCAGGTTGGTCTTAAACTCCTGGGCTCATGTGATCCACCCACCTCTGCCTCTCAAAGTGCTGGGGCTGCAGGCGCGACCACACCCAGCCTACTTACTAATCTTAAATAGGATAAAATACCTTAACAATGGAAAGATGTGGTGGCATAAGCTTAACCAAATGATCAAACTTAAGAGCACTAATGCGACCTGACAAGATATGCCTCCTATGTGATGCAATAAAACATACACAATGTCACCTACGTTATATTCTTGTCAAAAGCATGTTTCACCTTAAGCAATTATTAGAAAACAATCAAACAAATCCAGAATGTGAGACATTCTATTAGACAACAGACCTGAACTCTTCAAAAAAGTACTGTCAAGGGAGGGGGATTCTTCTAGACTAAAAAAGACTATTAATACATAATAACCAAATCTACTTGGTGGTCCAATAAATACCTCAAACTTATCATAACCAAAATGTATTCCCATCTCTACCCTACCCGAGCTCTGCCAAATATGCTCACCCCATGGTCTCTTCCATCACAGTAAACAGGAATTCTGACCTTTCAGACGCTCAGTCGTTACTTTCATGCATTACCAGAACGCTAGTCACTATGTGCTTTGATCATTTACCTATACAAATTTTTCACAACTTTTCAAAATTTTACCCTGAAATGCTTATCCTTAGGTGATTTTTTTTCCAGGAAAGTAATAAAATAACTTAAGAAATATCTTTGAAGATACAGAGATGAGCGAGGGAATATGCAGCTACTTTTCAAAAGGTTACAGCAGCTCAGACATACTATAGTTAGTTAGACATTTATCCCTAAGAATGGAGAAAAGAAGGATGAAGAATAACAAGTGAGCTGTACGGTTTCACACTAGTGGGAGAGGAATTGTGGGGCTGGGGACAACAATGAGTTAAAGGCCAGTCCACATTCAATCTCTTTCACTGCCAGGCTTTAGGACTACACCTTCCCCACAGTGACTACAAAGATAAGTATGAAGGAGGAGTTAGGGAGAAAGATAAAGCAAGTCGGTTTTACTATGTTCAACATGAGACATCCAATCTAGAGTTTTAGTTAAAGGCAATGAGAAGTAGGAGGGCAAAGGAGATGGATAAGTGGTCAAAAGGTATCTCTATAGAAAAGGTGGTTAGATACCAAGGCAGGTAAAATGAGCAAGAGTGGAGACAATGGGATAGAAAGTAAGAGCTGAGATAGATTTCTAGTCAATACCGGGGTGAAGGGTGGGGAAACAGGTTGGGAAGCTCCAAGAGAAACTATTAAAATTATAAACATGCAGAAAGCCACATAGCAGGAACTACATGTTACAATCCAAGGTCTAGGAAGAGCCACATAAAAATGAAAGAAAAAAACTTATTATAAATTATTCATTCAGAAACAATGAAAATATTAACCCCTTGTTAGACATATAGTTTACAAATATTTTCTCCCATTATATAGGTCATCTCTTCATTCTGTTGACTGTTTCCCTTGCCACGCAGAAGCGTCTCAGTTTGATATAATGCCATGTGTCGGCCGTACACTGAGCTCCACAGAAACAACGCCAGGGCAAGTGTGAGCCAGAAAGGCACTGAGCAACTCTATGCCTTGATGAGGAAAAATAACTGAACACGGGCAAAGATCCAAAGAAGTCAAGAGGCAAAAATGTCATTATACACATTATTTGTGCAAACTTGCCAGGAGGAGCACAGGAAGCACCCAGATGGTTCAGTCAGCTTCTAAGGGTCTTTCTAAGAAGCGCTCAAAGAGGTGGAAAACCACGTTTGCTAAAGAGAAGGGAAAATGTGAAGACAGGCAAAGATAACCCTGGCCCATTATGAAAGAGAAATGAAAGCCTACACCCCTCCTAAAGGGAAAACAAAATAGAAGTTCAAGGATCCCAATACACCCAACGGGCCTCCTTTGTTTGGCCTTTTTCTTGTTCTGTTCTGAGTATGGGCCAAAAATCAAAGGTAAACATCCTGGCCTATCCACTGGATATACTGTAAAGAAACTGGGAGAGCTGCAGGTGACAAGCAACCTTATGGAAAGATGGCTGTGAAGCTGAAGGAAAAATACAAAAAGGATATTGCTGCATACCAAGCTAAAGGAAAGCCTGATGCTGCAAAAAAAAAAAAACACGAGTCATCAAGGCTGAAAAAAAAAGCAAGAAAAAGAAGAAAGATGAGGAAAATGAAGAGAATGAGGAAGAAGAGGAAAATAAAGATAAACATGAAGATGATGACAAATCAGTTGGTTCTAGCAGGGTTTTTTTTTTTTTTGAAGAAAGAATTGAAATGTAAGGCTGTATAAGATTTGTTTTCAAACTGTACAGTGTCTTTTTTTGTACAGTTAATACACTACCAAACATGTCTTTAGATAGCCCTGTCCTGGTGGTATTTTCAATAGCCACTAACCTTCTTGGTATAGCACGGGGGTTGTAAAATGGCATGGAAATTTAAAGGTACTTGGTGCACAGCACAAATCAGTTACTTATGGAGATGGTAGTTTCTTCATCTTCAGTTGTTGTCTCTATGCAGCTTACATGAAATAATTGTTCTGTTAACTAAACTAAATACCACTCTGTAATTGCAAAAACAAAAGCTGCAGTTGTTTGTTAAAATTCTGAATGCTTCTAATACAATTTTTTATTAAGAAAATAATAATAATGCCATTTGCTATTTTTGCTTTCGTTGCCTGTGTTTTAGAGGTCATATCCAAAAGTCCTTGCCCAGACTAATGTCATGAAGCATTTCCCCTATGTTTTCTTTCTATAGTAGGTTCATAGTTTCAGGTTTTATATTTAATTCTCTAATTAAATATAAAATGACTGTTTTATATGGTGAGAGAGAATCTAGCTTCATTCCTCTGCATGTCGCTATACATCTGACAAGGGGCTAACATCCAAAAAGGATAAGGAATCAAATAACTCAATAGCAAAAAAAAAACAAATAATCCAATTTAACAATGGGCAAAAGCCCCAAATAAATGTTCTTCAAAAGAAGACACACAAAAAGCCAATAAGTGTAAGAAAAAAATGCTCAACATCACTAATCAGGGAAATGCAAATCAAACCCACAATGAGAAAGCACCTCACCCCAGTTAGAATGGCTATTATCAAAAAGGCAAAATATAAGCTGGCGAGAATGTGGAGAAAGGGGAACCTTTATATACTGTTGGTGTTAATGAAAATTAGTATTGCCATAATGGAAAACAATATGGAAGTTCCTCAAAACATTAAAAATGGAACTACTATATGATCCACCAATTCCACTACTGGGCATATATTCTAAGGAAATGAAATCAGTATGTGAAGAGATATCTGCACTCCCACATTTACTGCAGCAGTATTCGAAATAGGCAAGATATAGAATTAATCTAACTGTCCATTAAAGGATAAAGTGTATATACATACACACATACACACAACAGGATACTACTTAGCCATAAAAAAGAAGGCAATCCTGCCATTCGCAACAACATGAATGAACCCAGTGGACGTTACGTTGAATGAAATAAGCTAGGCACAGAAAGACAAACACCACATGGTCTCACTCACATGTGGAATCTAAAAATATTGATCTCTTAGAAGCTGAGGCCAGGCGCAGTGGCTCATGCCTGTAATCCCAGCACTTTGGGAGACCGGGGCGTGCAGATCACCTGAGGTCGGGGGTTCGAGACCAGCCTGACCAACATGGAGAAACTCCGTCTCTACTAAAAATACAAAATTAGCCAGGCGTGGTAGCGCATGCCTGTAATCTCAGCTACTTGGGAGGCTGAGGCAGGAGAATTGCTTGAACCCGGGAGGCGGAGGTCGTGGTGGGCCAAGATAGCGTCATTGCACTCCAGCCTGGGCAACAACAGTGAAACTCTGTCTCAAAAAAAAAAAAAAAAAGTTGAGAGTAAAATGGTGGTAACGAGAGGCTAAGGGCCTAGGGGAGAAATACTGAGATGTTGCTCAAAGGACATACAATCATAGTCAAATAGGAGGAATAAATTTCAAGAGATCTATTGTACAGCAAGGTGACTACAGTAAATGACAATATACTGTATTCTTGAAAACTGTAAAGAGAGTGGATGTGTGCTCTCACCACTAAAATGATAACTATGTGAGGTAATGCATTTGTAAATTAGCTAAATTTAGCCATTCCACTACGTATATATACTTCAAAAACTATATTGTACATAATAAAAAACATACAGTGTTATCAATTTTTTAAAAATGTGCTGAGAATGTGGAAATGGAATCATGAAATAATTTACGTTTAAAAAAATGAAACAAACTTCACAGAAAGGACAAAAATCAGATAAATTCTCTGAAAAAAATAATTAAAATGATTATGGGGTAGCACTAAAACTTTAGATCTAGGTAACAGTATCTACAAATGTGTGAATAATTAATGCTATTTTTACTTAAAAACATAAGCTGTATTAAAACAAACGTTTACAGTTTTAATTTTGGGTTGTTTCTTCCTCTGTTCCCCAGACCTGTAGATTCTGTTCTTAAGAGAAAGTTGAACGCTGTTTATCCTGTTTCTATAAAGTATTTTGGTTAAAAGTTTGCTCAATCAAATACAACGCTGTCCAAGCACAATACTCCTGGAACTGAAATGTATTCTATACTATACCCATCACCACACGCCTCCATCCATATTCATCCCAAACACTTACAACTACTAAGTACCCAACTCCCAGTATATACAAGGTCTGCATACCTACTGCCTGCTACACCCCGATGCTGCTCTTAGCAGTCTCAAAAACGCCCATACAAGCTTTTCATGCCTCTTACCAGTCTTCTTCCTCCTCCCTTTTTCCACGTTTCAACAACCACCACCCCCGACACACACGCCTGCTTATATATTTTACTTCTCTGCCCCCAAGTCAGATTCAAATTTCCTATCACGCTATTTTTTAATCTAAAAGCCTCCTCCTTTCTATCTGCCAATTTTTAAAATTTTCTTCCCATTTAAACTACCAAGAAGCCTACCAAAACTTAAACAGTTCAGCAAATGTTGTCTTTCTCCCCCAGGACATCCGTTTTAACCAACCAATCTGTTTAAGAGGTATATCAAAAAAAGTAAACAGGTAAACAAAACGTTAAAGAAACATAATGTATCTTTTTTTTGGAGATGGAGTCTCCCTCTGTCACGCAGGCTGGAGTGCAGTGGCGCCATCTTGGCTCACTGCAATCTCTGCCACCCGGGTTCAAGCGATTCTCCTGCCTCAGCCTCCCAAGCAGCTGGGACTACAGGTGCCCGCCACCACATCTAGCTAATTTTTGTAGTTTTAGTACAGATGGGGTTTCACCATGTTGGCCAGGCTGGTCTGGAATTCCTGACCTTGTGATCCGCCCGCCTTGGCCTCCCAAAGTGCTGGGATTACAGGTGTGAGCCACCACGCCCAGCCGAAACATAATGTATCTTAATTAGTGAGCTTACAATTTAAGTCCAATCCAGATACGTATAACCTATTTAGCAATGCTAATATTGTGAACTATAAAATGTTAATATAGCTTCAAACATATAAAATATTAAGAAACTTTTCCAGTTTAAGCACTGAACTTCGCATCAAATCCTCCGAGTATTTTTTAAAGTACTTGTTTAAAATTAATAATCCCAGGCCGGGCGCGATGGCTCACACCTGTTAATCCCAGCACTTTGGGGGGCTGAGGCGGGCAGATCATGAGGTCAGGAAATCGAGACCATGCTGGTTAACACGGTGAAACCTCGTCTCTACTAAAAATATAAAAATTAGCCAGGCGTGGTAGCACGTGCCTGTAATCCCAGCTACTCGGGAGACTGAGGCAGGAGAATATCTTGAACAGGAGGCAGAGGTTGCAGTGAGCCAAGATCGCACCACTGCACTCCAGCACTCCAACAGAGCAAGACTTAGTCTCAAAAAAATAAAAAAGAAAAGAAATCATTACCCTAGTCTTTATAAAAGTTCAATGAAACTTTCGATCTCCTAACAACTTATTCTAGAAGAAAAACATTCACTTCACAACACTACTGGCTACCCAGGTATCTTCTCCTCCCCAACCCATTCAGGTATTCTGAAACTATACACATTACTCTCTTAAAGAAAATCTTCTAAATATCACTTACATTCAATTACTTGCATGTGTTTACCAATCCCCCATGTTTTAAAAAGATATAATCCACAAAACAAAGGCAAATACATCTGTTAGTGCAGCAATTATTTAAGTCTGGCCACTGCAAAGTTCTAGTGTCAGACATCAGTAACTCACCCAAAAAAAGGAGAAAACACTCTATAATGTTTAAATTATGCCAGTTTACTTCAAATAAACATTGGGATATCAAGAGTCATGGTGGGCAAAGAACCTGACAGACATTTTTCAAAAGAAGATACAGACGGTTCCCAACTTGCAATGGTTCCAGTTACAATTTCCTGACTTTATGGTGGGTTTATTGGAATATCAAATACCTTTTTTTTTTTTCTTTTGAGAGATGGGGGTCTCATTCTGTCACTTAGGCTGGAGTGCAGTGGTACCATCATAGCTCACTGCAGCCTTAAACTCCTGGGTTCAAGAAATCTTCCTGTCTCAGCCTCCTGAGTAGCTAGGACTACAGGTACGTACCACCACACCTAGCTAATTTTTAATCTTTTTAGAGATGAGGGTCTTGCTATGTTGCTCAGGCTAATTTAAATGCATTTTTGACTCACAACATTTTTGACTTATGATCAGTTTATGAGAACATAATACCATCATAAATTAAGGAGCATCTGTATATAAGCGGCCAGTAAGAACCTGCAAAGATGCTGAATATTACTGATCATTAGGGAAATCACACACACACACACACACACACACACACACACACACACACACACCAATGAGATACCACTTCACACCCAACAGGACGGCTATCATTTTTTTTAAATTAAAAAATAGACCAAGTACAGTGGCTCATATCTGTAATCCCAGTAATTTGGGAGGCCGAGGCAGGAGGATCACTTGAGCCCTGGAGTTCAAGACCAGCCTGAGTAACATAACGAGGCCCCGTCTCTACAAACAAAAATTTAAAAAATAGCCAAGGATTGGTGGCACATGCCTGTAGCCCTAGCTACGCAGTAGGCTGAAGTGAAAGAATCGCTCAAGCCTGGAAGTTGAGGCTGCAGTGGGCTGTGACTGTGCCACTGCATTCCAACCTCAGCAACAGAGTGAGACCCTGTCTCAAATAAATAAATATAACTAAATAAATAACAAATGTTTGTGAGGATGTGGAGAAACTAAAACTCTTGTGCACTGCTGGTGGAAATGTAAAGTGGTACAGCCACTAGGGAAAATGGTATGGTAGTTCCTCAAGGAAACTGAAAATACAATTACCACATTATCCAGCAATTCCACTTCTGGGTATACACCCACAAGAATTGAAAGCAGAAAGTCAAACAGATATTTGTATATCCATGTTCACAGCAGCATTAATCACAATAGTCAAAAAGTGGAAGCAAACTAAATATCCATCAATGGACGAATAAACAAAATGTGATACATACATAAAATATTATTCAGCCTTAAAAAGGAAGGAAATTCTGACAGTACAATGTGAATGAACTCTGAAGACTATTTATGCTTAGGGAAATCGCCAGTCACAAAGGGCAAACATTATATGATTTCATGTATATAAGGTACCTAGAGTAGTCAAATTCATAAAGACAGAAAGCAGAATGGTGGTTACCAAGGGATGGAGAAAGACAGCAACAGGAAGTTACTGCTTAATGGGTATGGAGTTTCAGTTTAGAAAGATGAAAAAGTTCTGGAGATGAAGGGTGGTGATGGCTGGACAACAAAGTTAATTTATTTGATGCCACAGAACTGTGCACTCAAAAATGGTTAAAACAGTAAATTTCATGTTATATATATTTCACTAAAGACACTGTAGTATACAATTTAAATCACCTTATACCCATCTACTCAAAAGCCACAAGTAACTAAAATCCTCATGAAGCTCTTACAAATCCTCTTTAAAAGTAGATATAGGGCCAGGCGCGGTGGCTCACGCCTGTAATCCCAGCACTTTGGGAGGCTGAGGTGGGCGGATCACAAGGTCAGGAGATCAAGACCATCCTGGCTCCCACGGTGAAACCGTCTCTACTAAAAATGCAAAAAAATTAGCTGGGCATGGTGGTGGGTACCTGTAGTCCCAGCTACTCAGGAGGCTGAGGCAGGAGAATGGTGTGAACCAGGGAGGTGGAGCTTCCAGTGAGCCGAGATCGCACCACTGCACCTCCAGCCTGGGCAACACAGCAAGACTCCATTTCAAAAAAAAAAACAAAACCAAAAAAAACAAAAAACAAGTAAATATTGGCCAGGCACGGTGGCTCACGCCAGTCATCCCAGCACTTTGGGAGGATGAGGTGGGTGGATCACGAGGTAGGAGTTCAAGAACAGCCTGACCAACATGGTGAAACCCCATCTCTACTAAAAATACAAAAATTAGCTGGCCATGGTGGCATGCCTGTAATCCCAGCTACTCAAGGCAGGAGAATCGCTTGAACCTGGGAGGCGGAGGTTGCAGTGAGCCGAGATCGCGCAACTGCACTCCAGCCTGGGTGACAGAGCAAGACTCTGTCTCAAAAAAAAAAAAAAGTAAATACTAAAAAGCAAACAAACATTCAAACTCTTAGAAAACTGAAAATTAGCCGGGCGCAGTGGCTCACACCTGTAATCCCAGCACTCTGGGAGGCAGAGGTGGGCGGATCACAAGGTCGGCAGTTCCAGACCAGCCTGACCAACATGGTGAAACCTCACTCTACTAAAAATACAGAAATTAGCCAGGCGTGGTGGTGGGTGCCTGTAATCCCAGCTACTAGGGAGGCTGAGGCAGGAGAATCGCTTGAACCCAGGAGGCAGAGGTTGCAGTGAGCCAAGACTGCACCACTGCACTCCAGCCTAGGCGACAGAGTGAGACTCCGTCTCAAAAAAAAAAAAAAAAAAAAAAGAAAACTGAAAAGTAGCACTTACGCAGCATACAAATGATGAACTATTACCAATCCCTCAGCACATTTTGTCATCTACTGGAAAAAAAAAATCCACGATTTGTAAGTTTTATTCAAATTGATTTTAACAAGAATAAAAATCAATAATGTAAACTAAAGCCCAAATTAGGTATCACTACACATCAACTACAATAAAGTTTTTGTTTTTGTTTTTGTTTTAAAAAAGACAATAACAGTGCTGGCAAGTATTCCAGAAACTAGAGTATTTACATAGTGTTAGTGAGAGTGCTAAATAGCACAGCCAGTTTAGTAGTTTCTTACAAACCTAAGTTCCTGTATACCACATTCTCGGCCATGGAACAAGCCTCAATAAACTGAAAAGAACTGAAATTATGCAAAGTATGTTCTCCAATCACAATAAAATTAAATTAGAAACTCTCAAAAAGTATCTTAAAAACCCCAAAATTGTTTTTGGAATCTAAGCAACACACTTCTAAATGAGTCAGGAGTCAAAAGACAAAATCAGGCTGGACAAGGTGGCTCACGCGTGTAATCCCAGCTCTTTGGGAGTCGGAGGTGGGAGGATCACTTGAGGCCAAGAGTTCAAGACCAGCCTGGTGAGTTTTGAACTCCTGGTGAGACCCCGTCTCTACAAAAACTAAAAAAACTAGCCGGGCATGGTGATATGCACCTGTAGTCCCAGCTACTAAGGGAGGCTGAGGTAAGAGGATTACAGGAGCCCAGGAAGTCAAGGCTGCAGTTTGTGACACTGCACTTCAGCCTTGGTGAGAGTGAAACAACGTCTCAAAAAAAGAAAAAAGAAACCAAACAGGAAATGTGTACTGAATGAAAATGAAAACATGTAATTTCAAAATTTGTGGGATACAGCTGAAGTAGTGCTCAGACAAAACTTACAGCACTAAATGCCAGAAAAAACACAAAGTCTCACATCAATGACATAAGCTTCCACTCTAAGAAGGTAAAGAGGAGCAAATTAAATCCAAAGTTTGTAGAGGTCGGGCGCGGTAGCTCATGCCTGTAATCCCAGCACTTTGGGAGGCAGAGTCGGGCGGATAATGAGGTCAGGAGTTCGATACCAGCCTGACCAACATGGTGAAACCCCGTCTCTACCAAAAATACAAAAATGAGCTGGGCATGGTGGTGCATGCCTGTAATCCCAGCTACTGGGGAGGCTGAGGCAGGAGAATGGCTTGAACCCTGGGGACAGAGGTTGCAGTGAGCCGAGATTGTGCCACTGCATTCCAGCCTGGGTGACAGAGCAAGGCTCCATCTCAAAAAAAAAAAAAAAAAAAAAAAAAAAGTTTGTAGAAGAAAAGATATGAAAAAGATGAGAGCAGAAAGCAATAAAAAGAAAACAGAAAAATGTTAGAGAAAAATCAATGAAACCAGAGCCTGGTTCTTTAAGAGCAGTAAAACTGTCCAGGTGCAATGGCTCACACCTATAATCCCAGCACTTTGGGAAGCCAAGGCAGGCAGATCATCTGAGCTTAGAAGTTCAATGCCACCCTGGGCAACGTGGTGAAACCCCATATCTACCAAAAATACAAAAAATTAGCCGGGTGTGGTTGGCATGTGCCTGTGGTCCCAGCTACTCAGGAGGCTGAGGCTTGTGTCCAGGAGGCAAAGGCTGCAGCGAGCTGAGATCATGCCATTGCACTCCAGCCTGGGAGACAGAGCAAGACCCTGCCTCAAAAAAAAAAAAAAAAAAAAAAAAAAAAAAAAAAAAAAGCACAGATCAGTAAAACTGACAATCCTCTAGCCAAACTAATGGGAACAAAAGAGAAAAGAAACAAATTATCAAAAAGGTAACCAGAGACATAACTACAGATCCTGAAGACATCAAAAGGAAAATAGAAAATATTATGAACAACTTTATGCCAACAAACTCAACAATCCACATGAAGTAGACAAATTTTTTTTTTTTTTTTAAGAGACAGGGTCTTGCTCTGTTGCCCAGGCTGGAGTGCAGAAGCATAATCATAGCTCACTGCAGCCTCTAATTCCTGGGCTCAAGCAATCCTCCTAGCCTCAGCCTCCTGAATAGCTGGGACTACAGGTGCATGCTACCATGCCCTTCTAACAAATTTCTTGAAAGATACAAATAACCAAAGCTTGCTAAAGAATAAACAGATAACCTGAATACTCCTATATCTATTAAATAAACAGAATTTGTCTTTAAAAGCTTCCCACAAAGAAAACTGGCCCAGGCGGCTTCACTGGTGAATTTTACCAAAAACGTAAAGAAGTTACTACCAATTCTACATAAATCTCTCAAAAAAAAGTTGAAGCAGAGAGAAAACATCCCAACTCCATTCCACCAAAACCAAAGACATTATAAAAAAGAAAAAAATCATAGGTTAGGCAAGGTAGCTCACACCTGTAATTCCAGTGTTTTAGGAAGTCGAGACAAGAGGATCACTTGAGGTCAGGAGTTCAAAACCAACCTGGACAACATAGCACGAACCCGTCTCTACAAAAAAAGTTTACAAAATTAGCTGGGCATGGTGCCACACACCTGTAGTCACGGCTACTTGGGAGGCTAAAGTGGGAAGCCTGTTTGAGCCTGGGAGTTCGCGACTGCAGTGAACTGTGAACATGCCACTGTACTGCAGCCTGGGGTGACAGAGCAAGACCCTAACAGGAAAAAAAAAAAAAAAAAAAACAGGCAAAATATTTAAACAGACTTGTCCAAAGATCTATAGATGGTAAATAGGCTCATGAAAATATGCCCAACATCTTTAGCCATCAGGAAAATGCAAATTAAAACCAAAAAGAAAGAAATGTCACCACACATCTCACAGAATGGCTAAGTCAGGTCATACCAGTGTTTTTGAGAATGCAGGGCCAGTGGAACTCACACACAAAGCTGGTGAGGATGTAAAACTGAACCAGCATTTGAAATAAGTTTGGCAGATGCTTAAAATGTTAAATATGCATCTACCACATGATTCAGGGATTTTCCTCTTAGGTATTTACCAACAAAAATTAAAGCATATGTAGACACAAAGACAGTAGTTTCATCTGTAACAAAGAGAAACTCGCAAGTCAATCAACAATTGAATAAACTAATTGTGGTATATCCACACAATGGAATATCACTCAGCAATAAAAAGGAACGAACTGTTGATACACACAGCAAACTGGGTGAATCTCAAAATAATTTTCTTGAGTGAAGAAAAATCCAGACCAGAATCCATAGTACACGAGTCCATCTGCATAAAATTCTAGAAAATTGATTTCCTAGAATCAAACTAATTGATAGTGACAGAAAGCAGAGCAATAGTTGCCAAGGGACATGGGGAATGAATCACATAGGAGCTCAAGGAAATTTTTGATGGGTGAAAGAAATGTTCATTATCTTGAAAATGGTAGTGGCTTCACAGGTATATACATATGTCAAAACTCTTCAAATTGTACACTTAAAAAATATGTGCAGCTTGTTATACAGCAATTATACCTCAAAACTGTATTTTTTTAAAAAAACTGTTAAAACCCTAATGATGCAAATTAAAACAACCAGGTATCACTACTCACCTACTGGATGGCTTTCAAAAACACAGAATGTTTTGTATGGTAAAGATACCAGCAACTGGAATTCTCTTCATTGCTGGTGGAAATGCAAAATGGTACAACCACTGCGGAAAATAATTTGGTAATTTCTAATAAAGTTAAACATACGCTTACTACATGATCCAGCAATCCCTCTTCTAGGTATTTACCCAAGAGAAATGAAAACATAAGTCCACACAAAGGCCTTACATGAACATTCATAATGGCCAGAAATTGAAAACTCAAAGGCCTATGAACTTGTGAATACAAACTGTGGTACAATCCATCTCTAAAATAGGAAACAGTACAAACCTCAAAAGATCCTTGTAAGAACGGAAAGAGAAAACACGAAAAAAAGCACTTAGATATAAAGCATGATAGATGGTATCACATTAATCACTGCTTACTCAAGGAAGCAAAAGCTGTAATAGAGAAATACAAATCATATAGTATGTAGCCTTCTGTGTCTGACATGTTTCACTTAGATTAATGCTTTTGAGATTCACTCATGTTGTCTCCATAGATCATTCTTTTTTATTGTTGAATGTTAGTTTATTTTATGTATGTACATTACACTTTAATAAAACTGAAATTTAAAAATATATATTATGTAGCAAAATATAGGAAATTTTCAGCCAACTTTAAAAGATGTCACTCTAACCTCATAACATATTCTGAATTCTGCTGTGGGGAAGGAAAAGAGCACAGAACTTGGAGTCAGAGGTCTAAATTTTAAATCTAGGCTTTACCATTTATCAGCTCTCAGGACCCTAGGCACCTTAACTTGCCTGTAAAACAAAGCAAACAATACAAACCTCAAAAGATGTTTGTGAGAAGAAAGAAAAAAAACTTTGTAACTTTCAGACGTCACAGAGTATCTACATTAATCAGTGCTTACTCAAGGAAGCAAAAGTTGTGAGAGTAGAAAAATAGTCACAAACGCACTGATAATTTATAAAACATCCTGTCTCTGTCTCTCGCTGTGTGACTCTGGACAAGTCATTTAACCTCTCTGGGCTTCAGTTTTTTCCATCTGCAAAGTGCAGCTTATTAGTAGTACATACTGCATACTGGGAGAATTAAGTAAATGTGTGTAAGGCACTTGAAATAGTGCATGGAGCATGGCAAGTGCTTTAAAAGTTTTAGGTCTTACTACAAAAAAACTATTATCATCATCCTACCAGACCCAATACTGGCCACCATCCTGCCCAAACAAGCTGTAGCAGTACAAGTGATTAATAATCTAGATCACTGGATTCTCAAACTTTTAGTGAGCAATGGAATAATCTGAAGAACTTTTCTAAAAATAAACTTCTTATTTTAAAAGAGTTTTAGATTTACATAATTACTGCAAAGATAGTCCACAGAGTTCCCATGTACTCTGGACCCAGTTATCCCTATTAACAACTTATGTTAGTATGGTACATTTGTCATATTCAATCAACCAACACTGACACATAACAATTTCCACACTTCATTCAGATTTCCTTAGTATTCTCCTAATGTCCTTTTTCTGTTCCAGGGTCCCATCCAGAATACCACATATACATTGTATAGCCATATCCCAGAGCGTTTTCAAACCACAGATTACAGGCTCTAGCCCTAGATATTCTAACAACAACCGGTATGAGGTGGGGCCCTAAAATTTACATTCTCAAGGATTGCTGATGAGGCCAATCTGAAAATACACTAAGAGTAACATTGGTCTACACTTTTAGACTCCAAAACTGTTGTTCGATACAGCAGTCACTAGTCAAATGTGCCTAATGCAAATTGAGAAATGCTCTAAGTGTAAAACACACTTGATATTTCAAAAAACCTGGTCCAATGTAAAGAACATAAAATATCTCATTAATAATTTTCCTATTACATGTTAAAATGATATTGTGAATATACTAAGTAAAATATATTCATTTATTTCACTTTTTTTCCACGTGCTTACTTTTTATAATGTGAATACTAGAAACTTTAAGCACAAGTAATTTATATAGGCATTACATTTCTATTGGACAGCAGTGGTCTGTGGTCTGGCAGAACAGCATCCATATGACCAAGTGGATATTAGAAGTGCAGGTGATTCCTATGCACGTTAAAATTTGAGAAGCACTAGATTATCAACAGGGGAAGGAGGCTTAGAGACTACACCATTTGGCAGTTCAGTTCAATTAAAGAGCTAATCAATTACAAAACGAAACTGCAGAATATTCATTAAGTCCATGAAGTCAATGAAAGTAATAGGGAAATGGCTGAATCACAGCAAAGCCATATACCAATGAGCCGGGGCCAGCTAACTGAAGAAAAAAAAAAAAAACCACAAGGATAGTGGCCCAATAGGTTCCTCAAAAGAGGTAATCTGAAAAGCCCGATTTGAAGTACAGTGATGCTATGTCGTACTACGACACCTTTCACATCTGATTCATACTACAAAATAGTGCATATTTGCAATTCTAGCCAAAATTGTTAAATACAGGACAAAAGTTTAATTTCACTTTTCTCTCCCATGATTTATTGTAAAACTGTGATGCCCATTTTCTCAGGTAAGTAAAATATTAGTACTACTGTTTAATGGTTAAACAGATCACCACTATTTAGTTTTTACTCCATTTAAAAATTTTAATCACCCGTATTATTTTCAGTAATATCACTTACGTAGAGTACTTAAAAATTTGTAAAGTTCACTTTCTATCAGCCTACTAAAAAACCACTGAGCAGATTCTTTCTAATTAAAGAAAAGTCAAATGATTAACTACAAGTAACATGCTGTTTTTCTACAGCACTTAATCTATTTTCATTTGCACCTCGAAACAACTGGTATTAGCAAATATAAAACCGAAAGAGATGCAATGTATTGATAATTATATATGAACAACTAATATATATATAACTAACTATACAGACGGCATTATCTTAACAATCAATGAGTCATCAGTCTTCTCCAGCTTGATGAAGTACGAACAGAAATCTATCAACAAATATTGGCGCATAAATATACATACACACATTATATTACACTTCTGGGGTTTCTTTTTCCCCCACAGAGAAACACTTTTAGAACAGTGGAGCCGCATGCAACCAGGGGTCGCACATATGTGCGCAGACGGTCTGGCTCGTCAGGTGGCATGGGTGGGGGTCACGCTTTCACTGCCTGCTTTGGGCTCTCAAAACCCAGCTCTGAAACGTTTCCAAGGCAAAATAAAAATAGCCAAAATGCCTATTCAGACCAGAGGAGGTAGAGGAAGATGACCGATTCTGTAAAACACCCTCCTACAGATAAAGAAAAGGCGATATGGGCAAGTACACACACATCTAGGCCATCGTTCCCGACTTTTAAGTATGAAAGAGGCGTGGCTAGGGGCTAGATACTTATTTTTAACACTTCCATTGAAACACCCGGAGTCTCCCAAGGTCTAACCTCTAGAAGTCGGGTGGCAGAACCTGAATCAGAACCCGAGTGAGCCTTCCTTCCTCCACCACCTCCCTTTAGGAACGCATGCCTAAATAGTCGATAAAATCTACTTCTCAATGTCATGATTAACCCAAAAGCCAGCCACAACCAATCGTGTTATTAGAGTGCTAAAAGCCTCTATCCACAACAAACACTCCACTTGGGATGACATTAAAACTTTCGATAAAGGTGTACTTTCAACGTCGTGCTTTAGCCTTTGAAAATACATTTACAAAACTGCAGCTGCAGTCAAAAGGAAAACATCACACGCCTCGAAAGCTGAAGGGCGTGCCTTTTTCTCTAACGAAGACCGTGTGGCCATTTCTTCTCAAAGGGTCTGCAGTCACTTAAGATAGCAACGCGTAAAGGACAGCCGTTCTGAGAAGACAACCAGCTCCCCTGAGATGGGAGGCGGGCTGCACGCTGGTAAAGAGGATTTTTCAATTCAAGGACTTTGAGGAGATTCCGCCCAGATAAGCTGGAGGGGAGCGAATGCACGTCCATCCAGCAGGGGCAGGGCACCGGGAAAGACCGCAAAGAAGAAAGTGTCCGGTTTAAGGTCAACAGTCCTCGAGGGACGCCCCAGGTGGATTCCCCGGGTGGGCTCCCCGGGTGGGTGGAGGCCTGCAAGCCCCACCGCGATTAGGGAGTGGGCCCAGGGCGCGGGAGGGGCCGGGCCGGCCTTTTGCGCACACACACACACACACACACACACCCGCCTTTTGCAGACACACGCGCGCGCACACACCCGCCTTTTGCACATAGACACGCACACACCCGCCTTGTGCACACACGCGCGCACTCTCCCGCACTCACACACACACCCGCGCACCCTCACACTCTCCTCCCTGGGGGCGGGGCGGGCGGGCGCTGCCCTCACACAGGAAGTCAGGAAACCCAGGGGGCAGAGAAGCCACAACTTCGGGCCATTTAAACCCTCTCGCCCACGTCAGCCAATAGGCTGCGCCGGCCCCCTCCCCCTCGGCGCCTAACCCCCGCGCCCAGAGCCCCTCGCTGCGCGCCCGACCTCCCTTTGCGCGCACCTCCGCGGCGCCGCCGCCGCCGCCGCCGCGCCTCCCGCACACGCCTCCCCCCGACTCCACCGCCCTCGGCGGGCACAGCCCGGCCCCGGCGCGCCTTTGTGCAGCGCCTCGCCAACCTGCCCTCCGTCCGCCAGGACCCGCGCCCTGCACCTCACCGGGAGCCCGGCGGCCTCGCAGCAGGCGGCTCCCTTCTTAGTCCGCCCCGCGGCTGCGGGTCGACGACGCGAGCCCGAAGAGCGTTCACACGGCTACGGCCGCGGCCGGCCCGTCCCCGCAGGCTGGCCTCTGAGGGAGGGTAAGTTACAGGGCACGTCGGAGCGCGCCGGCGCGGGGGCGGGGCTCACGTGACGCGCGGGGGCGGGGCGGGAGGCTCACGTGATGGCCCGGGCGAGCTGGGCGGGCGCGGGTCTCCGGGACGGTCTGGGGTGGCTAGGGGGTGCGGCGCCCGGCGGGGATCCGAATAGGGGGCAGCCAGCGTACGGTGTGGGAACTCGGGCCGGCGCGGGAGCCTGCGGTCAAGGGGGCTCAGCACTTTGTAAACAAGGAGTGGGAAGCGTTAAAAAAACGCTCGTAGGGAAAACCAGGGAAGGGCGGACATAGCGCCAGGGTGGCAGGAATGGAGCCCGGGCAAAGACGGCCCTGCCGTGGGCCCTAGCGCTCCCTTCGTCGGCCCCTGGAGCTGCGGCCGGGCGTGGGTCAGTCGTTCACGGGCCCGGAAATTCCACTGGGACACCCGAAAAAGTGCTGCACGCCGCCTGAGGGAGACGGAAAGGGACCCGGGGCACTGAGTCCATTGCTGGGGTCGCCAGGGTACGTGGCAGGACCCGCTGTGCACACTCGGGACTGAGGAGACCCCTGGGACGCGGAGAGCCGCTCCAGGGCAGAACCAGTCCGTCAGCATTTAGCCTTCCACGGGCCTGAGGGTGCGAGCCCTGCGGGGGCCACAGGGTCATTGTCCAAAGTCATCCCCGTTTGCACTGTGGCAGCACCGAACCCGGAAGTAACAGCTTTGGCAGGTCTTTGATGGTGATCCAGTGGCAGGAGGAGCTCAGCTGGAATGGGAATCAGGAAAGAGACCTGGCTTCTGCCATTTATTGGCACTTCACCCTTCTGAACCTCAGCTTTCAAATGAGAGCTGGCTTCTAGGTCTAGAATACAGTGAGTGTGAGAAAAATAACTGAGAGGCGTTGGGACTTCAGTAACTACTCATTCCTTAACCAGTTGTTGATTGTGCCTGTTGTGCCAGGATGAAATATTTGTTAATAATAGAGACCAGAAAGGAGAGGGGGGAAAAAACAAGCATATGTATGATTCAAGCAATGAAGAGCTACTCTCCGGAGTTGGCTCTTTCCTGTGCTTCACTTCGTACTTGAAGATGCCACAATGCCTGGCTTCCTTATCAACCAGCTGAACTCCGAATTGTGCCTTACAGGATGCGAAGAATCCGGTAGGGCAGTGGCAAGACTTTAACAGCTGTGGTTTACAACCTTCTTATTAAATTAAGTCTAATGCGAGCTAAAGTGTTAAGATAGTCTCCATTTAGAAAGGAAAGAGGCTTACAATGAGAATTTTTGAAAAATAAGCCTGAGACTGTGCTGTCTCTATCGTTGCATTTGCTTTTCACA
The DNA here is from genome assembly GCF_000001405.40 of Homo sapiens. Classification (NCBI taxonomy): domain Eukaryota; kingdom Metazoa; phylum Chordata; class Mammalia; order Primates; family Hominidae; genus Homo; species Homo sapiens. The sequence goes on from NC_000010.11 coordinate 31,930,153, forward strand.
GTCCTTGGCACCCACTGCCTTTTTGTCTCCCTCGGTTTCTAACCCGTTCTGTTTTCTTGCATTTGTTCAGTATAAGGAGTATTTCCTGTATGCTTTGGCAACTATTTTCCATAGACTCTGCTTGTGTTCTCCTTATAAAACCAGAACAAGAGCAGTGCAAAAAAGAAAACGACCCTGATAGGAATGCGCTGATAACCTTACTTTCCCTACTCTCCAAACCTGAATTGGGCACCCTTGGTTTTAGCAAGAGATAGAACTCAACAGTTTGCATACACTTGCGGATCTGCCTGTAACCCCACTTCCTATTTCACAGCCTAATCTCGGATGATACCACAATGCCCACAGTATGCTGATCACCACCAACAGCAGATGGAGGCGGATAAAAAGAGCTTTCTCGCTAGTGTGTTGTTTTAAAAGAACCTGATGGAGAGCTATGATCATATGTAACACTGCCTCTAGTTAGTTTTTAAATAACACTTGTAGCATATGTCTGGCGCCTGTGCTCAGGATTTCAACAGATCATTTTCAGGATTTTGACATTTAACTGGCTTCTTATGAAGTAGCAGAGAGTTCCAAAATGTAGAACTGAAATATAAGCTCCACACACAGGCAGAGATTTGAGTCTGATTTGTTTGTGTGTATATCCCAAGTGCCTAAAAGCACTTGGCATACGGTAGATGCACAATAGATTCCTGTTAAATGTATTTTTAGGTGAAAATGTAGTCTGTACTTTGCATAAACTTGTCCTACTTTCTTCCTAGTTCTTTAATAAGTAACCTACTTTTCATTATATATTTTTAAATGAAAAAACAAAATTATATCTGGCATCACTACTTTGGCTGGGCTATAAAGAAACAGGAATTTGGCAGTATGTATTAAAATTACAAATGCATATATACTCGGAGCCTTGAATTTCATTTCCAGGGATTTATGCCACAGATGTTTCCACACATAAGAAATAACAAGGTGTTTCTTATTGTTGAGAATAGCAAAAGATTGGAAACAAGCTAAGTATCTATCAACAGGATACTAGTTAAATTATGATAGAGCCATATGTTTGAACATTGTGCAGCTGTTAATCAAAAAAACAGAAAGTTCTTTGTTTTAACATTAAGATCTCCAAGATTTTTTTGTTAAGTGAAAAACACAGAAATACGGTACAGAATATTGTATTAAATTGTATATGCATTAAACTAGGACAAAGTAACATGAGGTATGAGAACACAGTAGATGGAAAGCATAAGAAATAGACTTCATTGTATTCATATTTAAACTTTTTGATATTCAAAATTTCAGAATGTTTTATCTATTCAAATAGTGAAAATGTTTAAAATTTTTCTGGCATCTTTTTGTTGTTGTTGTTGTTATTAAAACATTCAGGCTTCTTCTGTTTTATAAAAGTTTACCTGAGTAAAATAAACATATCAAGGAGGCTGGGTGCAGTGGCTCATGCCTATAATCCCAGCACTTTGGGAGGCTGAGGCGGGCAGATTGCTTGAGCTCAGGAATTCAAGACCAACCTGGGCAACATGGCAAGACCCCATCTCTAATGAAAATACAAAAAAAAAAAAATAGCCAGGCATGGTGGTGTGTGCCTGTGGTCTCAGCTACTCCAGAGGCTGAAGTAGGAGGATCACTTCAACCCAGGAGGTGGAGGTTGCAGTTAGTCAAGATTGTGACACTGCACTCCAGCCTGAGTAACAGAGTGAGACCATGTCTCAAATAAATAAATAAATAAATAAATAAATAAAATCAGGTAAGCTAGTGCTCATAGGCAAACTTTTGAAAACCTCAGAGTTTTTGTTCAGATTGAATGATGTCTGTTTCTTACCGTAATAATTTAAAATCCAGGTACATTTATTTTGAGGCTTAGTATACATTTTATCAAATGTATATAAATTTTCAGAAGTACTCTATTTTTCTTCAAGTTTAGTAGAGCCTTCCTTGAACAAGTTTTAACAAATTGGATCCTCCATTTTAAACAATAAAATTAGAATTTCATGGATCATTTGTCTGTTAATTAAGGTCAACAAAATATATTTTGGGAAAAACGCTAAAGGCATATGTTTCTCGTGTATCTGTTCACTCACCCATTTTGTAATATCAACTGCTTCTTGTTTCCATGGGTTACACAGATGCCCTGTAAATGATTTTGTCTGATATGTTTCAGTATTTGATTATATTTATTTGTGGGCTTAATTTCCAGAAATCTCAAAGAGAATAATGAGTACAATAGCAGTCAGATTTGCATAACACATCTTTAAGGGTTTTAGGAGATTTATTAATATTTTCTTGTGAAATCTCACTGCTTTCACTATATAAATTCATATGATCAGTTTTAACTATTATTAAAGACAAATATTAGTACTTGTGGTCAGGTGTGGTGACTCACACCTGCAATCCCAGCACTTTGGGAGGCTTAGGCAAGTGGGTCACCTGAGGTCAGGAGTTCAAGACCAGTCTGGCCAACATGGTGAAACCCCATCTGTACTAAAAATACAAAAAATTAGCTGGACATAGTGGTGCACGCCTGTAGTCCCAGCTACTCAGGAGGCTGAGGCAGGAGGATTGCTTGAACCCGAGAGGCAGAGGTTGCAGTGAGCCAAGATGGTGCCATTGCACTCCAGCCTGGGTAACAGAGGGAGACCCTGTTTCAAAAAATAATAATAATAATTAGTACTTGTAATAGTTGATTATACAAATTAGGACATTCTTGTCATACCCAACTAACTCAAAGAGTCCAGGAGTGGGGGGAAAAATCACTCAGGGCACATAGCACCAGCTCCAAAAATTAAATTTTCTGCAAGCCCAGCTGCTAAAACAGCCTGCTGTAACCATAAGAATAGTTTTACCTAGTAGCTGCTGAAATGACCTACTGTGACTCATAGACTAGTGTTACCTACTGCTGTCTTCAGCAATCAGAGTTTGCCAGCTCCCCAAAGCTTCTCCAGTAGCAGTGAGCTTTCTTTTAAAACAAAACATAACATTTCTCCTTCTAATAAACTACCAACCTTCTTTTTGTTCTTTGAGCATACCAAAGACCACCTGTATGTGCATATATATATATATATATATATATATATATATATCCCAAATTCCAATTCTGTGATTCCCAAATAAGATGTTTAGAGATTCATCTCTATATTTTATTTTGATTTCTACATACTTGAAGTCAGAAGTGGGATCCAAAGCAGGCTCACCTTGGAGAATTAGCACCTGGAATGTGGCATGAAGTACCCAAATTCAGGCCTCTTGAGCCCCCAAACTTCTACGAGCCACCTCTTTTCCCCATGGTGAGTCTCTGTTGGCTTGAACTCATATTTTTTCTTTTGGTTTAGTTCAGTTTTATTTGGGAATTGGTTGGGAGGCATCCTTCCCCGCTACCAGCTATGAAATCTTCTGTTTAGGGGAACTTTCTCCCTCCTTGCTATAGACTTGGTTAAGATGAATACGTTTTTCTTCCTGGTTATGAGGACTCCTGTTTAAAAGGGATTTTTTTCTCTCTTTTGTTAAAGAAGGCTTATTATCCCTCTTGGGGAGTACATACTTTATTTTCTGATTCATTTGCACACTTGGATTTTAAATTGGTTTTTGTGGCCAGGCGCCATGGCTCATGCCCGTAATCCCAGCACTTTAGGAGGCTGAGGCAGGCCGATCATTTGAGCCCAGGAGTTCAAGACCAGCTGGGCAGCATAGTGAGACCCCATCTCATATATATATATATATATATATATATATATATATATAAGTTTTTGTGTATTTGTCATTAAACCAAGTCAGCTAAATTTATTTACAAATGGGCTCTCAAAGTTCAAAGGCATGCCAAAATAATTCCCCCTTCTGAGACTCCAGCTGACGTGTTCAAACATTATAGGGATCATTAAAAAAGTCCGTTTTTCTTAAAACTAAAGTAAAGGGCCACATCTATGAAATCATACAGTCCAAATAGGACAGATATCTCAATTGGTATCTTGAGGCTCAAAGACTCACATTCAAGACTCAAAGATTGCCTCACTGCAAAGTACTGTCACAAAGCTACCTGGGACTCATTCTTCCCCAAAACCTTTCCATCCCCTTCCTCCTCCTCCCCTTTATCCTTCTCTATGCTAAACTCTCTTTTTCCAAAACTCCTCAACTATTCTGGCATACTGATTAATAAGAATCTATTCTTGGCCGGGCACAGTGGCTCACGCCTGTAATGCCAGCACTTTGGGAGGCCAAGGCAGGCAGATCACGAAGTCAGGAGTTCGAGAACAGCCTAGCCAGCATAGTGAAACCCTGTCTCTACTAAAGATACAAAAAATTAGCCAGGTGTGATGGTGGGCCCCTGTAATCCTAGCTATTTGGGAGGCTGAGGCAGGAGAATCGCTTGAACCCGGGAGGCGGAGGTTGCAGTGAGCCGAGATCACGCCACTGCACACCAGCCAGGGCAACAGTGTGAGACTCCATCTCAAAAAAAAATTTAAAAAAGAAAATATATTCTTAATAGTTACTATTAAAACTGTAGGGTTTTTTTTTGAGATGGAGGAGTCTCTCTCCATCGTGTAAGCTGAAATGCAGTGGTGCAATTCGGCTCACCGCAACCTCCACCTCCCAGATTCAAGCAATTCTCGTGTCTCAGCCTCTCAAGTAGTCGGGATTACAGGCGTGCACCACCACACCTGGCTAATTTTTGTATTTTTAGTAGACACAGGGTTTCTCTGTGTTGGCCAGGCTGGTCTTGAACTTCTGGCCTCAGATGATCCACCTGCCTCAAACTCAAAGTGCTGAGATTACAGGCATGAGCCACTGAACCAGCCAAAACTTTAGTTTTCATAGTATTTCTATAGTTATTCTGGCCTTAATGCTGTTTCTTAAAGGCAAAAGATGAAATTTCCATGTAAAAGACACCTTCCCTATACTAGAAGGAAAGGCAGCACTCTTAGTCTCAAGAATAAGTAATAGAAACCAAGAAAATATTGTATAAAGCTCGTTAGAATAGCTCTTGCAGGGTGTGGTGACTCACACCTGTAATCCCAGCACTTTGGGAGTCTGAGGCGGGAAGATCGCTGGAGCTCAGGAGTTTGAAACCAGCCTGGACAACATAGTGAGACTTTATCTCTACTACTTAAAAAACAAAACAAAACAAAACAAAAAATCCCAGCTACTTGGGAGGCTGAGGCAAGAGAATTGCTTGAACCCAGGAGGTGGAGGTTGCAGTGAGCTGAGATCGCACCACTGCACTCCAGCCTGGGCAACACAGCTAGACTCCGTCTCAAAAAAAAAAAAAAAAAAAAAAAAAGCTGGGCGTGGTAGCACGGGCCTGTAGTCCTGGCTACTTGAGAGGCTGAGTTGCTGAGGTAGGAGGATCGCTTGAGCCCAGAAGGTCGAGGCTGCTGTGAGCAGTGATCACACCATTGCTCTCCAGCCCTGGCAACAGATTTTTTTCTGTTGCAAGACCCTGTCTCAAAAATAAATAAATATAAAAATAATAACTCTTATCTTTTGGGGCTCCTCACATAATTGTCATATTTTTCACAGCCCTTTTTTGTCCAATCCAGTATATTGGTAATGACTCAAACTGCTTTACCCAAAATTTGTTTCCCAGCCTTTTTAAGATTACTTATTAAAGAAACAAAGGCCAGGCACAGTGGCTCGTGCCTGTAATCCTAGCACTTTGGGAAGCCTAGGCAGGTGGATTGCTTGAGGTCAGAAGTTCAAGAGCAGCCTGGGGCAACATGGCCCTGTCTCTACAAAAAAAAAAAAAAAAAAAAAATTAGCCAGGCTTGGTGGCAAGTACCTGTAGTCCCAGCTACCTAGGGTCCTGAGGCGGGAGGATAGTTTGAGCCCAGCAGGCAGAGGTTGCAGTGAGCTGAGATCGTGCTACTGCACTCCAGCCTGAGCGACAGAGTGAGATTCTGTCTCAAAAAAAAAAAGACACTCAAAGTTTAGCCTTATGTTGTCAGAAATATGGTTTGAATCCAATTGTCTTCTTATAAACCAGCAAATTTAGGTTACTATGCTTTACTCAAGAATAAACTTTTAATAAAAACTATGTGCCAGCCTGGGCAACACAGTGAGATCTCGTCTCTACAAAAAAAAAAAAAAAGATAGCTGGGTGTGGTGGTCCCAGCTACATGGGAGACTAAGGCAAGAGGATCATTTGAGCCCAGAATGTCAAGGCTAGAGTGAACTATGTTTGTACCACTGCACTGCAGCCTGGGCAATAGAGCAAGACCCAGTCTCAAAAACAAAACAAACCCAAACAAAAAACTATATGGTCTTTGTTTTTGTTTGTATGTTTTTATGGGTTTTTTATTTCTATATGCATATGATCATTTTCTACCAGAATATATAAAAGAGCTCTAATTATTTGACTTAAGATTATTTTCTACCAAAATATATTAAAGAACCCTAATTATTTGACTTAAAAGGAAAAATTAAGTGCTCAAATCTAATATTTTGTTAAAAAATATAATAACTAAAATTTTTTTAGTTCACAGGACTTAAGTAAATCTTTGATAATAAGCTAATTTTAAATTTGTTGATAAAATAAAAATAAAAATGTCTTCAAAATTGTTAGCACACATTTGGGGGTACGGAGTGGCTTGATTTGCTGGTCAGACAAGATTATATTTGTCCTTGCTAGCTGCTTTAAGATCATAAAAGTATGAGTTTCACCGCAAAATAAATGTACAGATGAGAGTACAATGCAGTGTCCATTGTTCCCTGTATACCAAGCACAACAATTTAACTTTTAAGGGTTTTTCTTTAACAGAAAAAGTAAGATAATGACCAGCTCTGTGTAATATCTCAGTGGCTTTCTTTCTCAACGTTTTTGCCAATTTCCGTAGCTTTTTTTTTTTTTTTCTCATTTCTGACTGTGCTGTTGTGTGTTGGTACATGTTTGTCTTAAAGGCCTGAGAGAACAATGCTTCCTCTGGTATAACTTGATTCTGTACTCCTGGCTTTTCTTGGTGTGTCAAAGTTGTTCTGTGTAACCAGGCAAATTTACAGTCATACATCCTCCTGCGCAAGGTACAGGTTTCTTGTTTACATTACTCTTCTATAACGTGGTGTATATTCATAACCTTAGTCACATACTCTTCCAGTGTTTAATTAAATGCTAGTACCTTTTCATGAAGTTTGACTTCCAGGTAATTCAAACAGGCATCCTAGAAAGAGAAACAGTCGTACTACAAGAGGTTTTTCTTTTTTTTTCTTTCTTTTTTTTTGTTTTTTTTTGAGACAGAGTGTTTTGTTTTGTTTTGTTCTGTTTTTGAGACAGTGTCGCGTTCTGTTGCTCAGGTTGGAGTGAACTGGTGCGATTTCGGCTCACTGCAACCTCCGCCTTCTGGGTTCAAGCGATTCTCGTGCTTCAGGCTCCCAAGTAGCTGGGATTACAGGCACTAGCCACCACACCCGGCTAGTAGAGACGGGGTTTCACTATGTTGGCCAGGCTGGTCTCAAACTCCTGGCCTCAAGTGACCTGCCTGCCTTGGCCTCTCAAAGTGCTAGGATTTCAGGCCAGAGTCACCACACCCAGCCACAAGAGGTTTCTCTTTACCTCTTAAATAATCAGCCTAAAAAAACAGATAAGTTATATTTTAAGGTAGTTTCTTGTGCTTTTCCTGTTTTTATTAGGTTTTTGACTACTTGGAAAAAGTTATCTCAATACAGAGCCAAGTTTATTTTTTTTCTCTCTGTCTCAACGGAGTTTTGATTTTGGATTTTTTTGGTTGGTTTTTTTTTTTTAATTTATTTTTATTTTTATTTTTTTTTTGAGACAGACTCTCGCTCTGTCACCCAGGCTGGAGTGCATGGCACGATCTCGGCTCACTGCAAGCTCCACCTCCCGGGTTCTCGCCATTCTCCTGCCTCAGCCTCCCAAGCTGGGACTACAGGCACCTGCCACCACGCCCGGCTAATTTTTTGTATTTTTGGTAGAGATGGGGTCTCACCATGTTAGCCAGGATGGTCTCGATCTCCTGACCTCGCAATCCGCCCGCCTTGGCCTCCCAAAGTGCTAGGATTACAGGTGTGAGCCACCATGCCTGGCCAATTTTTTTATTTTTTTGAGACAGAGTCTTGCTCTGTCGCCCAGGCTGGAGTTTAGTGGCACGATCTTGGCTCACTGCAGCCTCCACTTCCTGGGTTCAAGCAATTCTCCTGCCTCAGCCTCCCAAGTAGCAGAGATTACAGGCACGTACCACCCAGCTAATTTTTGTATTTTTAGTAGAGACAGGGTTTCACCATGTTGGCCAGGCTGGTCTCAAACTCCTGACTTCAGGTGATCCACCCACCTCAGCCTCCCAAAGTGCTGGGATTACAGGCGTGAGTCACCACACCTGGCCAGTTTTATTTATTTTTGAGGCAGGGTCGTCTTCTGTTGCCCAGGCTAAAGTGCAGCAGGGTGATCTCAGTTCATAGCAGCCTCAACTTCCCAGGCTCAAGCAATCCTCCACCTCAGCCTCCCAAGTAGCTGGGAACTACAGGTACATGTCACCACTCTCAGCTGAGTTTTGTATTTTTTGTAGAGATGAGGTTTTGCCATGTTGCAAAGGCTGGTCTCAAACTCCTGAGCTTAAGCGATCCGCCTACCTCGGCCTCCCAAAGTGCTGGGATTACAGGCATGACCCACCATGCCTGGCCTATGTTACTTCTTGTATTTGCTTTTGAAGTCTTTCATTTATCACTCTGATTAAATAAATGGCTATTATTTCTCAATGGCATGCAATTCTACTTTAATTAAATATTTTAAGCCTTTAACATCTTTGCCACTTTCCCAAAACCAAATTCTAATTTAAAAGTTTTTTTAACCTAAAATTGACTTTGGGATTGTCCTTTGGGCCTCTGGAAAACCTCTGTAATCTGTGTATGCTCTGAATTACAATTCTGTGATTCCCAAATAAAATGCCTAGAGATTCATCTCTATTTTCTTTTGACTTCAACATAGTAAAGGGCTAAGAGACAGATTGCCACCTAGAGCTTTTTTCCAAAATTATGTAGCCCTGGCTGCCTAATAGAAGAAAATTTAGTAATTGGCCTTCAAATTTAAAATGTGTAATCACCCAATCAATAATTCAGATATATTTTAATTGATAATTTGTTCTGCTGTTATCCTCTAAATTAAATATACACTCATTTTAGTTTCACTCAGGCACTAAGGAAATGACCCTAAAATTAATAAAAATCAGCAATAAATAATTTATTATTTGAGATCATTTAGACTACATGAAAAACATTTACTATTTGTCACATTTGGGCACACAATGTTTCTATATGAAACACAGCTAAGATATAAATAATATTTCTTGATTCAAAAATAAAAGTCCTTCCCTAATATCGGGAACAAGGCAAAAATTCATGCTTTTGCCACTCCTAGTCAACATTGCACTGGAAATTCTAGCAAGTATCAAACAGTAAGTACATCGGTGGAGGAAACTTTATGTAAATTTGTATAATCTGGTACAGTAGATAAAAACATCCAAACAAATTATAGTATTAAAATCCATAGGATTGGTATATTGAGGTGGGTGGGAGGATAAAAGGAGATAATATATATCAGCACATTCCTATCAAGGCACAGTTTCCCTTTTGCAATATGCCCTTGTTCTCATTTTAGAAAGAGATTACAAGGGGATTTCATGGAAAATAGTTTCAGGAGCAAAACCTGGCATATGGCATATCATAACAATAAACGATAAAGATGGTTCCTGCTCCCTCCAGGCTCTGTAATGCTCCCCGATTCACCGTCTCTTACAAGTTCCCTTAACCTACCCTCACCTTTGTGAATAGCCTATCTTTAAGTCTGTTCCCACTTAATTCATTTGAGTGGACTTCTCTCTGACAAGACCCTGACTAATACACTTGATTAACTGCTTTCCTAAACAGGAACAGTTTGGGAACACAACAGGTCTTTGATAAATGTTTGTTCAACTAAAATTAGAAGGATTCCAGGAACATCTCAGCAAAAAAGTAATAGCAAACATCCTAAGAGAAAGTGAAATGAAAAGAGGAGAACACTGTATCAGAAAGCAGCAAAGAAGGCTCAAGAGTTGCCCAGTTTCAAAACATTCAGTGAAGACATTTCAATAAGCATCAAGGTCATTGAACATTTTGTGGTGTTCGTTATGACATCTGCAAGTGACCTTCAGTACTCAATGCTCTAAGGTAATGCTCCTAAAAGATATTGCAACCTCCCAACAGTGAGATTTTTTAAAATAAAAATACAGGTTTGCCAGGAACTTCTTCCCTTGCCTCTACTCACTGATATCTCAAATCATTAGAATGGAAGAGGGAGAGGGACAGAACATCCTCTTACCTAGGCAGGTTCTTACATATGGTAATTTGCATAATCACTGGCACATGTAAAACCAGCCCCCTCTATCACAGGATGCCAGCTAATGCTTAAAAAATTCAGATTTGTGTCCTCAAATACAAGCTTCCATAACTTTAAAAAATTGTGAGAACTTTCCATTTTTATTCTAACTTTGATATTATTCATACCTTCTAAAAATACAACAAACAACATCATATGTCAATTACCATTCACTCAAAAGAATATATCTTATGGAAAGAGATGAGTTGTATCTTAATATGGCAACCTATCTAAGAAAAAAAGGATTTTTACTAATTCCTTAGATTTGCATAGCTATTGAAGAACTTTGATTACGAAAATTATTGAGGTTTTGGAAGAGAAAATAAGTCAGCATTCAGGGAACACTGATACTATAGCTGTTGATATTATCAAGACAGCATTTAGGGAGCTGTCATGGCAACCATAATTTAATCCTCCATGAGTGTCTTGGAACACCCAGGCACCCCCGGAAATGAGGAGGGTGATTCAGCGGGCGGCACACTCCTGTCCTTATGAGTCAGGAAAATACCAGTGCTCTCACTCACATTGCTGGAGGCACCATTCTATGAGATATAAAATGCAGCCACTATGTGATCTGTGACAGTTGCACAAGAGCAAAATGTTGGCTTCATTCAATATTCCTGCCAAGTCTATTTTGATTGATTTTGAGACAAATGTTCACTTCATGACTAATGCAGAGCCTTGATCTCTCATCTTTTTGTCTTTTAGGCAAATCACAGCATAGTCTTCACTTTGATCTTTGGGGTGTAAGGTCAGTGGGAAGGTTTAAAGCTTTGAACGTTTTTTTCACCACCTTACTGGTTTTGTTTGAAGGTTAGTGAGAGAAAAGGTTAAAATTAATGGCTAAAATGAGATAGTTTTAGCTTTCATTTCCTGGTATAACATCACAGATTCTAGAATTGTCAGGACTACCAAGTTTAAATCTAGATGTGCAGTAAAGCCTCTGTGCTTTGCATATTCTATAAAATCTGTGAAATCAAAGTGAACTGTTCTCTGACTCTGAAATATCTATTCACTATCCACGGTGTGCTAAGTCCAAAAGATTTATTTTAACAAAAGGAAGAGAAACAGGCAAATAACATGGCTACTTAGAAAAAGCACTAGAGCCAGGGTCACGCCTGTAATCCGTGCACTTTGGGAGGCCGAGGTGGGCAGATCACCTGAGATTGCGAGTTTGAGACCAGCCTGACCAATATGGAAAAACCCCGCCTCTACTAAAAAATACAAAATTAGCTGGGCATGGTAGCACATGCCTGTAATCCCAGCCACTTGAGAGGCTGAGGCAGGAGAATCGCTTGAACCTGGGAGGTGACGGTTGAGGTGAGCAGAGATCGTGCCATTGCACTCCAGCCTGGGCAACAAGAGCAAAACTCTGTCTCAAAAAGAAATAAAAGAAGAATAAAAGAAAAAAGAAAAGAAAAAGCCTAGAATAGCCGGGCACAGTGGCTAATGCCTGTAATCCTAGCACTTTGAGAGGCCAAGGCAGGTGAATCATTTGAGGACAGGAGTTCGAGACCAGCCTAGCCAACATGGTGAAACTCCATCTCTACTAAAAAAAAAATTGCCAGGTGTGTTGGCACCTGCCTGTAATCGCAGCTACTAGGGAGGCTGAGGGACGAGAATCACTTGAACCCAGGAGACAGAGGTTGCAGTGAGCCAGCATTGTGCCACTGCACTCTGCCCTAGGCAAAAAAGGAAGATCCTGTCTCAAAAAAAAAAAAACAGAAAAGTCCTTGCCATGTAGAACTTTCTGACCATTTTTTTCTGTTTGATTAACTTTCTATTTTGTGTGCGTGTGTGTGTGTAGAATAAGAGAGAATTTAACTAAATATATATGAAATCCTATTTCATATGGGGGAAAATATATGAAAGAAAGCAAAAGTTGTATAATAGTTAAAGAAATTGGGGGAAAAAGGTAAAACAAAAACCATCTCCCTTGGGTTTGACAGACAAATTGTGTTGGCTCTGCATCCGAGCATGTGGCTTCTCTAACACTACTTTTAATTATGTTTTTCAGCTCTTAACCAATGGAAAGTATCTACTAATACAGTTTCTAGCCAGGCACAATAGCTCATGCCTGTAATCCCAGCATTTTGGGAAGCCAAGGCAATGAGAGATCTCTTGAGGCCAGGAGTTCAAGATCAGCCTGGGCAACATAGTGAGACCCCATCTCTACACAAATAAAAATAAAAAATAGTTTCCCATAGCTTCACACAAATAAACCAAGTTGCTGCCTGCTTTCCCAGTCTTGTATGAATAAGATTCTTCAAAGTGTTGATATTGAATTTCCTTGTTGCAAATCCACATTATTTCTGTAAAGTTTCCCATGCCTTCACTTCAATGGTTAATTGAAAACAGGAGTAGATTCCCCTTTGTGATGTGCTTCTCTTAAATCACAAAGCTTCCGGAGCCCTCCTTCTTAGTGGCTAACAAATTTATTTATTCTCATATTAATCAGTCTGTTGAAACAAGATTGCATATTCTCTGTCAAACTGGTTCCACTTCATCTCGCTGACCTTCGTTCTCCTGTATGTTTGCAGTACCCCACTGGCTGATACAGAATGGGACTGCATTGCAAGTATGACTCAAAAGAGGCTTCAGTTTGATTAAAATCTGCTCTTTGATATTTACTTTTTAAACTTTTAGACATATGATGTTTTTAGTTTACACAAATTCACATTCTGTTGTCAGAAAACTTTATTTTACCCTATTTAAAATGGTAGTTATTTTCACGATAGGTATAAAATAAAAGAGGAGTTCTGAAAACAGTTTTTTTTTTTTTTTGAGATGAAGTTTGGCTCTTGTTGCTCAGGCTGGAGTGTAGTGGCATGATCTTGGCTCACTGCGACCTCCACCTCCCAGGTTCAAGTGATTCTTCTGCCTCAGCCTCCCGAGTAGCTGGGATTACAGGCATCTGCCACCATGCCTGGCTAATTTTTTGTATTTTTGTAGTAGAGACAAAGGTTTCACCATGTTGGCCAGGCTGGTCTCAAACTCCTGACCTCAAGTGATCCACACGCCTCGGCCTCCCAAAGTGCTGGAATTACAGGCATCAGCCAAAAACAGTTTCTATTAAAGATGATAAGGGGAACAATATGGAATTCCTTACTTGATTGCACTTAGTAATAACATTCTACCCACTGGATAGGGAGAAGAAGCAGTAGAAAGATTTCTTGAGGGGATTTCTTTATGGAACTCCCCAATTAGCATTCTAGCTCTGTCATTAGTTAGCAGCGCCATCTTGGACAAGTCTTATCTTGGATATTACCTGCTATGACCTCAGTTTCTCTTCTGTCAAATGAGAGGATTGGTTTGGCTGATTCTCAGATCCTATTCAGTCGTAATAGGCCTTGATTCTTTTTATGACCTTAAGATATTTGACAAAATAAGTCATTTTTGGTTCTTATATTTTAAATAACATTCATTATAATATGGTAATACTTAACATTCTTGTTTTCATCCTGAAAATATTTTTCTCTTATAATGTTTAAACTGTATCTTGGATAGGAAGAAGAACTATTACTATCCCCACTTTTCAGATAAGGAAATTTAGGAAGGTTCCATAACTGACCAAGTGGAACAAAGGCAGCCTTAGACTAATTTACTGATCTTTTTTTTTTTTTTTTTAACTGTCACTGCATTGGCCGGGCTGGTCTCACACTCTTGGTCTCAAGTGTCCTCTCACCTCAGCGTCTCCAAGTGCTGGGATTATAGGCATGAGCCACTGCTCCTGGCCTTATTTACTGGCTTGAAGCCCTGCCATTGCCACTGGCAGGCATGTCACTGAAGCCTGGGACGGGACACTGCAGTACAGAGTGTGAGAACAGTTCAGCTGAACTACCTTCACTTCAAAGCCAGGAGCCTGTATTTATTTATTTGTTACTTTTTTCAATAGATACAGGGTCTCACTATGTTACCCAGGCTGGCCTTGAACTCCTGACCTCAAGGGATCCTCCTGCCTCAGCCTCCCAAAGTGCTGGGATTACAGGTGTGAGCCACTGCACCCAGCCAGGAGTCTGTATTTATATCCCCTCCTTGTACTTGCTCTAATTGTATTCAGAAGAAAAGCTGTACGTGGAAGTGCCAACCTTTCAGGAAGTGGCTACAGAATAAAGTATGACACTCCATCAAGTTAAATTAAATTAAAATCACATCTGATTAAATCATTTTAAAAGATGAGCCTGGCATGGCAACACTTTGTGTAACCACCATAGCTTTGCAGTGAGTCATGGTGAGATGTACTCCCGGTGTTATATAATATACAATGAATTCTTTGAAAAGTGATCAAAATTTCCAATACACAGTATTAAAATAAGTACTGGATTAGGTAAAGGAACAGAGCCATTTTACTGCAGTAAGATGAACCTTTTTTCATTTGAATAGCACAGAAAAATATATTGCTGATCTTTTTGCTCTTCCTGGCTTCCCCTTCACATTGCTGTTTGAATGCTTCGTCTGGAATAACTTAAAAGAGGAAGAATTCCATGGTGTCGCATACAGAAGGCCTTTCTCTGGGCAGTGCTTGTCAGTTCTCTATGTAAATAGGGATAACAAAGACCCCAAGAGATGAACAGACAAAGGACAAAGTAGACAATTCACAAAAGAGGAAATTCAGTTGTTTAACAAACAGTGGGAAAAGGTTCCATCTCACTAGTAATCAAAGATATGCAAATTAAAACACTACTGAGAGACCCAAAGTGTTTGGTTGGTTGTTTTTTTATGACAATACAGTAATGGCATCAGTGTGAAAGCTGCTTTCTTGCACATTGCTAGGAGCAGTGTAAATGGACTCAGCTCTGTTAAAAAAAAATTGGCAATGATACAAATAAAAGACAAAGCATTAAAAATGTTTATGCTTTTTGAACTACTAATTTCACTCTTAGGGATCCATCCTAAATAAGCCTAAATATGAAAAATATTTTGTATACACTAGAGCATGCATCACAGTGCTACTATTTGTAATAGCAAAAGGAAAAACTAAATAAATGTGTGATATGTTAAAGTATGGCTCACTATACTGAAACATGTGAAGCAATTAAAATTGTTTTATGAAGTGTTTCTAATCACCTAGGAAAAGACTTATGTTATCATGTAATATGAGAGATGAGGTCATGAACACTATGAAACACCCATGAAAATAAACAGGTTTTTTTAAAGATGAAGAAAACAATTATTTTTTTAAAAAGTAACTATGAAAGAAAATACACTAAAAATGTTAATTTTTTTTTTTTTTTTTAAGACGGAGTTTTGCTCTTGTTGCCCAGGCTGGAGTGCAATGGCGCAATCTCGGCTCACCACAACCTTCGCCTCCTGGGTTCAAGTGATTCTCCTGCCTCAGCCTCCGGAGTAGCTGAGATTACTGGCATGTGCCACCATGGCCCGCTACTTTTTTTGTATTTTTAGTACAGACGGGGTTTCTCCATGTTTGTCAGGCTGGTCTCAAATTCCCGACCTCAAGTGATCCACCTGCCTCAGCCTCCCAAAGTGTTGGGATTACAGGCGTGAGCCACTGCACCCAGCCAAAAATGTTAATATTAGTTGTCTTTAGACTGATGTCTTTTTACTTTTCCATATTTTCAAGAATTTTATATTGATTCCTTAGGACATTTACAGTGAACATAAAAATGTTAGAGAGAGAGAAGAGCTTAACATTTTTCATTAGAGCACCCTTAAAAAAAATATTTTCTAAGGAAACCTGAATTGCTTAGATCTCATCTCTTTTTTTTTGTTTGTTTTATGTACATCTTCGCCTATATTAGATAGATCATTGATGTACTTACCAAAACAAAAGGAAATGGTCCTGCTTCCTATGAAATTGTGTAAGCATGTGCCCTAATAACCACCTTTGTTTTAGTTCTTTCCAGTCTATTTAAAATTCTGGTCTTTATCTGACAAGCTGGAACTTCTTTACTTCTTTTTTTTTTTTTTTTTTTTTTTTGAGACACAGTTTCGCTCTCGTTGTCCAGGCTGGAGTGCAATGGCGCGATCTCAGCTCACTGCAACCTCTACCTTCCAGGTTCAAGCGATTCTCCTGCCTCAGCCTCCTGAATAGCTGGGATTACAGGTATGCACCACCATGCCCAGCTAATTATGTATTTTTAGTAGAGATGGGGTTTCTCCATGTTGTTTTTATTTTTTCCTTAACTTTTTTTTTTTTTTTTTGAGACAAGGTCCAGGGTCTCACCCTGTTGCCCAGGCTGGAGTGAAATGGCAGGATCTTGGCTCACTGCAAACCCTGCCCCCCAGGCTCAAGCAATCCTCTTGCTTCGGCCTCCAAGTAGCTGGGACTACAGGCATGTAGCCTTGCAGGCATGCAGGCATGGGCCTGGATAATTTTGTAATTTTTGTAGAGCTGGGGTTTCACCATGTTGCCCAGGCTGGTCTCGAACTCGAACTCCTGAGCTCAGGTGATCCATCCCCTTCAGCCTCCCAAAGTGCTGGGACTGTAAGCATGAGCCACCACGCCAGGCCCATATTGTTATTTTTCAAAAAGAAAGAAAGGAAAATGGTAAAAATAATGATAAATATTGGTATTATTTAGTCTCCAAAAAGAATAGCATGACCTTTATCAGAGGTATGTCTAGTTCTCAGAAAAAGAACCCAGAGCAAGAGAAAATGACAGATATTTAATAGGGGGCGAAAGTCTTTTTACATAAAACCTGTCAAAAAAGAAAATCGTGTTGTAATTTGGGACTGTAGCCTGCTGTCAGTTATTTACAGGAGTTTGAATAGCATTGGGTTGGGTTGTATTATGCCACCTAAAATCCAAACCAAATAGGTGTACCCAGTTAAACAGACTTGGGAAGAGAAGTGTGAAGTGTCAGCAGGATTCTTGAAGTCATGGTGGAGGGGAAGAGAAGTGGCCTGCAGATTTCATCAGCAGTTCTTCCGGTTCCCTCCTTTTTCCTAAAATAATCTCTCTGAATTTATCACTTCTGTTAGGAACATACAATATGTTTTTGGTACAGATTCTACTTAAATATCAACAATTTTTCCACTCTGTCAGCTGTTCTATAATATGTGATTCTGAAAACAAACCAAAAAAAAATAACAAATACTGGAACGCTTTCTGCTTTTAAAGTTTGCTCTTAAATGATGTGACCCCTTTTATGATGGATGTTGTTAGCTCCAAGGGTGCCAGATTTAGCAATCCATTATTTATCCTCTTCTCCTGGGACTCATCGTTTTTCCTACATTACCACATTTCACGTTCACAGCCCTTTTAATGCTCACACCCTGCACTGTTTTGTGTACATTCCATTCATCCTGCTCAGCCATTATGGGTTATTGCCATCTGGTGGAAAAACAGGGTTGACTACCAGATGGTAGTTTTGAAATTCCGGAAGTGAAATGAAGTTGTTTTCATCAGGGAAAAACACATTTATGTCTCATGCATATTCTGGTGTTCTAAAACAACGAGCGTTTTTCTGTTCCATTGCACATGGGGAAGTATACAACGATTTCAGCTGCTGAACACATTAAAAAATTGACTTTCTATATACACTACACAAAAATCGTGCTTGTAAAAAAGTTAGGTCCCCTTTTTATTTCTTTTTTCTTTTCACTCTGTCAACCCAGGCTGGAGTACGGTGGCAAGATCACAGCTCACTGCAGCCTCAATCTCCCAGGCTCGAGTGATCATCCCACCTCAGCCTCCTGAGTAGTTGAGACTACAGGCTCACGCCAACACAACTGGCTAATTTTTTTAAAATTTTTGTAGAGACGGGGTCTCACTACATTGTCCAGGCTGGTCTCAAACTTCTGGGTTCAAGTGATCCTCCCTCCTTGTCCTCCCAAAATGCTGGGATTATAGGCGTGAGCCACCGTGCCCAGCTGTCCACCTTTTTAAGTAATCCTGTGATCATAAAACAAAAATGACAAAACAAAATAGAGCTAAAATGTCTCAACTGCTTATCCCTTCACTAGGAAAAAATGCAGTATTAGATGTTTTCTACTTTTAAGTTCTATTATATAATAGCACACTTGAGTCATTAAGCAATTTTAGGGTATTAGTTCTTAAAATGAGATTCATTCACATTCAAAATTTAGCATAGTCTTCAAAGTGACAGGATGAATATTAGTCCAAAATGACTTAGGAGTTTCTCTTTCTCAAATTGTCATAAAATTTACTAACACTGTTACAATCCTTTAACATCTAAATTAGGCCAGGTACAATGGCTCATGCCTGCAGTGCCAACAATTTTAGAGGCCAAGGTGAGGAGATTGCTTGAGCCCAGGAGTTCAAGACCAGCCTGAGCAACATAGCAAGATCCTGTCTCTACAAAACATTTTTTTTTAATTTTTAAAGAAAAATAAAAATCTAAATAAAATGAGGTAGTAGGCCTGAGCTCCTCAAAACTATCAATATTATAAAAGACAAAAAAAGGCAGGGGGGGTGTGGTCAGGGACGGTGGCTCGCGCCTGTAATCCCAGCACTTTGGGAGGCCAAGGCGGGCAGATCACTTGAGGTCAGGAGTTCAAGACCAGGCTGGCCCACGTGGTGAAACCCTGTCTCTACTAAAAATACAAAAATTAGCTGTGTGTGGTGGCACGTGCCTGTAATCCCAGCTACTCGGTAGGCTGAGGCAGGAGAATGGCTTGAACCCAGGAGGCAGAGGTTGCAGTGAGCTAAGATTATGCCACTGCATTCCAGCATGGGTGACAGAGCAAGTAAGACTCTGTCTCAAAAAAAAAAAAAAAGGCGGGGATTTTCACAGTCTGTTCAGGCTTTTATAACAAAATACCATAAACTAGGTGGCTTACCAACAAGAGAAATTTATTTATCACAGTACTGGAGTCTGAGAAGTCCAAGATCAAGTTCCCAGCAGATAGCAGGGAATTGGTGGCCCATGCTTGTAGTCCTAGCTACTTAGGAGGCTGAGGCAGAAAGATTGCTTAAGCCCAGGAGTTTGAGGCTGCAGTGACCCATGAGCACGTTACTTCACTCCAGCCTGGGTGACAAAGCAAGACAAAGCGATACCCCGTCTCTAAAAATGAAAATGAAATTACAAATGTTTTAAAGAAGGTGCCAGCAGATTCAGTGTCTGTTAAGAACCCACTTTCTGATTCATAGATGGTGCCTTCAGTTGGGTCCTCACATGGTGGAAAGGGCCAATGAGCTCCCATGGGCATATATTACAAGGTCTCTAATTTGGTATATGAGGGTTCACCTTGGGGTTTAGGATTTCAACATATGAATTTTGAGGGATGATAAACATTTTGACCATCACAAGGATTGTTGTGGTTAAAAAGATATTAATGAGACATAATTATCAACCATATTCTTTTTTTTTTTTTTTTTTGAGACAGAGTCTCGCTTTCTTGCCTAGGCTGGAATGGAGTGGCGCGATCTTGGCTCACTGCAAGCTCCGCCTCCCGGGTCCACGCCATTCTCCTGCCTCAGCTTCCCGAGTAGCTGGGACTAAAGGCGCCCGCCACCACGCCCGGCTACTTTTTTTTTTGTATTTTTTAGTTGAGACAGGGTTTCACCGTGTTAGCCAGGATGGTCTCGATCTCCTGACCTCGTGATCCACCCGCCTCGGCCTCCCAAAGTGCTGGGATTACAGGCATGAGCCACCGAGCCCGGCCTTATCAACCGTATTCTTGATTGGATTGTGAATCTAGAAAAAGAAAAGCTTTAAGGATAATTGGAGAAATTTGAATATGGGCTGTATATTACTATTATTACGTCAATTACATTTCTTAGGTAGAACAATGCTGTTGTGGTTATATAAGAGAATTCCCTCTTCTTGGGAGATGCAGGATGAATATTTAGGTGTGGAACTTACTTTTTTTTTTGAGACAGAGTTTTGCTCTTGTTGCCCAGGCTGGAGTGCAATGGCACGATCTTGGCTCACCACAACCTCTGCTTCCTGGGTTCAAGTGATTCTTCTGCCTCAGCCTCCCGAGTAGCTTGGATTACAGGCATATGCCACCATGCCCAGCTAATTTTTTGTATTGTTACTAGAGACGAGGTTTCGCCATGTTGGTTCAGGCTGGTCTCCAACTCCCGACGTCAGGTGATCAGCCCACCTCGGCCTCCCAAAGTGCTGGGATTACAGGTGTGAGCCACCGCACTCGGCCAGAACTTACTTTTAATTGGTTGAAAAATATAAAAAGAGAAATAAAGCATCCATGGCAAAATATTAACAATTGATTAATCTAGATGAAAGGCTTATGTATGTTCATTGTTCAGTTTTCTCAAATTTTAGTTAAGCTTCACATTTTTAAAAATAAAAACTTGGGAGAAAAACACAATTGAAGAGAATGGTCCATTAAAAACCTTCAAGAGAGAAGAAATCCTTTGTCAGCACATAAAACAAGATGCCACTGACACAATGGCTAATCCACTGAGTGCATTACTTTAATTATAGGCCGGTTTACCTTATTACTAGACATCAGACTATATGGAAGGTCATTCAGTAGGATCAAAAAACATAAGTAGTTTCTACTTCCGGCCATGATGGAACAACAAGAATTGGATTTACCTTCCTACCTTAACCAGGAAACTGGATAAAAATACATGAAACACCGGTTTCCAGACATTGGACAACAGGAAGCTCAGGACAGTATTTCCTAGGAGAAGGAAAACAAATGAGATGAACCCTATCTTTGTCCCAGCTTACTGTCTAGAGAGTGTCTAGGCTGTAGCTCATGGAGGGGAAAATGCAAACAGTAAAATAAGTAGATGAAAAGTCTGTCAATAGAAATAAACCTTGAAATGGCACATATGATAAAGTTAATAAAGACATTAAAACAATTAAAGAACCATGACAAAGAGATACACAGAAGATAATAACCTATGTTGAACTTCTAAATATGACAAATACAGAAATCTACACTGGATGATATTAACAGCAAACTGGAAACCACAGGAAAAAAAATATTAGTGGATTTGAACACACAGCAATAAAAACTATCCAAAATGAAACACAGAAGAAAGATTGGAAATTAAAATGAACAGAGTTTAATGGCTATACGGCAACAAAAAGTGATATAATGTACTTGTAAATAGAGTCCCAGAAGGAGAGAAATATGAGGTGGGAGGGTGGAAGCAGAAGGACTATTTAAAAATAATGACCAAAAATGTTTATATTTGATGAAAATTATATACCCACACAAGAGCCAAATACTTCAGTGAGCCGGAAGAACATAAAACATGATTAAATATACCAAGACATTAACCAAATTGCTTAAAACTAGTGATAAAAAAGAAAAATCTTAAAAGCAGGCAGGAAAAAAAGACACATTAAGTATATAGACTTTTTATTGCAAATAATGCAAATCAGAAAAGAGTAAATCAATATCTTTAAAGTAATGAAAGTAAAATACAGCCAACATAGAAATCTATATCTAGTGAGAATGTCTTTCACAAAGGAAGGTCAAATAAAAACCTTTTGAGACATATAAAAGTAGAAAGAATAAACAGCAGCGATACCCAGGTAGTATTGTTACCAGTAGCGAATCCATATGGGTCTGCAGCAACCTCAGTTCTCCTCAGAAGAAAGAATTCAGCTGAGGTGCTGAAGGCAGGAGACACTGAGGCAAGTTTTAGAGCAGGAGTGAAAGTTTATTAAGAAGCTTTAGAGCAGGAACAAAAGGAAGGAAAGTATACTTGGAAAAGGGCCAAGCAGACGACTTGAAAGATAAGTGTGCAGTTTGACCTTTTGACTTGGGGTTTTATATGTTGGCAGACTTCTGGGATCTTGTGTTCCTCTTCCCCTGATTATTCCCTTAGGGTGGGCTGTTCACATGTGCAGTGTATTTACTGGAGTTGCACACATGCTCACTTGAGGCATTCTTCCCTTGCCAGTGGGATGTCCCTGGAAGGTCATGTACCAGTTAAACTCTGCCATTTTGCCTCTTAATGTGCATGCTTGATCCCACTCACCCAACTCCTGAGATCTTATAGGGAGGCTGCTGATCACGTTTCAGGTGTTCTGTCTATTTGGAGACTGCCTTTTTCTGGCACCAGCTACAACCAGTTATTAATTTAGAGAGACAGTGTGACAGCTGCCTGACCATCACCTGATAGTCGCCTGAAATTCCTGTTATCGGGGAGCCCTTTCCTGCTCTGCTCATGCCTGACTAGCTAACTGCTATAATATTTCCCCCCTCTGGAGTTCAAGACCCCAATTCTTTGGGGGAAATGGATGAAGGGCAGTCTTCTGTAACTACTTCCTGCTGACAGAGGGGTGGTGGTGGTTCTGTGGGTCTTAGCCTCTTGCTAGTTGTCACAGCAGGGTGGCTCTGTGGGTTGGTGAAAGTGGTATCCAGCCAGGTCCCAAGGGAGACGGGGCAGAATTTCACCTCTGTCATGTCTCACTGATGGGCAGTCTAGGGGTCACCCGTAGAAGGGTGACTCTTGAATATTGAGAGGAGGGTATCCCTCACTGAAGATCATCTATAGCTTGATGGCCTGAAAGCAAGGAGACAAATCAAGTTATTAGATTTAAAAGAATGTTAACATGAAATAAAGGAGTGAGGACGGGTCCAAAAATTCTCGAAGCTGTCGAAATGCTCAAGTAGCTGGTGGCTCTAGTCATGCGTACTCTAAGACTTGGATGCATGTGGTTGCCACCCAATTCTAATATGTGCCCAAAATCAGAATATTGATCCAGATTTTTATGTTACTCATCCTCCTTGCTTCTTCTGAGCTGCAGCAGGATGAATGCTTGGTTCACAGGAATAAGCAGGGTTAGTTCACAGGAATAAGCAGGCAGACAAAAACACAAAAACAACTGATGAAACTAGAATCTAATAATAGCTATACCATAGTTCTTGAAACAATTTTTCTCTCTGTAGTCCTCAATTTGATTAAAAACAAATCATGATAGGACTGACTCATTTGCAAAATATGCTTTAGTCTTATTATACTTAACCTGAGTATTTGTATAAAGCACAGCAAGAGTAACTATTTGCCATATAGGCTCCTTTTAAAATTAGCTTTGATGGAACTTTATTCCATAAGGAATCTCAGATAACACTCTTTTTAAAGCCTTAAGCCAAGCCATTCGTTGGTGCCATCAAATACCTGTATGAGCTGGGTATATTTTTCTTCTCTTGAGGTCCCAAGATAAATTGCTTTCCTGGGCCTGTTAGAAAGTGACATTCTTTACTTACCACAGGTCAGGAACCTTGAACAGGGACTGTGTAGACAAGGTATGGGGCCCGTTTCTCCCATGGGGCTTTTATGGGCTCTATAAATCCAGTGTGATTTCTTAAAGGACAGCATGCCATTCTAGTCAAAGCCTTGGTAAAATAACCAGTTCCTCCAATTGTGTCCTGTTGCAAAAGAAAACAGATTCTTATTGCAAATAAGCAATAATATAGCAAATGACTATATTCCCATAAGTTAAGAATACTCACAAATAGTTTCCAAATTCTGAAGAAATCAGATGCAGAGAAACAACTATGTTCCAAATATTGTTTACAGGTTGATATGGTTTGGCTCTGTGTTCCCACCCAAATCTCATCTTGAATTGTAATTCCTATGTGTTGGGGGAGGAGCTGGTAGGAGGTGATTGAATCATGGAGGTGGACTTCCTCTTGTTTTTCTTGTGATAGTGAGTTCTCATGAGATCTGGTTGTTTATTAAGTGTGTGGCATTTCTCCCTTCATGCTCTCTCTCTCCTGCCACCATGTGAAGAAGGTCCTTCCTTCCGCTTTGCCTTCTGCCATGGTTTCCCAAGCCTTCCAGTCTTGCTTCCTGTTAAGCTTGTGGAGCTGTGAGTCAATGAAACCTCTTTTTTTCATAAATTACCCAGTCTCAGGTAGTTCTTTATAGCAATGTGAAAACAGATACAGAAAATTGGTAACAGGAGTGCTGTATTGCTATAAAGATACCTGAAAATGTGGAAGTCACCTTGGAACTAGGTAACAGGCAGAAGTTGGAGGGGTTCGGAGGGCTCAGAAGAAGACAGGAAGGTGAGGGAAAGTTTGGAACTCCCTAGAGACTTGTTGAATGGTTGTGATCAGAATGCTTATGGTGATGTGGACAGTGAAGTCTAGGTTGAGGTGGTCTCAGATGGCAATGGGAACTTACTGGGAACTGGAGCAAAGGTCACTCTTCTTATGCTTTAGCAAAGAGACTGGTGGCATTGTGATCCTGCACTAGGAATCTGTGGAACTTTGAACTTGAGAGAGATGATTTAGGGTATCTGGTGGAAGAAATTTCTAAACAGTAAAGGATTCAAGATTGGCCTGGCTGCTGCTAACAGCATAGAGTCATATGCATTCACAAAGAGATGGTTTGAAATTGGAACTTATGTTTAGAAGGGAAGCAGAGGATAAAAGTTGGGAAAATTCACAGCCTGACCATGTTGTAGAAAAGAAAAAACATTTTCTGGGGAGAAATTCAAGCTGGCTGCATTGCATAAGTAAAGAGGAGCCAAATATTAATAGCAAAGACAATGGGGAAAATATCTCAAGGGCATGTCAGAGACCTTCTCAGCACCCCCTCCCATCACAGGCCTGGAGGCCTAGGAGGGGAAAAAGGTTTTGTTGGCCAGGCCCAGGGCCCTGCTTCTCTGTGCAGTCTCAGGACATGGCACCCTGCATCCCAGCTGCTCCATCTCCAGCTGTGGCTAAAAGCAGCCAAGGTACAGCTCAGGCCATTGCTTCAGAGAGTGCAGGCCCCAAGCCTTGGCAGCTTTTACGTGGTGTTGGACCTGCAGGTGCACAGAAGGCAAGAGTTGAGGTTTGGGAACGTCCACCTAGATTTCAGAGGATATATGGAAATGCCTGGATGTGCAGGCAGAACTCTATTGCAGGAGCAGAGCCCTCATGCAGATCCTCTGCTAGGGCAGTTGGAGAAGAAATGGGTTTGAGCCCCCACACAGAGTCCCCATGGGCCACTGCCTTGTGGAGCTGTGAGAAGAGGGCCGCCCTCCTCCAGATCCCAGAATGGTAGATCCACTGACAGCTTGCCCCATGTACCTGGAAAAGCTGCAGGCACTCAATGCCAACCTTTGGAAGCAGCCACTGGGACTGTACCCTGCAGAGCCTCAGGGGTAGAGCTGCCCAAGACCGTGGGAGCCTACCCCTTCCATCAGCATACCCTGGATGTGAGACATGGAGTCAAAGGAGATTATATTGGAGCTTTAAGATTTAATGTCTGTCCTGCTGGGTTTTGGACTTGCAAGGGGCCTGTAGCCCTTTTATTTTGGCCAATTTCTCCCTTTTTGAAGGGGGGCATTTACCCAATGCCTGTACCTCCTTTGTATCTTGAAAGTAACTAACTTGTTTTTTATTTTTTATTTTACAGGCTCATAGGTGGAAGGGACTTGCCTTGTCTCAGATGAGACTTTGGACTTGGACTTTTGAGTTAATGCTGGAATAAGTTAAGACTTTGGGGAACTGTTGGGAAGGCATGATTGTTTGTTTTTTGTTTTTTTTTTAGACAGAGTCTCGTTCTGTCACCCAGCTGCAGTGCAGTGGTGCAATCTCGGCTCACTGCAACCCCTGCCTCCTGGGTTTGAGCAATTCTGTCTCATCCACCCAGGTAGCTAGGATTACAGGTACCCAACTCCATGCCTGGCTAATTTTTGTATTTTTAGTAGAGACGGGGTTTCACCATATTGGCCACATGATTGGTTTTGAAATGTGAGAAGGACATGAGATTTAAGAGGGGGCAGGGGTAAAATGATACGGTATGGCTCTGTGTCCCCACTCAAATCTCTCATCTGGAATTGTAATTGCCAGTGTTGGGGGAGGGGTCTGGTAGGAGGTGATTGAATCATGAGGGTGGACTTCACCTTGCTCTTTTCATGTTAGTGAGTTCTCATGAGATCTGGTTGTTGGAAAGTGTGTGGCATTTCCCCCTTCGCTCGCTCTCTCTTCTGCCACCACGTGAAGGAGGTCTTTGCTTGCCCTTCACCTTCCACCATGATTTTAAGTTTCCTGAGGCCTCCCAGTCATGTTTCCTGTTGAGCCCGTGGAACTATGAATCATTTAAATCTCTTCTGTTTTTTCATAAATTACCCAGTCTCAGGTAGTTCTTTATAGCAGAATGAAAGCAAACTAATTCACAGGTATATGCTTTACTCAGTTGTTAAAAGCTGTACATAGCTCAAAAAAAAGTTTTCTTGACTTTGACAAAGGATTAGCAATGTGTTAAGCCAAAAGTCATGAGGATTATTTCAGTCTTCTACTAGTTTAGTCCATGCAATTAACTCATTCTGCTTGATATTCATGAACATTTTAGCTCTCCAGGAGAGTCCTGAAAGTTTTTTCCTTTATTCTAATGTCGCAATCTCCAAAGTTACCAGAAACCTGCATTTAAGAGCACTTGTTAGAGTCCTAGATCTGATTATAAAATCACCTTTTAAAGAGGTTTAAAACAAGACACCAATTGTATATAGATGACAAAAAGTTTTAGGGTAGCCACAGACAAAGACAAAATTGACAAGGAAATTTGTTACCTCTGTGGCACACAAGAATTTAACATAACAATAATTATTATAGATAATGTATACTAAATTATTTTATTTTTATTTTTATTTTTTTTTTGAGATGGAATTTTGCCCTTGTTGCCCAGGCTGGAGTGCAATGGTGCAATCTCAGCTCACTGCAACCTCTGCCTCCTGGGTTCAAGTGATTCTCCTATCTCAGCCTCCCAAGTAGCTGGAATTACAGGCACATGCCACCATGCCCGGCTGATTTTTATATTTTTAGTAGAGATGGAGTTTCATCATATTGGTCAGGCTGGTCTCGAACTCCTGACCTCAGGTGATCCATCTGCCTCGGCCTCACAAAGTGCTGGGATTACAGGCATGAGACACCACGCCCAGCCTAATGTATATACTATGTTATATTAGAATTATAGGAGTTTTGCATAATTTTGGAACACATACCAATAACACATTTACACAAATACAGTCCAAAGAAAGCCAGATGTTACCTTAGCATTAGTGCACTATTGATGTCAAACCCAACTCTTAACCTTACAGACAAATCTATTCAATTTTGTTTTCTTTTTGAGATGGAGTCTCGCTCACTCTGTTGCCCAGGCTGGAGTGCAGTGCGGCGATCTTGGCTCACTGCAACCTCTGCCTCCTGGGTTCAAGCGATTCTTCTGCCTCATCCTCCCAAGTAGCTGGGACTACAGGCACATGCCACCATGCGTGGCTAATTTTTGTATTTTTAGTAGAGATGGGGTGTCACCATGTTGGTTAGGCTGGTCTCGAGCTCCTGACCTCGTGATCCGCTGGTCTTGGCCTCCCAAAGTGCTGGGATTACAGATGTGAGCCACCGCGCCCAGCCTTTTTTTTCTGTTTTTGTCTTTTTTTTGAGACCGAGTCTCGCTCTGTCACCCAGGCTGGCGTGATCTCGGCTCACCGCAACCTCTGCCTCCCGGGTTCAAGTGGAAATAGATAGGATAAAGCTAAAAGTACGAGCAAGTTGTGCTCAACCTCCACCTCCTGGGTTCAAGTGATTCTCCTGCTTCAGCCTCCTGAGTAGCTGGGATTACAGGCACATGCCACCACGCCCAGCTAATTTTTTGTATTTTTAATAGAGACAGGGTTCCACTATGTTAGCCAGGATGGTCTCGATCTCTTGACCTTGTGATCCACCCACCTCAGCCTCCCATTCTATTCAGTCTTAATCAGTTTAACCATAAGGTAAAATTTTTGTTGTTGTTGTTTGTTTGTTTTGTTTTTGAGACAGAGTCTCACTCTGCAGCCCAGGCTGCAGTGCAGTGGTATGATCTTGGCTCACTGCAACTTCTGCCTCCCGGGTTCAAGCAATTCTCCCGCCTCAGCCTCCTGAGTAGTTGGGACTACAGGCGTGTGCCACCACACCCAGCTAATTTTTGTATTTTTGGTAGAGATGGGATTTCACCATGTTGGACAGGCTAGTCTCAAACTCCCAGCCTCAGGTGATCCACCTGCTTCGGCCTCCCAAAGTGCTGGTGTTACAGGCATGAGCCACTGTGCCAAACGAAGGTAAAAATTTTTATAAACTTTTTATAACCCTTTAGAATGTTCTGTTAAAGAGCAGAATAATACTCTAAGAAAACTGTGTTGTGTCTTTATTCCAATGTTCAATTTATGAATAAATTGAATAATGCCCCTTTAATTTTAGCTAATGTATTCACACACAGATCTTCTTTGACAAGATTAATCTTTCACAGACCTTCCACAACTTGCTCAAACCTTTAGCTTTATCCTATCTAACTTAAAACAATTTTTTGTATTTTTATTAGAGACGGGGTTTCACCATGTTGGCCAGGCTGGTCTCAAACTCCTGCCTCAGGTGATCCATCCGCCTCAGCCTCTCAAAGTGCTGAGATTACAAGTGTGAGCCACCATACCTGGCCAACATCCTTCTTTTTAAATAACCAGTTATTTTACTTTAGGACAAGAATTTACCACTTGAGATCCTTTCTCAGATAAAATCTCTTCTTTTTAACATTCCTTACCAGAAATACCTTTTCACCTTTATAACTTTTGTATTAGACAAGTAATTTTCCATCTTTTAGGAAACTATGATTTGTACTGCATGTTGCTATGAGTCGTGTGAAGGGGGAGCAAATACAGAGGTTATCTACATACTGTAGAAGTTATTCTTTCTCAAGAGATTGCTCAGTTAGATTTCTTCCTAGGGCGTGTCCAAAGAAGTGTGGGCTATTTCTAAACCCCTGAGGTAGGACTGTCCAGGTTGAAGTTATTGGTTAAAGCTTTAGTTAGCTTTACCAGAAGAAATAGAGCTATTAGAGAAAGATGAATTCAGAGGTCAGGTAAATATTAAGTAAGCACCATCTTGGAAAGTATATTTTTGCCTCAGTGAGGTGTGGGGTGGGAAACATTAGACATTACCAGGGACTGGTGGGAGAATGGTAATTGGTTCTTTAAGTAATATGAAGGGTATGAATCTTTTCTTTTGGAGGGAGGAGGTGCCATTTGTCCCCATTACCCAACAGGATTTGGAGGAGAGTTGCTCAGAGAAGGAGATTAGCACAGAGTAGGCAGCTCTTGAACCCAAAAGGGAAATTTATAATTGTACTTGCCATCTCAAGAGTTGCCCTTGGCTTTGTTCTGTTGATGACTATGTCTGATTTGGAAGCCAGCCAGAGGAAAGAGCCCCTTCAGCTCAAGGCCATCAAGGTTTGCGATCCTGTCCCAAGGCCCTTTGGCCCTCAGGGCAGTCCCATTACACTGGCTGAGCATGTGGCAGAGGGGGCATGCCATGTGCAGCTTTTTCCCATTTGTCCCATTGGGCAGTTTGCCTTCCAGTGGCCTAGCTCCCTGTGATAATGGTAGTAACCTGGAGGGAGCTGGAAGAGCTTGTAAAGCAACCAATAGTTGAGCCTGCCTCTGATCCCTGCATTTCTCCTTTGCCTTAGCCCTCTTCTCCTTATTCTACTCTCAGTTATAAAAGACTGAGAAGGCTAATCTGAGGACCTTCTGCACAAGGTCACTAGTTCCAAGGCTAACTTTTGTAATTTCCTCCCAGTTCATTTTTAGACCCTCCTGCACAGGGTCACTGGTTCGAAGGCTGACTTTTGCAATTTCCTCCCAGTTCCTTTTTAGGCCAAACAGTATTACAAAGGAAAACTAGTTTTTTGTGTCAAGGTTGGTGGGAATCAAACTTTTCCCAGTTTGGGGGATGCATCCAAGGGGTGTGTCTTCTGGTATGGAGATGCAATTACCCGTTTGTGAAGAGAGAACAGAGGAGAAAAAAAGGGAAAGAGGAAAAAGAAGGCTTTTCGTCTACTTTCCTATTATCCTGAATGAGGCATCCCACGTGGTCCTTAGGGTTCCAGAATGAACCGGTCCTACCAAGTAGCCTTGGTTCCATCTTGTCACAATTACCTACTTGAGAAGAGAGGAGATACTAGAGTGAACCGTGGGCCCCCTGTTCATCCTTGGGGTTCTGGAATAACCGATCTTGCCATGTAACCCTAACCTTGCTTTCATCTCTGTTCTAACAGTAATCTGTTAGCCTGGGACCAACCTTCATCTCTGTCCTATGGGGCTCTTGCCCCTGCAGCCTTTGGCTCACCTATGTCCTTGTCTCCATGACCTTACAGTGACTCGCATTTGGAGCATTCTAGCAAAAAATGTGATTTTCTCTTTTCTCAGATTCCCATTTCCCATGTTCTTCCCTCCCGACTCCCTTTTAAATATGACCTTGAAGCACGTTGAGAAGGGTGTAGAAGTAATTAGAGAATGGAAGCTACAGGAGGAAGTGAGAGGAATACTCATGGAAAGCCTTCATATGCTTGCAAAAATAGCAGCCCTAACATTTATTTGCCCTCCTGTTTTGTTTTTTGTTTTGTTTTGTTTTGAGACAGAGTCTTGCTCTGTCGCCCAGACTGGAGTGCAGTGGTGTGATCTTGGCTCACTGCAACCTCCGCCTCCCGGGTTCAAGCAGTTCTTCTGCCTCAGCCTCCCAAATAGCTGGAATTACAGGTGTGCACCACTACACATGGCTAATTTTTGTATTTTTAGTAGAGACAGGGTTTCACCATGTTGGCCAGGCTGGTCCCGAACTCCTGACCTCGTGATCTGCCAGCCTCAGCCTCCCAAAGTGCTGGGATTACAGGTGTGAGCCACCGCGCCTGGCCCCATTTATTTGCCCTCTTGATGTAAAGTAGTAATCTCCGGAGGACTTGGGGCTTGGGGTAAGAACTTGCAAATGGCAAAGGAAGAATATCTTTTCCTCTCAGTGGAGTGCTAACTCAAAAAAGCCAATAGGTGGGATCCTTAAAGCGTCAGAGTGAGGCCCTATGCAGGTGGACAGACTACTTCAAAACCCACTGGAAAACTTGGCCCTGGGACATAACAGGAACAAAAAGCATGTGGTAAGTCAAGGAGCTGGCAGAGCTGGAGTTCCAATTAATGTCTGTCCTGGCCATGTGCCAGCAGACAGGGAAAGGGTTAGAGTCGTGGAAGCTGGTAGGGTAAGAACAAGTATAAATCTCGGGATATCTGCAAGGGAGCTCGTGTCTTTGCTGCCATGCAAACACAGTAAAAGCCACGGGCACACAAATAACAGGGAGTGTGTGTTTAAGAAGTCATGTGGCATGTGAAGTGAAAGCAAAGAGGCAGACTTGCCCCCAAGGCAGATGGTCCAGCAGGTGCACAAGGCCATTTCAAAACACACACACACATAAAAAAAAGAAGAATAGGCAGTGAGGGTTCTTAGTAAATTTTAGCTGAAAAAGAAGAAGAAACCTGACATTGTACAGTTTTAGGCTTTAGCCCTACCACTCTTGTGAGCCCCTTGTCCAGGAAAGCCATTAGTGCCTCAGCGTGAACCTCAAGGTACTTCCCACCCCTGTGAGCCACCAATCAGGGTGAGCTGAGCAATCAGCCCAGGGGAACAGAGTCACATATGGCCAAGAGGAATTGTTCTGGGGTTTGGTTAGTAAGCACGAGAGAAAAAGGAAGAAGAAAATTGTGTACGGAGGTTGAATGCCTCCAGGCAGAGAAGGCAGGGCATAGAGATGTCTTACCACAAGGGAACGTATCTGAGTCATGCAGCATCAAAGTATGTGAGCAGTGGAAGTTATCAGAATCAATTGGCACCAAAATATGTTAGTAGCAGAATGTATCCCAGTCATGGCACCAAATCGTGTTACTGGCGGCAAATCCTTATGGGTCTGCAGCAGCCTCAGTTCTTGCCTCCTCAGAAGAAAGAATTATAATTTTTTTTTTTTTTTTTTTTTTTTAGATAGAGTTTTGCTCTGTCACCCAGGCTGTAGTGCAGTGGCATGATCTTGGCTCCCTGCAACCTCTGCCTCCCAGGTTCAAGCGATTCTCCTGCCTCAGCCTCCCAAGTAGCTGAGATTACAGGCACCCATCACCATGCCTAGCTAATTTTTGTATTTTTAATAGAGACAGGCTTTCACCATGTTGGCCAGGCTGGTCTCAAACTCCTGACCTCGGGTGATCCACCTGCCTTGGCCTCCCAAAGTGCTGGGATTACAGACGTGAACCACCACACCCGGCCAAAAGAAAGGATTTGACTGAGGGGCAGAAGGCAGAAGGAGAGACTGGGGCAAGTTTTAGAGCAGGAGTGAAAGTTTATGAAAAAGCTTTAGAGCAGGAACAAAAGGAAGGAAATACACTTGAAAGAGGGCCAAGCAGGCAACTTGAAAGACAAGTACACAGTTTGACCTTTTGACTTGGGGTTTTATACATTGGTGTACTTTTGGGGTCTTACGTTCCTTTTCCCCTTATTCTTCCCTTGGGGTGGGCTGTCCACATGTGCAGTGGCCTGCAAGCACTTGGGAAATGAGCATGTGCAGTGTGTAGTGGAGTTGTACACATGCTCACTTGAGACATTCTTCCCTTACTAGTGGAATGTCCCTGGAAAGTCATATACCAGTTCATCTCTGATATTTTGCCTCTTAATATGCATGCTTGAGCCCACCCACTGAACTCCTGAGATCTTATTGGGAATCTGCTGATCACCAGTTTCAAGTGTTTCTATCTATTGGGAGACTGCCTTTCCCTGGTGCTCGCTGTGACCAATTACTATTTTAGAGAGACAGTGTGACAACTGCCTCCCAACACCTGATAGTCACCTGACATTCCTATCAGGGGAGTGCCCTCTCCTGCTCTGCTCATGCCTCACTAGCTATGTACTGTAACAGTATGTCAGGGGCCTTTGGTGGGACTCTGAGACTTGCTAGCTTCAGGTAAACCTCAGCACATTCCTAGCTGTGATGGCTATGAGATGAGACTCCTTCTGCTTTAGAGAAGCAGAGGGGAAAGTAAAGAGGACTTTGTCTTGCACCTTAGGTACCAGGTTGGCCGCAGAGGGATAGAGCAACAAGCAGGCTCTTGGAGTCCCTGATTCCAGAACTTGCCTCTTGGACAGCATTTCTGGACCTGCCTGGGGCCAGACGGGAGTTCACTGGTCTGAAGGGTGAGTCCCAGGCCAGGCAGCATTCACCATATGCTGATTGAAGAGCCCTTGAACCATAAGGGAACATCAGCAGTAGTCTGGCAGTACTCCTTGTGGGCCTGTGGTGGCACTGGCCGTGGGGTGAGGCTCCTCTCCTATTGGAAAGGGGAGGGAAGAGTGGGAAGGACTGCATCTTGTGGTTTGAGTGTCAGTTCAGTTGCAATACAGTAGAACACCAGGTAGACTTCTGAGGTTTTTGACTCTACTCCTTAGCTCCTGGATGGCATCTAGACCTGCCTGGGGACTGGGGGAACTTGCCACTCTGAAGGGAGAGACACAGGCCTGGCTGGCTTTCCCACATGCTGATTGTAGAGCCCCAGGCTGTGAGTGAACATAGGCCATAGCCACGGAATGGTTACAGCAGGCCTTAGGAAAGACTCAGTGCTGTGCTGGCTTTAGCTCTAATCCAGCACAGTCATACCTGATGGCCACAGAGGTGCTTGTATTAGTCCACCCCAAGCTTCAGATGGCTCAGAATAGAGAGACACTCTGCTTGTCTGGGAGAAAGTAAAGGGAGAGAACAAGAGTCTCTGCCTGGTAAATCTTATCCAAGAACATCAGGTAGTAACTCTACAAGTCTGCAAGAATCATAGTGTTACTGAACTTATATTGTCCCTAAAGCAGATACAGCTTAGATCACAGCACCCAAGTTCTTTCAATTATCTGGAAAGCCTTCCCAAGAAGCACGGGTACAAACAAGCTCAGACAGTGAAGACTGCAATAAATACCTAATTCTGCAATGCCCAGACACAAACAAACATCTGAAAGTATTAAGACAATCCAGGAAAATAGGCCCTCACCAAGTGAATGAAATAAGACACCAGGGGCCAATCCTGGAGAAACAGATATATGACCTTCCAGACAAAGAATTCAAAATAACTGTTTTGAGGAAACTCAAAGAAATTCAAGGTAACCCAGAGAAGGGATTCAGAATTCTATCAGATTAATTTAACAAAGAGATTGAGATAATTTAAAAGACTCAAGCAGAAATTCTGGAGCTGGGCCACGTGTGGTGGCTCATGCCTATAATCCCAGCACTTTGGGAGGCCAAGGCGGGCAGATCACTTTAGCCCAGGAGTTTGAGACCAGTCTGGGCAACGGGGTGAAACCCTGTCTCTACTAAAAATACAAAAATTAGCCAGGTATGGTGGCGGATGCCTGTAATCCTGGATACTCAGAAGGCTGAGGCGGGAAATTGCTTGAACCTGGTAGGCGGAGTTTGCAGTGAGCCGAGATTGCGCCACTGCACCCCAGCCTGGGCGACAGAGTAAATCCAGGATTTCCTCTCCAAGCAGTGAGTAAATGTCATCTATGTAAGTACTCGTTATTCCTGTTGTTGACTTGATTTACACAGAAAAAAAAATCGTACCTGAAAAATACATTTAAGATGAATTTGTAACTTGAGGAATAATATTGAGAATTTATTAAAGCTTTTAGCCCAATGTCTGTGTTTTTGATCTAGCTATTGTTTTACAATCATATAATCTTATGCACATGGACCCTGGAGCCAGACTGTGGCTCTTATCTAAATTTTACCACTTATTAGCTGAATGTCCTTGAGCAAGTTATGCAACCTCTCTGGCCACAGCTCCTCATCTTTAAAATAGAAATAATAAAATTACCTATCTTATAGGGTTGTTTGAGGATTAAATAATTTGTTTTGAACAGTGCCTGGCAGAGAGTAAATGCTATCTATGTAAGTAATCATTATTCCTGTTGACTTGATTTACATAGAAAAAAAATTGTACCTGAAAAATAAATTTAAAATTGATTTTTAACTTGAGGAAAAATATTGAGAATTTATTAAAGTCACTGTTGTTCTTTTCTCAAGAATTCTTGGGCTGGGCATGATGGTACACACCTATAATCCCAACACTTTGAGAGGCCAAGACAGGCGGATCACTTGAGACTAGGAGTTCAAGATCCCCCTGGGCAACATAGTGAGACCCCGTCTCTGCAAAAAACATTTTTTTTAATTAGCTGTGCATGATAGCATGTGCTTGTAATCCTAGCTACTCAGGAGGCTGAGGTAGGAGGGTCACTTGGGCCCAGGAGTTTGAGGCTGCAGTGAGCTAGGATTGCACCAATGTTGTCCAGCCTGGGTGACAGAGTGAGACCTTGTCTCTAAAAATTAAAATTAAAAATTAGAAACATTTTAAAAAGAATTCTTGTCCAGGCACGGTGGCTCACGCCTGTAATCCCAGCACTTTGGGAGGCCGAGGTGGGCAGATCACGAGGTCAGGAGATCGAGACCATCCTGGCTAACATGATGAAACCCCATCTCTACTAAAAATACAAAAATTAGCCAGGCGTGGTGGCGGGCATCTGTAGCCCCAGCTACTCGGGAGGCTGAGGCAGGAGAATGGCGTGAACCCGGGAGGCGGAGCTTGCAGTGAGCTGAGATCGTGCCACTGCACTCCAGCCTGGGAGACAGAGTGAGACTCCATCTCAAAAAAAAAAAATTCTTTATTTTTCTATTCATAGTTATAGAGAAGAATATTAGCATTAATAAAATAGTGAGACAGCTGTGTCTCCTCAATTATATTTTATATAATCTTATCTTGAAATTTGCTTACTTTGCTTAGTATATTTCAGTGGAATTAATTAGCCAAAAATCATATATGGCAAGGAAGAAGAAGGATGGATTATCTGATGTGAAAAACTGGTTGCAAATTGGTAAATGTGAATAACAACTGTCAGCCGGGTGTGGTGGTGCATCCCTGTAGTCCCACGACTCAGGAGGTTGAGGATCACTTGAGCCCAGGAGTTCAAGTCCAGCTTGAGCAACATAGTGAGACCCCTGTCTCTAAATAAATAAATAACTATCGTTAGCATTCGTTGGGTGTTTTCTGAGTGTGAGTTGCTGTTCTAAGCACTTTACTTGTGGTAATTCTTTCTAATCTGACAACACATCTAGGTGTACATATTCATATTATCTCCATTTTGCAGATGAAGAAATGGAGGCCCTAATAGATAAACCACTTGCCCAAGATCATAAAACTTGTCATCAGCAGAGCCAGAAGAGTCCCTATGGTGATTATTGAGAATTAATGCTGCATGGTTAAGAAAATGAGAAAATAAGAATTAATTTTTAAGGAATCAATTTGAAGGAATTTAAATGTAATCATTTTAATCACTAGGATATTGGTGCCAGTTTGATTTCAGATGGTGTTTTTCTTAAAATTGAAGTAGATAAATAACAGGCTGAATAAAATGAATGGAAGACCATTTCAAAGGGGGTGTTTTTTACATAGTATTAGTGGTTCTTTTTTTCCAGAAATCAGTTAATATCAAGATAACCAGCCATTTTTCTGCAAATTGCATTTTCTGCACATTCCTACTTATTTTTTTTTTTTTTTACAGTCTTGCTTTGTCACCTATGCTAGAGTGCAGCAGTCCAATCATAGCTCACTGCAGCCTCATGTTCATGGGCTTAAGCAATCCTCTTGCCTCAGCCTCCCGAGTAGCTGAGACTACCAGCATGCACCACCACACCTGGATAATTTTTATATTTTTTGTAGAGACGGGGTTTCACCATGTTGCCCAGACCGGTCTCAAACTCCTGCACTCAAGTGATCCACCCATCTCAGCCTCTCAAAGTGCTAGGATTACAGGGGTGAGCCACCACGCCCAGCCAGTATTCCTTCTTCTTAAACCAATCTCTCCTTTGAATTGATGTGTTAGTAGTAATCTATCATTTGAATGACAGATCTTCTTAAAGAATTCTTATAATTGTTTCTTAAGAGTTTTGACTTCGTGTGTGTGTGTGTGTGTGTGTGTGTGTGTGTGTGTGTGTGTATTTCTCAACTAGGAGCAATCCTCTTCCCCCCACTTCCACCCAGGGGATATTTGGCAATGTCTGCAAACTTTTATTTTGAGACAAGGTCTCACTCCATCACCCAGGCTGGAGTGCAGTGGCACAATCATGGCTTACTGCAGCCACAGTCTCCTGGGCTCAAGTGATCCCCCCAACCTCAGCCTCCCGAGTAGCTGGGATTACAGGCACACACCATCACGCCCAGCTAATTTTTGTATTTTCTGGTAGAGACAGGGTTTCACCATGTCACCCAGGATGATGATTTCGAACTCCTGGGCTCCAGTGATCCTCCTGCCTTGGCCTCCCAAAATGCTGGGATTACACATGCCAGCCACTGTACCTGGCCTGGAAATCTTTTTGATCATCACAATTTGGAGAAGAGAGGTGCTAGTGGAATTGTCCCACACAACAGAGAATGTTACTAGTGGTAAGGTTGAGAAACCCTGGTGTGTGTGTTGAGGGGGGAGTGCATATGCATGTTTGTATATCAATGTCATTTCTAAAACATAAAGGTAAAAAAGAAATTAATGTTTAGATGATACTTTGTTTTTGAATACAAATATTGATTATTACTCAATTATACTTAATCGCTTCCAAACGTATTGTCACTTGATAAAGTCTATAAATATGTATTGTGCGCCTATTCTCTTTGCAAGGTACTGTGCTAGACACTAGAGGTAGACATCATTCCTGCCATCATGGAACTTAACTATATCGTTCTAAAGAAATCGGAACATTAGTATTTTGCCAGCCTCAGCCGGGCATGGTGGCTCATGCCTGCCTGTAATCCCAGCACTTTGAGAGGCCAAGGTGGGTGGATCACTTGAGGTCAGGAGTTCGAGACCAAC
This sequence comes from Homo sapiens, assembly GCF_000001405.40. NCBI lineage: Eukaryota > Metazoa > Chordata > Mammalia > Primates > Hominidae > Homo > Homo sapiens. Next base: position 31,968,095 of record NC_000010.11, read on the forward strand.
CTGATCAACATGGTGAAACACCATCTACCAAAAAATACAAAAATTAGCCGGGCATGGTGGCGTGCACCTGTAGTCCCAGCTACTCAGGAGGCTGAGATGGGAGGATCATTTGGGCCCAGGAGGCGGAGGTTGCAGTGAGCCGAGATTGTACCACTGTACTCCAGCCTAGGCAATGTGGACACTGAGACACTGTCTCAAATATATTTAGATAGATAGATAGATAGATAGATAGATAGATAGATAGATAGATAATATGTTTTATATATATATATATATATATATATATATATATGTTTTTGCCAGCCTAGATTGGACTGTTTCAAAGTATGATATTTTCAGTTAACAAGGGGAAAGAAATTGGTTGTCAACTGTCTTAACACAACATCAAAATATAAAATGAAATTAGATAAATTGATCTTCAGTAGGTTGTTGGAATATGTTCAAGGTATCAAATCATGGGTTTTTTCTCATTTTGGGAGTAAATCTTCCCAGGTCTCATTGCTGTCGCTAAAAATAGCTGTCTTTTAGGATATATTGAAACATTACATTTGGAATTTTTAAATGGTCTCCTCTAGTCCTACTTTTCCTGTTTAGTGATATTGTTATTGTTATTCACAATATGGCAGAGCTAAACTTATGCATGAATGATATGAATATAGCACTTAGAAGCACTTAGAATATGCATCTCACTATGCCTAAAATTCCAGCACTTGACAGTAATTCACTTTTCTTAGGCATTATGTCTTCAATAGTTCTCTATAAAAAGCTGATACTCTAGAACGAAAGAGAGAGAGAGGGACTGTAATAGTAATGTTTGTGAACGATTTCATTTTACATGTTACCGCTTTGGGAAATTAGAAAAGATATTAGTTGCCCTCTCCCGTCTCCCTCTCCCTCTCCCGTCTCCCTCTCCCTCTCCCGTCTCCCTCTCCCTCTCCCGTCTCCCTCTCCCTCTCCCGTCTCCCTCTCCCTCTCCCGTCTCCCTCTCCCTCTCCCGTCTCCCTCTCCCTCTCCCGTCTCCCTCTCCCTCTCATGCCGAGCCAAAGCTGGACGGTACTGCTGCCATCTCGGCTCACTGCAACCTCCCTGCCTGATTCTCCTGCCTCAGCCTGCCGAGTGCCTGCGATTGCAGGCGCGCGCCGCCACGCCTGACTGGTTTTCGTTTTTTTTTGGTGGAGATGGGGTTTCGCTGTGTTGGCCGGGCTGGTCTCCAGCTCCTAACCGCGAGTGATCCGCCAGCCTCGGCCTCCCGAGGTGCCGGGATTGCAGATGGAGTCTCGTTCACTCAGTGCTCAATGGTGCCCAGGCTGGAGTGCAGTGGCGTGATCTCGGCTCGCTACAACCACCTCCCAGCCGCCTGCCTTGGCCTCCCAAAGAGCCGAGATTGCAGCCTCTGCCCGGCCGCCACCCCGTCTGGGAAGTGAGGAGCGTCTCTGCTTGGCCACCCATCGTCTGGGATATGAGGAGCCCCTCTGCCTGGCTGCCCAGTGTGGAAAGTGAGGAGCGTCTCTGCCCGGCCGCCATCCCATCTAGGAAGCGAGAAGCGCCTCTTCCCCGCCGCCATCCCATCTAGGAAGTGAGGAGCGTCTCTGCCCGGCCGCCCATCGTCTGAGATGTGGGGAGCACCTCTGCCCCACCGCCCTGTCTGGGATGTGAGGAGCGCCTCTGCTGGGCCGCAACCCTGTCTGGGAGGTGAGGAGTGTCTCTGCCCGGCCGCTCCGTCTGAGAAGTGAGGAAACCCTCTGCCTGGCAACCGCCCCGTCTGAGAAGTGAGGAGCCCCTCCGTCTGGCAACCACCCCGTCTGGGAAGTGAGGAGCGTCTCCGCCCGGCAGCCACCCCGTCCGGGAGGGAGGTGGGGGGGGTCAGCCCCCCGCCCGGCCAGCCGCCCCGTCCCGCCCCTACTGGGAAGTGAGGAGCCCCTCTGCCCGGCCAGCCGCCCCGTCCGGGAGGGAGGCCGGGGGGGGGGGGGGGGGGGGGGGGGGGGGGTCGGCCAGCCGCCCCGGCCGGGAGGTGAGGGGCTCCTCTGCCCGGCCGCCCCTACTGGGAAGTGAGGAGCCCCTCTGCCCGGCCAGTCGCCCCGTCCAGGAGGGAGGTGGGGGGGTCAACCCCCCGCCCGGCCAGCCGCCCAGTCCGGGAGGGAGGTGGGGGGTCAGCCCCCCGCCTGGCCAGCCGCCCCGTCCGGGAGGTGAGGGGCGCCTCTGCCCGGCCGCCCCTACTGGGAAGTGAGGAGCCCCTCTGCCCGGCCAGCCGCCCCGCCCAGGAGGGAGGTGGGGGGGTCAGCCCCCCGCCTGGCCAGCCGCCCCATCCGGGAGGGAGGTGGGGGGGTCAGCCCCCCGCCCGGCCAGCCGCCCCGTCCGGGAGGGGGGAGGGGGGGTCAGCCCCCTGCCCGGCCAGCCGCCCCGTCCGGGAGGGAGGTGGGGGGGGTCAGCCCCCCGCCCGGCCAGCCGCCCCGTCCGGGAGGGAGGTGGGGGGATCAGCCCCCTGCCTGGCCAGCCGCCCCGTCCGGGAGGTGAGGGGCGCCTCTGCCCGGCCGCCCCTACTGGGAAGTGAGGACCCCTCTGCCCGGCCAGCCGCCCCGTCCGGGAGGGAGGTGGGGGGGGTCAGCCCCCCGCCCGGCCAGCCGCCCCGTCCGGGAGGGAGGTGGGGGGATCAGCCCCCTGCCTGGCCAGCCGCCCCGTCCGGGAGGTGAGGGGCGCCTCTGCCCGGCCGCCCCTACTGGGAAGTGAGGACCCCTCTGCCCGGCCAGCCGCCCCGTCCGGGAGGGAGGTGGGGGGAACAGCCCCCCGCCCGGCCAGCCGCCCTATCCAGGAGGTGAGGGGCGCCTCTGCCCGGCCGCCCCTACTGGGAAGTGAGGAGCCCCTCTGCCTGGCCAGCCGCCCCGTCCGGGAGGGCGGTGGGGGGGTCAGCCCCCCGCCCGGCCAGCCGCCCCATCTGGGAGGTGAGGGGCACTTCTGCCGGGCCGCCCCTACTGGGAAGTGAGGAGCCCCTCTGCCCGGCCACGACCCCGTCTGGGAGGTGTGCCCAGCGGCTCATTGGGGATGGGCCATGATGACAATGGCGGTTTTGTGGAATAGAAAGGCGGGAAGGGTGGGGAAAAAATTGAGAAATCGGATGGTTGCTGGGTCTGTGTGGATAGAAGTAGACATGGGAGACTTTTCATTTTGTTCTGTACTAAGAAAAATTCTTCTGCCTTGGGATCCTGTTGATCTGTGACCTTATCCCCAACCCTGTGCTCTCTGAGACATGTGCTGTGTCCACTCAGGGTTAGATGGATTAAGGGCGGTGCAAGATGTGCTTTGTTGAACAGATGCTTGAGGGCAGCATGCTCGTTGAGAGTCATCACCACTCCCTAATCTTAAGTACCCAGGGACACAAACGCTGCGGAAGGCCGCAGGGTCCTCTGCCTAGGAAAACCAGAGACCTTTGTTCACTTGTTTATCTGCTGACCTTCCCTCCACTATTGTCCTATGACCCTGCCAAATCCCCCTCTGCGAGAAACACCCAAGAATGATCAATAAAAATAAAAAATAAAAAAAAAAAAGAAAAAAATAAATAAATAAATAAATAAATAAATACTCAAAAAAAAAAAAAAAGATATTAGTTGACTTAGAAAGATATGATGAGGGAAAGCAGATTACAAAAAGTAGCAGGTACAATATGGTATAGAATATGAATTCATGAATCATATTATATTCATGAATCAATTCATGAGTTCATATTCTATACCATATTGTACCTGCTACATAACATGTGTGTGTGTGTGTGTATATATGTAGCAGGAAAGATACACACCGAAAGGCTATAATGACACTCTGAGTGGTTTAATTGCAAGTGATATTTACTCATTTACTCATGTGTGCACACACACACACACACAATGTTTTTTCTATAATTAACATGCCCTATTTACCTATTTATGTCAGTTTTTTATACAGGTTAAAAAAAAGAAAGCATTGAGGCCTCAAGTAGGTTTAAGTACAGAAAAAAAAAAAGCCATGAAGTCCCACTGAAATCTGTAGCACCACATCATATCACACGTAGGTTTAATAACCTGCTCAGGAAAAACAGATGTCAAACTTTTAGGCTGGGTGTGGTGGCTCACACCTGTAATCCCAGCACTTTGGGAGGCTGAGGCGAGACACAGAGTGTCCCAGTGATGTGGTGAGAGGGGAAACATGTTAGCATAAGAGCATGTATAGTCCACAAAGGACCCATGATGGAGTCTCACAGGTCTCATTCCTAGCAAATTTCATGTAAAAGTTGATTTTATTTTATTTTTTGAAGCGGGGTTGTCACCGGTGAGCAGCAACTATCTGAGCTGGTGGTGTGGGTGTTACGAAAAATTTATTTACCAAGACAGTTGTAGGTAAAGAAAGGCAAATTTATTAAAGAAAGTATGAAAATACACGGCAAGAGAGCAACAGGCAGGCCAGCCCAAAGGAGCCGATGACTTCCAAGAGACAAAGGCATGCTGGGGATAGTATAGAATAGTGCGTATGCTGTATGCTGAGGAAGGCTCTGTGCAGTAGTGATAACACCAAGGTTGCGGTGAGCTAACTTGCAGGTTTCTGATAGTTGGGTGCAGGGAGATTGTGAGTTATTTGCACAGGAGGGCTACGTGTCCTGGACCATGAAGAAAGGCAGACTGATAGCTTATCTGCTGCTTCTTTTTGCTTTCCCCTGGTCCTGCCAGCTTGATTCCTTTTCCCTAATTAGGACTCCACAGAGGTCTTGCTTTGTCACCCGGCTAGAGTTCGGTGGTGTAATCATAGCTCACCGCAGCCTCAAACTACTGGGCTTAAGCAATCCTCCCGCCTTAGACTCCTGAGCAGCAGGGACTACAGGCATGTACTTCCATGCTGGCTAATTTTTGTATTTTGTTTTAGAGACGGGGTCTTCACTATGTTGCCCAGGCTGGTCTGGAACTCCTGGCTTCAAGAAATCCTCCTGCCTTGGACTCCCAAATTGCTGGGATTACAGGTGTGAGCCACCATGCCCAGCCTCAAAGTTTGGCATCTGTTTCCCCTGAACAGTTTATTAAACCTACATGTGATATAATGCCGTGCTAGAGATTACAGTGTGACTTTGTATGTTTTTTTTTTTTTCGTGAGACAGAGTCTCACTCTGTCACCCAGGCTGGAGTGCACTGGTGCAATCTCAAACCACTGCAACCTCCACCTCCTGGGTTCAAGTGATTCTTGTGCCTCAGCCTCCTGAGTAGCTGGGATTACAGACGTGTGCCACCATACCTGGCTATTGAGTCAAGGAAGGGTTTCACTACATGAGGTTGTTTGCTTGGCACTTTGCAGTTGCATTCTGCACAGCATGAGTTGTAAATATTTGAAAAGATTTCATGCTTCTCATAAGTAACCAAACCAAACTACATAGAAATATGCCCCCAAAATCCAGAACCCTTCTAAAGGGAAGGCTACAAACATACATACTTCTAACACAACCACTTTGTTGAGAATCGCCTCAGAAAATTTTGCTAAATGACATACTTGATTCAAAGAAATGCAATATCAGAACTTGAGAATACATAAGTGTTTAAGTTCCAGCCCATTTTTGCAGGTAACAGTTTATAAAATACTCTGGAATAAACAGTGAAGATTATTCTCTGTTTCGGGGTAATTATATACAGTGTTTCACTTGATTTTGTTTTGTTTTGTTTCAGACTGGGTTTCACTCTGTTGCCCAGGCTGGAGTGCAGTGGCACAATCATAGCTCACTGCAGCCTCAAACTCCTGGGCTCAAGTGATTCTCCTGCTTTGGCCTCCCAAAGCACTGGGATTACAGGTGTGAGCTACAGTGCCCAACCCAATGTTTCACTTTAAATAGTCCACTGAAATATAAGAAACAATTCATTTCAACAAGGATATGATGGGTAGCTACTGTTTCAGTTGCTGTGCTAGGTTCAGAAATCAAAGATGAATAAACCTCAAAAGCTAAAAGGAGGATGTCAAATGTTCCCAGTATAAAAAAATGATAGGGACCAGGCGTGGTGGCTCACACCTGTAATCCCAGCACTTTGGGAGGCCGAGGCAGGTGGATCACCTGAGGTCAGGAGTTCGAGACCAGCAAGGCCAACATGGTGAAACCCTGTCTCTACTCAAAATACAAAAAATTAGCTGGATGTGGTGGCAGGCACCTGTAATCCCAGCTACTCGGGAGGCTGAGGCAGGAGAATCGCTTGAACCTGGGAGGCAGAGGTTGCAGTGAGCTGGATCGTGCCACTGCACTGAAGCCTGGGTGACAAGGGCAAAACTCTGTCTGAAAACAAAGATAGGCTAGGCACGTTGGCTCACACCTGTAATCCCACTTTGGGAGGCCAGCGAGGGAGGATGGCTTGAGCCCAGGAGTTTGAGACCAGCCTAGGCAATATAGGGAGACCCTGTCTCCACACACACACACATACACACACACACACACACACACACACACACACTCACACACATTAGCCAGCATGGTGGCATATGCCTGTAGTCCCAGCTACTCTGGGGGCTAAGGTGGGAGATGGCTTGAGCCCAGGAGGTCAAGGCTGCAGTGAGTCATGATCACATCACTGCAGTCCAGCCTGGGTGACAGAGCAAGACTCTGTCTGAAAAAAACAAAACAAAACCACTGAAGAAATGCTAAATGTTTCAGATGATGGATATGCTAATTACCCTTACTGGTTGCCATACGTTATATGTATGAAACGTCACTATGTATCCCATAAAAATGTATATCATTATTTTTCAATTTTAAAAATGATAAATAAGCCATGATCTTTGCACACAGGCCTTAGAGTTCAGTGAGGGGAACCAAGCTCCACACTGTGGATATGATGTCAGGGAGCATGGAGAGGGGATGCTGACGTGGGATGAGTGCTGGGCAGGTTTGGGAGGAGATAATGCTTGAACTGAGTCTTGCCAGGCAGACAGGGTGGAAGGGAAAAACGTCAAACTGACATAAAAGTGCAGAGACATGCAAGAGCCCAGAGTTTAAATAACTGCAAATAGTTCCTGAAGACAATTGGACTTCCACTTCTGGCCAAGGTGGAGTGACAGGGACTGGATTCAGCCTCCCATGTGAAAGGACAGAAAAAACAAACAAAATACGTAAAACAACAGATTTCAGACACTGCACACCAGGCAGCAGAGAACAATGATTCCTGAGAGAGGGAAAACAAATGAGGTGAGGCCTGTGATTACCTGAGCTCATTGCATGGAGAGAGCATTTAGAGAGGGGAAACGTGGGTGGAGCCTGGGGGCCCAGGCAGGCCATGGCATCTTGAGTTCACAGGGCAGAGTTCCAGAGGGGAGACTGCGGCACAGAGAGAGAGCTCCAGAGATCGGGGCCCTCAGGTTTTCAGCTGAGTACTAATCCACGCATGAGCGTGCAGAAACTACTCAAGACTCAAGAAAGAACCATGAGATCAGAGCAGAGGGAATAATCCTTGAATGAAAAACCTTGTAATTCACAGGGTATCAGGTAGAGTACTCTAAAGAGCATTTCCTCTGTGGTCTAGAATAAAGGCTGCTTTCATCTTGCCTAGCAAAGCTTAGGAGAAGCTTCAAAAAGATTAAACTGTTTCCAAACAATTTAACTGCTTCCCAGAATAAAGCTCAAGAAAATGTTTACAGGAATAGAAGACTAACACTTAAGGATGTGAAATTCACAGTGTCTAGCATCCAATAAAAAATTTCTAGGCTGCAAACAAAGAAAATACAATCAATAATGAGAAAAATCAATGTATAGAAACAACCCAGAAATGCATGCACATTAGTCAAAGAATTAATAGACAAAGTCATTAAAAACAGTTATTATAACTATATTCCATGTTTAAAGTCTACAGAAAAGACTGAGCAAATTGAACATCTAGATATGAAAAATGCAATATCTACAGTGAAAAATATGCTGGGACCAGGCATCATAACTGTAATCCCAGCAAATTGGGAGGCCAAGGCTGGAGAATCACTTGAGGCCAGGAGTTCAAGGCCAACCTGGGCAACATAGTGAGATGCCGTTTTCACAAAAAATACGAGGAACTAGCCAGGTGTGGTGTCACCCACCTGTAGTCCCAGCTAGTCAGACGCCTGAAGCAGGAGGATTGCTTGAGCTCAGAAGTTTGAGGCTGCAGTAAGCTATGAAAGTACCACTGCACCCTAGCCTGGACCACAGAGTGAGACCTTGTCTCTAAAAAAAAAAAAAAAAGGGAGAGAAAAATACACTGGATGGGATTGAGATTGACAGGAGTTTAGACAATGCAGAAGAAATGAGTAGTATAGTTGAATATGTAGCAATAAAAACTATCTAAAATGAAACAGTGAAAAAAGGTTGAAGGCAAAGCATCAGTGAGCTATGAAGCAACTTCAAGTTGCATACACTGTATCTGAGGCCAAAGTTGATTGATCCATGGCTGGACACCTTGAACATGGCTGGGCCAGTGAGTTTTAGGACCCAGAATCAAACTAGTCTCACTCTGGGTGACTAAAGCAGAAACATGGAGATCTTTGTGTTTTCCACCACATAGGCCGAGCAGCAGAAATCATCAATCTGCAACAAAGGGAGAAAGAAACAGACATTCAGAGGAAAGTTGATGTATAATTTGGAGAAATGGGCCCGGCGTGGCAGTGCACACTGGTAATCCCAGCACCTTGGGAGTTCGAGGTGGGCGGGTCGCTTGTGGTCAGGAGTTTGAGACCAGCCTGGCCAACACGGCAAAACCCCTTTTCTACTAAAAATACAAAAATTAGCCAGGTGTGGGGGCGCCCTCCTGTAGTCCCAGCTACTCAGGAGGCTGAGGCATGAGAATTCCTTGAACCCAGGAGGTGGAGGTTGCAGTGAGCCAAGATCATGCCACTGCACTCCAGTCTGGATGACAGAGCAACTCTGTCTCAAAAAAAAAAAAAAAAAAAAAAAAAAGAGAAATAAATCATTGCAATTTCCAGGTCTTGGTTCGAGTTGTTTCTGAATCTAGCTCTATCCCTGTGCTATTTGGCTTCTCCTTAGAGCCCATGAAATAAGGGTTTTTTGTCACATAAAATGAAGAAGTCCTTAGCTTATATAAAGATGATGCCTTTGATTTTTGGACATGTTAAGATTGGAGTGTCTGGGATATCAGTGTGGAAATCTACACTAGGCAGATGAATGGACTTACCTAAAGCTCAAATTCCCATTTTTATTCTATTAATCTATGTTTACCTAAATCCATAGGAATGTATGAAATTGACAGTGGAGAACCTATAGAGGGAGACAAGATAAAGCCAAGGATGGAACCTGGAAAAAAACCACATTAAAGAGACAGGAAGAAGAGCTTCCAGGAAAGGAGTCTGAGCAGGAACATCTACCAAGCTAGGTTGAGAGCACAGCATTGAGGGAATCGAAGGAGGAGAGAATTTAAAGAAAAGGGAAATGGAGAACAGTGTCAGATTCTTAAAGGGCATGACCCTAAAACGTTCCTGACCCTTGACTGACAACCACCAACTTCCTGTATTTCTAACCTTACTTCCTTTTCTCTGCCCATATTTACCACACATACGTCCATATTTCCCTGTTTCTGATCTCAGCATGCTATCTTAACCATAGTGATTAGTCTCTTTTAGGGTAGTTAGATTTTGGCGATCTTAACCCTGCATTCTTCTACAATATCTCACCCAATTTAGACCCAATTAAAGACCCAATCAAAGCAGATCAACAGGGAAGGGCTGTGAGCCCTACTCCTCCAAAAGATAATTGCATGCCAATATGACTGCCAGAGTCAAGGAAGGAGCTGGAGGAGAACGTATGGTTTCAATGAGAGGAAATTGGCATCATCCACCTATTAAAGCTCTTTTAGGAGGCACATATGCATAGGGACAAAAGCTCATGAATGGCATCTATTTAGATTTGCAAAAAGCCTTTCACAAAGCTCCACACAAAAGACTGTTTTAAAAATTGAATCATCATGGTATGATGGAGACTGGTGCAATGCATGAGGAAGTTGCTTAGAGACAAGAAACAATGGTTCAGGAAAAGGCACTTCTTGGAGGAAGGAGTGTAAACATTGGCATTCCCCTATGAGTATCCTTGTTTACTATTTTTATGAATTATTGAAGGTGGGTAGGTACAGTGACATTAAGTTCTTCTGATCATGAAAATCCCCACTATATGAGAATAACCTAAAGTTAGTGTGAGGCTATGTGAATAGGCAGAAAATATTGCACACATCAGCAAAAAGAAGATACTGAATTTAGGGAAAAATCATCTAACTTATACTTAGAAGATCCATAGGCCAGGCGGGGTGGCTCACACCAGTAGTCCCAGCACTTTGGGAGGCTGAGGTGAGAGGATCGTTTAAGCCTAGGAGTTCAAGACCAGCCTGGGCAACATGGCAAAACCCCATCTCAGCAAAAATACAAAAATTAGCCGGGCATGGTAGAATGTGCCTGTTGCCTTAGCTACTTGGGAGGCTAAGGTGGGAAGATTGCCTGAGCCCTGGAAGGTCAAGGCTGCAGTGAACCAAAGTTGTACCACTGCACTTCAGCCTGGGCTACAGAGTGAGACCCTATCTTTATTTTTTTATTTTTTTATTTTTTTATTTTTTAGTATTTATTGATCATTCTTGGGTGTTTCTCGGAGAGGGGGATTTGGCAGGGTCATAGGACAATAGTGGAGGGAAGGTCAGCAGATAAACATGTGAACAAGGGTCTCTGGTTTTCCTAGGCAGAGGACCCTGCGGCCTTCCGCAGTGTTTGCGTCCCTGGGTACTTGAGATTAGGGAGTGGTGATGACTCTTAAGGAGCCTGCTGCCTTCAAGCATCTGTTTAACAAAGTACATCTTGCACCGCCCTTAATCCATTTAACCCTGAGTGGACACAGCACATGTTTCAGAGAGCACGAGGTTGGGGGTAAGGTTATAGATTAACAGTATCCCAAGGCAGAAGAATTTTTCTTAGTACAGAACAAAATGGAGTCTCCCATGTCTACTTCTTTCTACACAGACACAGTAACAATCTGATCTCTCTCTTTTCCCCACATTTCCCCCTTTTCTATTCGACAAAACCGCCATCATCATCATGGCCCGTTCTCAATGAGCTGTTGGGTACACCTCCCAGACAGGGTGGCGGCCGGGCAGAGGGGCTCCTCACTTCCCAGACGGAGCGGCCGGGCAGAGGCGCCCCCCACCTCGCAGACGGGGCAGTGGCCGGGCGGAGGCGCCCCCCACCTCCCTCCAGGACGGGGCGGCTGGCCGGGCGGGGGCTGCCCCCCACCTCCCTCCTGCCAGGCGGGGGCTGCCCCCCACCTCCCTCCCAAAATTGCACCACTGCACTTCAGCCTGGGCTACAGAGTGAGACCCTATCTTTAAAAAAAAAAAAAAAATGCCTTTGTTGAGAATCCACTGTGTGACCAGATACTATGTGACATGTTGAGAAGCATTATAATACTTAAGGCATTTCTCTTTGCTCTTGGGGAACTTAAATGGAACAAGAAAGTATTTTCTGTAGTAGTTCACACAATAGGGTGTGAGTTTTCTAAGTGTTAAACTAATAAGGCTGAAAAATATGAATGTACTCAACATATTTAGATACTTTTATAAAAGGCATTGTTATGATGGCTTTATTAAGGGAAGCTAGACTATTTGGGGCTAGATTCATGACATCTGGATATATTAGTCAGGACCACTTTTGTTCCAAATGACAAAAATTAAAACTAACTTAAAAGGTTGGGTGTGGTAGCTCACACCTGTAATCCCAGCACTTTGGGAAGCAGAGGCAAGAGTCTCACTTGAGACCAGGAGTTTGAGGCCATCATAGGCAACACAGTGAGTAGAGACAGGGTCTCTACAAACAAAACAAAACAAACAAACAAAAGCCCAGCCAGGTATGGTAATGCAGACCTGTAGTCCCAGCTACTTTGGTGGGAGGCTGAAGTGGGAGGATCACTTCAGCCTGGGAGGTCGAGGCTGCAGTGAGTTGTGACCACACCACTGCTCTCTAGAGCCTAGGCAACAGAGCAAGACTGATAGATAGATAGATAGATAGATAGATAGATAGATAGATAGATAGATAGATAGATAGGAAGGACAGGCAGACAGAGACTAGATAGATGACAGAGAGACAGATAGATAGATGATAGATAGGTAGATAGATAGATTGATACATCAGTAGATAAAATTTTTAAAATACCAGTTACCAGTTGTGGTAGGCAGCCTCTAAGATGACCCCCTAGCATCCCTGGCTCCTTGTATTAACACCTTTGTATAATCCCCTCCTTTTTTTAACTTTTATTTTAGGTTTGGGGGTAGATACACAGGTTTGTTACATAGGTAAAAACATGTCACAGGGGTTTGTTGTGTATATTATTTCATCACTAGGTGTTAAGCCCAGTACCCAGTAGTTGTCTTTCCTGCTCCTCCCTCCTCCCACCCTCCCTCCCCAAGTAGACCCCAGTGTCTGTTGTTTCCTTCTTTGCCTTCATCACTCTTACCATTTAGCTCCCACTTATAAGTGAGAACATGCAGTATTTGGTTTTCTGTTCCTGAGTTAGTTTACTAATGGTAATAGCCTCCAGCTCCATCGATGTTCCTGCAAAAATGACATGATCTCCTTTTTTATGGCTGCGTAGTATTCCACGTTGTATATGTAGCACATTTTCTTTATCCAATTTGTCATTGTTGGGCCTTTAGGTTGATTCTGTGTCTTTGCTGCAGTGAACATTCACAATCACAAGCGTGTGTCTTTATGGTAGAATGATTTATATTTGTCTGGGTATATAACCAGTAATGGGATTGCTGTGCAATCCCCTTTTTCTACGTGGGTTGAATTGACTGACTTCTAAAGACAAGACTATGACAGAAGTGATGGTTTGTCACTTTTGAGATGAGGTTACAAAATACTGCAGGTTCCGTTTTAGATGCAGTGACTCTTTCTGGCCTTCTCTGGAATCATTCACTCTGGGGAGAGCCAGCCACCTTGTTAGTGAGTCCTGTGGAGAGGCACATGTAAGTGAGCTTGGAAGTGTATTTACTGAGACTGAAAATAACCAGGTATGTGAGCTTAGGAGTGGACCCTCCCCCAGTGTAGTCTTCAGATGAGACTGCAGACCTGGCTGACAGCTTCATTGCAGGCTCATGAGAGACCTAGAGCCTGAGACACCTGGGAAAGCTGTTCCCAGAGTCCTGACCCAAAAACTAAGAGATCATATACATTTTTAAAAATAAGAGACAGGGTCTTACCCTGTCACCTAGGCTGAAGGGCAGTAGCCCGATCATAGCTCACTGCAGCCTTGAACTCCTGGGCTCGAGCGATCCTCCTGCCTCAGCCTCCTGAGTAGCTGGGACAACAGGTGTGTGCCACCACACTGAGCTAATTTTAAAATTTTTCGTAGAGACAGGGTCTCACTACTTTTTGCCCAGGCTCATCTCAAACTCCTGGCCTCAAGCCATCCTCCTGCCTCAGCCTTCCGAAGTGCTGGGATTACAGGTGTAAGACACCACGCCTGGCCTCTAATGGTTTAAAGATCTGAAATGTATCAACACGAAGTAAAGGTTCATGTAAGGACCATATGACTTGTCTCTGAGCTCTGTTTATGCCTTCATGTGTGTGGGTTACCTAAGTACCTTTCTTGATGAAAAGGAAAATATCTCCAAGGGAAAAACAAAGTGGACTACATCCAATATGAAAAAAAAAAATGTCGCCGGGCGCGGTGACTCACGCCTGTAATCCTAGCACTTTGGGAGGCTGAGGCAGGCGGATCACAAAGTCAGGAGATCGAGACCATCCTGGCTAACATGGTGAAACCCCATCTCTACTAAAAATACAAAAAATTAACCGGGTGTGGTAGCTGGCGCCTGTGGTCCCAGCTACTCGGCAGACTGAGGCAGGAGAATGGCGTGAACCCAGGAGGCGGAGCTTGCAGTGAGCCGAGATCGCGCCACTGCACTCCAGCCTGGGCGACAGAGTGAGACTCTGTCTCAAAAAAAAAAAAAAAAGTTTATTAAAGCAAATTTTATTTAAAACCTGTTTTCTCCTTGACAGCAGCTTTACAATAAAATGAGATGTTTTTAAATTTATAAATCACATAATATGGGTATAAATACCAGACTGATGTTCCACCATGAAAAATATAAAATTGTAACCTCTAGAAACCGAGTAGGTAATAGAAATGTTGATTAACTTCAGCTGAAGTGCTCATACCTGCTGCTATTTTCAGGAATTAATAGCTACCCTGGGGCATTTTTAACTTACATACAACATTGAGTGGGATTTTCCTATGATGATTACCCTAATGTTTCAGAAAGTTCTAATTAGCAACTAATTACCATTCCACCTTGTCATCACACACCCTCATGCTGCCGTTGTAACTTTATATCTTCTTCTAATATGACAGAGGGAGGCTGCAATAAGTTCTGAAGGTGCTTTTGATAACTATGTAGCACAGGGAACAATATTACATTCACTGTTACTTCTGTAAGATTTAACTGTATCCAGACCATTCCTGAGCTCAATGTAGAATCAAAATAAAGGCCTTTAAAAATGCCATCCTCGGCCAGGCGCGGTGGCTTACGCCTGTAATCCCAGCACTTTGGGAGGCCGAGGTGGGTGGATCACGAGGTCAGGAGATCGAGACCATCCTGGCTAACATGGTGAAACCCCGTCTCTACTAAAAATACAAAAAATTAGCCGGGCGTGGTGGCAGGCACCTGTAGTCCCAGCTACTCGGGAGGCTGAGGCAGGAGAATGGCGGGAACCCGGGAGGTGGAGCTTGCAGTGAGCCGAGATCAGGCCACTGCACTCCAGCCTGGGCAACAGAGCGAGACTCCATCTCAAAAAAAAAAAAAAAAAAAAGCCATCCTCCCACTTGTAGGCTCCATGTTTTCTCACAAGGGACTGAAAGCAGGGCCCTTTACTTGGAATTCATTGGAATTCAATAAATACTTAGAATTCATTACTACTCATTAACAGTTAACTCATTTGCATGTTGTAAATTCCTTCGTCTTCACTAATTCTCGCTCATATACATAGAAAATTCTGGTTTTTGACCTACAATGACATTTGGTTTAGTTTGTTAATGTTCTTTTCCATCCTTATCTAATTTTCTACTACCGTAGGAGACTGTTTTGAAGCTATTTAGTTTTTGTTGTCCAGTCCTTTGAAGCCTTATGAGGAAAATTGTATGAATGAATATACACATGTTAATTACCACAAACATACATCCTTATTACCTATAGGTTTAGGTAAAACCCAGCGTTTTACCCCCAAGGGTCTGCAATAGTATTTGTGGTGGATGCTTTGCAGAGAGTATAGCACCAGCCTGTAGGACCTGGAGAAGAAATGGAACTGATACTCCCATATCCTCACCCAGAGTCAAGCACCTTGGCACCCCAGGCCTGGGCGGTTGAGATCACCTTGGAGCAGTGGCAAAGCTCATTTGGTGCTTTTATGTGAAAATGGAGTCCTGTGCACCGCCACCTTGATTTTACTTTGGAAAGCCACGGCTTGTATTCTGACTCCAGGGAATTCCACAGAGAAATGGTTAGTTACTATGTGGGGTTATTAGTCAATTTAAGGTAGAAAAGCCTTCTATGTACAATAGCAAAGAAGCCATAAAGGAGCAACTGATAGATTTTACTACCAGAAAAGGTAAAACATCTGCAAGTTAAAACAAAACACCATAAATAGAATTAAAAAGCAAATGAAAATAATGGAAGATATTTGCAAAATATATAAAAAAGGATTATGGTTAATGTTTTTAATAGAGCTCTTTCCAAGCTCTATAAATATAATTAGTTTTCTGATTCTTTTTCCGTTTCTAGAAGCACTCAAAATGGTCCAGCATTTGATATGCCCTTGTAGGCTATCCTACGATATAGCTGCCAATAAGACTAGGGTAGGCCATGTGAGGTGGCTCACACCTGTAATCCCAGCACTTTGGGAGGCCGAGGTGGGAAGATCAATCACTTGAGCCCAAGAATTCAAGACCAGGCTGAGCAACATAGTGAGACCTCGTCTCTACAAAAAATCAAAAAATTAGCCGGATGTGGTGGCATCACCTGAAGTCTCAGCTACTTAAGAGGTGGAGGCGAGAGGATCACTTGAGCCTGGAAGGTAGATGCAGCAAGCTGAGATCGTGCCACTGCACTCCAGCCTGGGCCACAGAGCAAGAACCTGTCTCAAACAAAACAAAACAAAACAAAACAAAAACAAAAAAGACCAGGCTGGCCTGAGCCTCTGGTAATGGAATTGTTTAGCTTTATACCAAGAGGAGTGAGACAGCACCAAAATCTGGGTATGGGATGTGCTCAGGCCGACCAGGAGAGGTTTATGCCATGAGACCTAAAATTCTTAACATGCTGTCTAAAACAAACAAAAGCATGTTAGCAGGGCCCGTGGTGCTTCGATGTGCACTAAATATATCTGTGACAAGATCAGTGTGCTTTTCTTAGTGAGGAGCAGAAAATCACTGTGAAAGCATTGAAGGCTTGGGCAGAGTCACAGAGCTACATTTTTTTTTTGAGACAGAGTCTCGCTCTGTTGCCCAGGCTGGAGTGCAGTGGCACGATCTTGGCTTACTGTAACCTCTGCCTACCAGATTCAAGCGATTCTCCTGCCTCAGCCTCCCGAGTAGCTGGGATTACAGGCATGTGCCACCACGCCCAGCTAATTTTTTGTATTTTTAGTAGAGATGGGGTTTCACCGTGTTAGCCAGAATGGTCTCGATCTCCTGACCTCGTGATCCACCCACCTCTGCCTCTCAAAGTGCTGAAATTACAGGTGTGAGCCACCGCGCCTGGCCCACAAAGCTAAATTTTAAATTGAAGCTTTTTTGAATAATTAAATCAAAAGCCTTATAAAACAATTGTGTTTCTGCCATTACATTATAGGGAAATGGATGGGCATATTTTCACCAAATGTAGATATATAATGGGGTGATCTGACTTGAAATATAGATTATGTGTTGTACAAAGAGTACATTTTGGCCAGATGCATCGCTGTAATCTCAGCACTTTGGGAGGCCAAGGGGAAAGGATCGCTTGAATCAGTAATTTCAGACCAGCCTGGGCAACATAGTGAGACTCCATCTCTACAAAAAATTTAAAAAATTAAAAATTGAAAATAATTCATTTTGGGGGATTATAGGGAAATCAAGGGAGATGGGCAATCCTCCTTTGGAGCAGCTGAACCTGAGGGTCAAATTGAGGCCCTCAGGGTGCCCATTGGGTCAGAGGGGACTGCGCACATGGTATGAATACTAGCTAAGGCCTTGGAGTGCTGTGAAGACTAATGACATTATCTGTGTAAAGTGCTGACCTCAATGACCAGCACACTCACTTATTCAATTATTTATCAAATTTTTATTGAGTGGCTACTGTGTACCAGATACTCTGCCAGGTGCCGGGGGTACTGCAGTGAACAAAACAGACAGCAGTCTCAAACCTCTCAGGGTTTACATTCTCCTAACACACAGTAAACCATCATAAAAGGTAGCCAGCATTATACTATAATACAAAATATGGGAAAACTAAAAACCATGATAGCTTTTTTCACCAGCTAAACTGGCAAAGATTCTGATGAAGATAATCCCTAGCAGGTATGGGCCAAGAGTATAGGCACTTTTTTTTTTTTTTTTGAATTTTTGTTTGAGACAGGGTCTTGCTTTGTCACCCAGGCTGAGTGCAGTGGCGTGATCGTGGCTCACTGTAGACTTGACGTCCCAGGCTCAAGCAATCCCCCCACCTCCTCCTCCCAAGTAGCTGGGACTACAGGTGCATACCAGCATGCCCAGCTCATTTTTTAGTTTTTGTAGAAACGGGTTTTTGCCATATTGCCCAGGCTAATCTCAAACTTCCTGGGCTCAAGCGATCCTCCAGCTTCACCCTCCCAAAGTGCTGGGATTATAGACATGAGCCACCTTGCCCAGGCAAAAATAGGTACTTTACTCTATTTCTGGGGGCAGTGTAAATTGGTGCAAACTTTCTGGAGGGCAGGTTGACAGCATGTATTAAATGCTTTTACTCCCTCAATTCCACTTCTGACTTATTGTAAGGAAATATTCATGGATTACTCAATAATATCTACTTGGGAAGGAAGTTAAGATGCTCAGAGCCGAGCTCCCCAGTTAGACAAGTCTGAGTTCACACTAAAGCGGGTTCTGCCATCTACTTGCAGTGTGACCCTCAGGTGAATTAGGGGCATCAGCACTGCATGATCTTAGGCGAATTGTTCCCAGCCTCCATGCAGCACGCTCCTCATCTGTAACATGGACATGATAATAGCATTTACCTTACAGGGCTATTGTGAGAAGTAAATGAGATAATGTAGAAAACACTTTAGTGTAGTGCCTGATGCATGGTAAGATTTCAATATACTTAAGCAAAAGAAAAAAAAAAGTATATGTTCATCCCAGCAGTATTTACAGTGATAAAAAGTAAAATAGAAAGTACCTAAGTGATTTAAAATAAATACAGAGAAAAAATTCCATACCACCACTAAAAATCATGTTGCAGATGAATAGTTAATGATATGGAAAATGATCACAATATATTGTTAGGTGAAAAAAAATTGATTATAGCCTGGGCACAGTGGCTCATGCCTGTATTCCCAGCACTTTGGGAGGCCAAGGTGGGAGGATTGCTCGAATCCATGAGTTTTAAGACCAGCCTGGGCAACATAGGGAGACCCCCTATCTCTCCAAAAATAATTTTTTTTTTAATTAGCCAGGCATGATGGCACATGCCTGTAGTCCCAGCTACTCTGAAGCAGAGGATTGCTTGAGCTGGGGAGGTAGAGGATGCAGTGAGCCTTGATCACATGGCTACACTCCAGCCTGGGCAATAGAGCAAGACTCCATCTCAAAAAAAATAAAATAACATTTTAAAAGGTGGTTACAAAGAATATGTACAAAACAAGAGAAGTGAAGGACCTCTTCCAGGAGAACTACAAACCACTGCTCAAGGAAACAAACAAATGGAAAAACATTCCATGCTCATGGATAAGAAGAATCAATATGGTGAAAATGGCCATACTGCCCAAAGTAATCTATAGGTTCAATGCTATTCCCATCAAACTACCATTAATATTCTTCACAGAATTAGAAAAAAAGACTTTAAATTTCATATGAAACCAAAAAAGAGCCTGTATAGCCAAGATAATCCTAAGCAAAAAGAACAAAGGTGGAGACATCATGCTACCTGACTTCAAACTATACTACAAGGCTACTGTAACCAAAACAGCATGGTACTGGTACAAAAACAGACACATAGACCAATGGAACAGAATCTGCAACCATCTGATCTTCAACCAACCTGATAAAAACAAGCAGTGAGGAAAGGATTCCCTATTTAATAAATGATGCTGGGAAAACTGGCTAGCCATATGCAGAAAATTGACACTGGACCCCTTTCCTACACCTTATACACAAATGAACTCAAGATGGATTAAAGACTTAAATATAAAACCCAAAACTATAAAAACCCTAAAATAAAATCTAGGCAATACCATTCAGGACATAGGCACAGGCAAAGATTCATGACAAAAACATCAAAAGCAATTGAAACAAAAGCAAAAATTGACAAATGGGATCTAATTAAACTAGCGGGCTTCTGCACAGCAAAAGAAACTACCATCAGAGTGAATAAACATCCTAAGGAATGGGAGAAAAATTTTGCAATCTGTCCAACTGACAAAGGTCTAATATCCAGAATCTATAAGGAACTTAAATAAATGTACAAGTAAAAACCAAACCAAACGACCCCATTAAAAAGTGGTCAAAGGACATGAACAGACACTTCTCAAAAGAAGACATTTATGTGGCCAACAAACATATGAAAAAAAGCTCAATATCACTGATCATTAGAGAAATGCAAATCAAAACCACAATAAGATAGCATCTCACATCAGTCAGATGTGAGTCAAGAAACAACAGATGCTGGTGAGGCTGTGGAGAAATAGGAATGCTTTTACATTGTTGGTGGGAATGTAAATTAGTTCAACCATTTTGGAAGACTGTGGCAATTCCTCAAAGACCTAGAACCAGAAATACTATTTGACCCAACAATCCTATTACTGGGCATATACCTAAAGGTATATAAATCATTCTATTATAAAGATACATGTACACATATGTTCATTGCAGCACTATTCACAATAGCAAAGACATAGGATCAACCCAAATACCCATCAATGATAGACTGGATAAAGAAAACGTGGTACATATACACCGTGGAATACTATACAGCCATAAAAATGAACGAGATCATGTCCTTTGCAGGGACATGGATGAAACTGGAAGCCATTATCCTCAGCAAACTAACACAGCAACAGAAAACCAAACACCGCATGTTCTCACTTATAAGTGGGAGTTGAACAATGAGAACACATGGACACAGGGGGAACAACACACACTGGGGCCTGTTGGCGGGGTGAGGAGGGAGAGCATCAGGATAAATAGCTAATGATGCACGTGGGGCTTAATACCTAGGTGATGGGTGGATGGGTGCAGCAAACCACCATGGCACATGTTTACCTATGTAACAAACCTGCATGTCCTGCACATGTATCCCAGAACTTTAAATTAAATTTAAAAAAAAGAATATGGCCAGGCACGGTGGCTCACGCCTGTAATCCCAACACTTTGGGAGGCCAAGGTGGGTGGATCACCTGAGGTCAGGAGTTCGAGACCAGCCTGGCCAACATGGTGAAACCCCATCTCTACTAAAAATAGAAAAATTAGCTGGGTGTGGTGGTGGGCACCTGTAATCCCAGCTACTCAGGAGGCTGAGGTAGGAGAATCGCTTGACCCTGGGAGGTGGAGGTTGCAGTGAGCCGAGATAGCACCACTGCACTCCAGCCCGGGCAACAGAATAAGACCCTGTCTCAAAAATAAATAAATAAATAAAATAAAAAGAATATGTACAATATCCCAATTTTAGAAAAAAATACAGGAAGGCGCTATACTATGTATTTTCCACAATAAGCATGCATTATTTTGTGCTTTTGTGCTTTATACATATTATTTATAGCAGACGTATATTAGGTTTTGCACGTCCAGCATCAGCCCACTTCCTTCTAACATCCTGGTTTTCTTATGTGGAATAATCCATTCCCCTCTGCCAGAAAGGCGATTTTTGGCTTCCACATCTCATATCCACCTCTCACTTACGGAAGCCACAAGGCTTTGATCCCAGAGGCTGTGCTACAAGAATGGTGGATATTTTGGAGGGCATTGTTAGCATCCTGGCAGCACTGTGGGTGGGGAGTGGGTGGGGTTGGTAATGTGACTCTGCTGACAGTGTCCCATCCTCTGGGACTTCCTTGGTCCTTGCCCTTTCCCAAGCCTGGTCATTGTCCTCCCACTGTGTTCATGAGCCCCTCTTAACCTGTCAATAAATCCTTTTCTGCTTAAGTTAGCCAGAATCTTTTTCTGTTGCACACAACCAAAAACTTTTACTAACAAGTTACTTTTAAAAACTGGAAAATGAATAAAGCAAGCCGTAGCAGCTATGGAGCCATTCTTTGCCGGAATAGTCTAAACCCAGGTGAGCCTGAGATGGCTCAGAGGAAATGCTAAATGACCGGGCTGCAAAATATCTGGTTGGAAACTAGAAAAATGCATTACGTAACTTAAAAACTAATTGTTGAAATTAATTCACTTAAATTGACCATTTTAGATGTTCCTAGATATCCAGTTGTTCAACATGATGTGACAGCTGATGATTGGGTTTTTTTGTTGTTGTTTTTTTGAGAGGCAGTCTCACTGAGTTGCCCAGGCTGGAGTGCAGTGGCGTGATCTCAGCTCACTGCGACCTCCACCTCCCTGGTTCAAACGATTCTCCTGCCTCAGCCTCCCGAGTAGCTGGGACTACAGACACACGCCACCATACTCGACTAATTTTTTTGTATTTTTAGTAGAGATGGGGTTTCACCATGTTGGCCGGGCTAGTCTCAAACTCCTGACCTCAAGTGATCCACCCGCCTCGGCCTCCCAGAGTGCTGGGATTACAGGCGTGAACCACCACACCCAGCCATGATGATTGTTATTCTTTAATCTTTGTGATTTGAACTTATTTAGAATTTAGAATACAATGAGGGAAATGCTAAACTGAAATGGACAAAGACCTTCAGTATAGGCTAATGAACCACACACATACTAACTAGTGGGTACCAACGCTACCCTATATATTGCAGTATGAGACAGTGGACTTTTAGCTATTTACTGTTAAAGCATGACCTCAGGAAAGCAATATGAATTGTAGCTTTGTTGTTATGCCTTAACAATAGCAGGCACCTGCACATATTCATCTACCCTTAACTTGGGTAGCATGACGTAATTTGTTTTCAAAAGATTTTTTTGTGCCATC
Source organism: Homo sapiens (assembly GCF_000001405.40). Lineage (NCBI taxonomy): Eukaryota > Metazoa > Chordata > Mammalia > Primates > Hominidae > Homo > Homo sapiens. Next base: position 31,990,417 of record NC_000010.11, read on the forward strand.
TGTTATTAAAATGATGATTGCTTTTGATACAAGGTTTGCTAGATATTAGTCACCCACCCTCAGTCCTCATCTTTATATTTCAGGAGTGTCAGCTTCGGAAATCTTGTAGCTCGCCTCCTCAATTACTTTGCCCATTTTCTTCTGACTCTCATGGAGACGATACTCTCCAAATGTGAGTCTGACCCAAGATTTGGACCAGTCTTGACACCTGAAGAACACAGCACATTTAACAGGCAGTTATAATGCAGCTTTCTGGAAACAATTACCTTAAATATGATTTTCACTCATTATACAGCCTTTCATAATTTGCCATCAATGTTGTTAAGAGCTGTAGGAAAATTAAATGTTACACAATTTTACTTTAAATCAGTACTGGCCAGGGGCAAGTGGCTCATATCTGTAATCTCAGTACTTTCAGAGGCCAAGGCAAGAGGATCATTTGAGGCCAGGAGTTGCTCAGCCTGGGCAACATAGTGAGACCCCATCTCTACAAAAAAATACAGAAAAAAAAAATTACCCACCCATGGTGGCACATGCCTGTAGTCCCAGCTACTTGGGAGGCTGAGAGGCAGGAGGATCCTTTGAGCCCAGGAGTTTAAGGTTACAGTGAGTTCAAGGTTACAGTGATTTCACTGCACTCCAGCCTAGGCAACAGAGCAAGACTCTTTCTCTAAAAAATAAGTGAATAAAATCAACACTTCTCACATTTTTATGTGCATGTGAGTCACTGAGGATCTTGATGAAATGCAAATCATGATAGAGTAGCTGTTCTGGATGTCTGTTGCTATATAGCAGATATTCCCAAACAAGTGCCTTAAAACAGCCATTCAAGGATTAATCATTTATTTTGCTCACAAATCTGGAATTTGGGCAGGGTTTGGTGGGGTTGTCTTGTCCCCAAACATGGTTAAATGGGAAAGTTTGATTCGGAAGGTGACTTGATGGCGGGGAACTGAAATCACCTGGAGGCTCATGTACTCTCATTGTGGTTGATGCTGGTTGTTGACTGGGACCCCAGGTGGGGCTCTTGACCACTAAACCCACAGGTATCCTCCCCATGGGGATGCTTGGCTCCTTTACAACGTGGTGCCAGGTTCCACCAAGTATCCCAACTGAGCAAGGTGGCAGTTGCATGGCATTTTTATGACCTTGCCTCAGAAGTCACATAACATCATTTGTGCCATACCCTATTGGGCAAGGCAGTCATAAAGGTCTGCCTGCCTAGGTTTAAGGGGATGTTGACCTCATCATTTAACAGGGGATTGTCAACTTCACAGTGAAAGAAGAGCATCTGGGGAGGAACATATTGTGGCGGCCATATTTGGAAAGTGTCATCTGCCACCGTAGGTCTGGTGGAGCCTGAGATGCCTGAGACTCTTCATTCACTTCTAACTTCCAGGTGACACCAGTGCTGCTCAGAGCCCTTTGAGCAGCGAGGGTCTAGATCACATAATGTAGTCAAATTCTATTACAAAGATTATTTTGGATTGTTTTGGAAGTGGTTAGAATACACATGCATGTATACATGAGTATTATGGATCTTCCTGAAAGATGCCATGTAAGTTTTTCTCATTTTTTGTTTTCATCTTTTTAAAAATTACAACATTCTTTTAGTCTAATCTCATTTACTCTTCTTTCTCCATAATATTGTAGCCATTTTTTTTTTTTTTTGAAGCAGTCTTGCTATGTTGTCCAAGCTGGAGTGCAGTGGCTATTCACAGGCGCAATCCCACTACTGATCAGCACAGGAGTTTTGATCTCTTCCATTTCAGACCTGAGCCAATTCACCCCTCCTGTGGCAACCTGGTGGTCCCCCACTGCCAGGAGGTCACTATATTGATACTGAACTTAGTGCAGATACCTGATTGGCACAGCTCTCTGCAGTCCAGAACTCCTGGGCTCAGGTGATCCTCTGGCCTCAGCCTCCCAAGTAGCTGGGACTACAGGCACGTCGTTGCACCCAGCAATACTGTACCCTTAAAGAAAGAGAACTGCTTCATAAATCTTTGGTTAGATAAACTTGTTTCCAACATATAGCATTTTATACTGCAGAGTTCATAAAATGTATTGACATTGGATTATTGTAATACTGTATTGAATGATTACTGAAATAAATATTGGTCATTGAAAATCACAATCTGTTTCTGAAGGGCAAAATTTGATGATTTTGCAGCCAGTTAGTGTTAAGTGAATTTATCTATATGACATTGATTTTTAAAACCTGGAGAAATTGGTTGATGTAGTATCAACATCACATAGAACCATTAACCACCTCCATGAAATAACAGATGACTTCACAGGACACCCCTTGGAGAATCACAGAGGTTCATTCATTGAACTCATGATTATTGAGTACCCTCAGTGAGCTAGATCTTATGATAAGTTCAAGGGTTACCAAATAAACACGATTCCTGCTCCTTCTAAAAGCTTACTTCTAGAGGGTAGAGTTGGAAGAAGCCAACTATGAACAAGTAAACCAATCAATCATCATTTGTCAAAGTATGGTCCATGGACCTTTGGAGGATGTAAGACCCTTTCAGGGGGATCTGCAAGATCAATATTATTCATGGGTAAAAGATTCAACAAGAGTACAAATGAACAATGGAATTTAATATAAGGGAATACATAGAGTTCATTGATTTGGTTCCAGATTCTACATTGCAACTAGCCTTTCAGAAAGTACTACTGTCAAGTTTTGGTGTAATATCAAAGAAGAATATCCAGTTATTTGAAAAAGCTATGTTTCTCATTTCCAACCACACATCGGTATAAGGCTAAGTTATTCGGATACTTAAACCAAAACAAGATACTGCAACAGACAATACCAAAGCAGATGAGAATTGAGCTTTCTGTTAAACCAGAAATTAAAGAGATTTGCCAAAGTATAAAACAATACTATTCTTTTTGCTTAATTTTGTTTTGGAAAAATATATTTTATTTTACATAAAATATGTACTTATGTTAGCAAATAATGACTTATTATTTAAAAATCAATTAATACTTTTAAATTTTCCCAGCTTTAATTTTGAATATGATAAACATGGACAGATGTAAACCACATCAAGAAAAGCTTTTTAAAGCTGGGCCTAGTGGCATGCAGCTAGTTACTCAGGAGGCCAAGGTGGAAGTGACATAGGAGTTAAGAAGAAATCACTTAGGCAGATAGTAAGGGTATGGGAGTCCTCGGTAAGGCTTTTCTTTTTAATGAAAAGCAGCCCCAAATCATTTTGTAACAAAGAGCAGCCTGTAAGGTTGAGCTGCAGGCAGAGACAAGCAAGCTGGGAGCTTGCACAGGTGAATGCCAGCAGGAACTAGGGGAACAGACAAGTTCAAGATGGCGGCTCCATCTTCCCTTCTCTGCCCATGAGTTCTAGTCCAGCCTGGGCAACATAGTGAGACACCCCCCATCTCTTAAAAAAAAAAAAAAAGAAAAGGAATCTTTTTTAAGATCTCAATAATTTTGAAAAGCAAAAATTTCCCATGGAGTGTTAGTCATTCAAGCTCCTGAGTTGCATCACCTATACTCTTGGGTAGATGTTTAGGATGTCAGATCCCATGCCCAGCTGTGTGGTTTTATCCAAGTCCAAAAGTAGGAGGAGTAGGTAGAAACTCTGGGTATCTGGTTGGCCTGGCTTTGTAGTGGTAGCAAGAGGTGACAGTTTTGCTCTCCCAGAGCAACTGGGCTCAAGTGGTAGAACTATGTGTTAAGCAGGAACAAGAGGCTGAGGGTCTAGGAGGTGGTGGTGCTAAGCAGACTGAGAAGGAATATATCCTTATGTCTGATACCAGTATATCGTGGTCACCTTTCCATGGCAGCACATGAAACAGAAGTATGGCTTTACATTATAAGGCTTTATATTATTACTCTGGCTTTGTATTAAGGATGAACTATAATTTTATATTTCATTTTATGTTATAACTATGGCTTTGTATAAGGGTGAACTATAAATTTTAAAAACTAACCTCTAGTATTCTGCCTTTGGGCTATTTCCAACTCTTTTGCTTTATAAACACTGCTGAAATGATCAGCCAGTGCAACAAATATTAGGAAAATGAACAAGATAATTGCAGTAGTGATTATGCGCTGAAGACCATCACTGGAATGTAAGCTGCATAGAAGTACGGATTTTAGCCTGCTTTGTTCACTGCTGTATCCCCAGCACCTAGCATAGGGCCTGTCATAGAATGTGTGCTCAAGAAAATATTTGTCAAACGTTGAAAGCAAGGTGATGTGATAGTGATTGGCAGGGGATGTTTGGGAAGTCCCTGCATTGAAGCTGAGAATTGAGGAAGGGAAAGTGTTTGGGAAGCTGTAAATGGAGGTTTCCAGGCAGAGGGAAGAGGATGTGCAAAGGCTGTGAGATGGAAGCCTGTTGGCACGTTCGAAAAACAGAAAGGTTTGTGTGCTGGAGGACAGTGAGCAAAGGAGAGAATAAGGGATGAGGGTGGAGGGGAGGGCAGGGTCAGAACAATAGGGCCTTGCCAGTCCTAATCATCATCAACTTCAATTTTACAAGGCGGCTAAAAGCCGTGGTAGAATTCTACCAGGAAAATGACATTATCAACTTACGCTTACTCTAACCACCTCACACCTATTAGGATGGCTGCTATCAAAAAAACAAAAAGTGTTAGCAAGAATGTGGAGAAATTGGAACCCTTATCCCCTGCCAGCAAGAATGTGAAATGATGCAGTCTCTGTGGAAAACAGTATGGCAGTTGCTCAAAAAAGCAAAAATAGAACTACCATATGATCCTGCAATTCCACATCTGTGTATATACCCAAAAGAATGGAAAGCGAGGACTCGAATAGAGATTTGCACTCATAGCGGCATTATTCACAATAGCCAGAAGGTGTAAACAACCCAATGTCCATTGACAGATATATATACAAACAAAATATGGTCTCTCCACACAGTGGAATACTACTGAGCCTTAAGAATAAGAGAATAATTCTGATATGTGCTACGACATATATGAAATTGGAGGACACTATGCTAAGTGAAATAAGGCGGTCACAAAAAGACAAATACTGTATGATTCCACTTACATGAGGTACTTTGAGTAGTCAGACTCACAGAGACAGAAAGTAGAACTTCGTGCCAAACTCATAGAGACCGGGGCTGGAAGGGGCTGTGGAGTTATTGTTTAGTGGGTATAGAGTTTCAGTTTTGCAAAATGGAAACATTCTTGGATGGACGGTGGTGATGGTAGCACAATAATGAAATGCACTTAATGCCACTGAACTGTGCATTAAAAATGGCTAGGAAGGCTTCGCGCACTGGCTCACACCTGTAATCCCAGCACTTTGGGAGGCCGAGGTGGGTGGATCACCTGAGGTCAGGAGTTCGAGACCAGCCTGGCCAACATGGTGAAACCCCGTCTCTACTAAAAATACAAAAATTAGCTGGGCATGGTGGCAGGCGCCTGTAGTCCCAGCTACTTGGAAGGCTGAGGTAAGAGAATTGCTTGAACCCGGGAGGCGGAGGTTGCAGTGAGCCGAGATTGCACCACTGCACTCCAGCCTAGGTGACAGAGCAAGACTCTGTCTCAAAACAAACAAATGAACAAACAAAAAAGATTAGGAAGGTAAATTATATGTTAGGTGTATTTTGTCACAGTGAAAATTTAAAAACAAAAAAGCTTACTCTGAGTATGTTCTAGAGAAAAGTTTGGAAAGGGGCATGGCTGGTTATCGGTCAATATCTTCCCTTCTTCCTAACAGTATCCATTTCCTCCTCTTTCTCTCCTAGCATAGTGGGAAGTTCAAGCATCCACCCCTTCCCCAGATGGCCTTGTGGCCTTGTGCTCCAGGAAAGGATGATTCCAACCTCTTCTTCACGGGAGGTCTCACTGGCCTAGAGCAGTAGTACTTAAAATGTGGGTGAGGGCCAAGCACAGTAGCTCACGCCTGTAATCCCAACACTTGAAGAGGCTGAGAGGGGAGGATCTGTTGACCCCAGGAGCTTGAGACCAGCCTGGGCAACACAAGAGACCCTCTTTCTACAAAAAATACAAAAATTAGCTGGGCGTGGTGGCACATGGCTGTAGTCCCAGCTACTTGGGAGGCTGAGGCAGGAGGATCGCTTGAGCTCAGGAGGTCAAGGCTGCAGTGAACCGTGATTGTGCCACTGCACTCCAGCCTGAATGACACAGTGAGACTCTGCCTCAAGGAAAAAAAAAAAAAACAACCTTGGCTGAACATTCCTGGGGTCTCTGAGATTCATTTCAGGGCTCTGTGAGTTTCTGTTTTGCAATTACATATCCTAATGAGGCTGGGTTTTTAAAATATATATATACTTCTACTAGCAGATTGCAGCAGATTAAATGCCAAAGCAGATATGAGAATCCAGCTGTCTTACATTAAGCCCAATATTAAAGTGATTTGTAAAAGGTAAAGCAATGCTACTCTTCTTCTTAAATGTTTTAATTGTGGAGTATGTTACTATTTTTCATGAAAATGTTACTTATGTGAATATGTAACAGATTTCTCTTCTCTTCTTTTTTCTTTCTGAGACAGAGTCTCGCACTGTTGCCCAGGCTGAAGTGCAGTGGTGTGATCTTGGCTCACTGCAACCTCCGCCTCCCGGGTTCAAGCAATTCTCCTGCCTTGACCTCCCGAGTAGCTGGGATTACAGGTGCCTGCCATCATGCCCAGCTAATTTTTTGTATTTTTAGTAGAGACGGGGTTTCACCATGTTGGCCAGGATGGTCTCAAACTCCTGACCTTGTGATTCACCCGTGTCAGCCTCCCAAAGTGCTAGGATTACAGGTGTGAGCCACTGCGCCTGGCCTAGATTTCTTATTTTTATATCAATAAATATTTCAAAATTTTAGTGATAGATATAACTCATAAAAGCAAAGATTTTTGGGGATCCTCAATATTATTATTTTTTTTTAGGGTCTTGCTGTCACCCAGGCTGGAGCGTAGTAGGTAATCATAGCTCACTGCAGCCTTGACCTCCTGGCATCAATCCTCCTGTCTTGGCCTCCCAAAGTTTTGGAATTACAGGCATGAGCCACCACACCTGGCCCTAATTTTTGAGTCCAAATGGGTCCTCAGATAAAAATATTTGAGGACCACTAGCCTAGAATAATCCCATCCCCTTGTCAGGCATTGGTTTGGGAATTTCCTTGTGGTCCAGTTCTGTCGACTGAGACAGGAGAGGGAATCTGATGGGAAGCTTCTGGGAAAAGTTTTTCCACTCGTAAGACAGAGCCACAGAAAGAGAGACACTCTCTCTCCATCCTCTGGTTACCAATGCATCTGAATGTGATGCGGCCATCTTCCCGCTGGCCTGAGGAAAAACACAGCATAAGCGCTGGCAGTGTTGTTTTCAGATTTCATTATTAGAGTGATTCAGTGAACATCTTTCCACGCAATTGAGCTCTGCACATCTGTGTAGTTTTGGTAGAATAAATTCTTACAATTGGAAGTGTTGGATAATGGGATATACACATTAAAAATTTTAATAAATATTGGCCATGTGCAGTGGCTCACGCCTGTAATCCCAGCATTTTGGGAGGCCGAGGCGGGCAGATCACCTGAGGCTGTGAGTTCGAGACCAGCCTGATGAACATGGAGAAACCCCATCTCTACTAAAAATACAAAAATTAGCCGGTCGTGGTGGTGCATGCCTGTAATCCCAGCTATTTGGGAGGCCAAGGCAGGAGAATCACTTGAACCCAGGAGGCGGAGGTTACAGTGAGCCAAGATCACGCCATTGCACTCCAGCCTGGGCAACAAGAGCAAAACTCCGTCTCAAAAAAAAAAATTTTAATAGATATTGATAAGTTGTCCTCCCAAAAGTTTGTACCACTACAAACTTCCACCAAGTTATTTAACAAGCACTTATATAAAGCTTACTATGTGCTTACTAGACAACTGTTCTAAGCTTTTTACAAACATTTACTAACAGTGTGAGTGCCTGTTTCTCCATACTTTTGCCAACTTATTTTTTATCCCTGCTCATCTGATAAGCAGAAAATACCTATTTCGAGTTGCCTTTTTTTTTTTTTTTTTTTACAATAAGATTGAACATTTAAAACATATTTTCTTTAAATGGTCTATTCATGTCCTTGGTCCATTTTCCTGTGGGGTTTTCATCTTTTTATTCTTTATTTCTAAGAGCCCTGTGTGTATTAAGGATATTAGCCCTTTAATGTCATACATGTGACAAGTAAAGTTTAATAGTCACTTTTTTACAATTCCAGTATCTAAAAAGCTCTGAAAAATTTTTTTTGTAAATGTGGTACAAACTCACTTGATAACATGACCTCAATTGACATTAGGCTGTTTGTATTCTTTGTGTATTCCACTTCATATAAAGAGCTGGAAGAAAAAACTGTTGCTGAATGAAAACTTGTGTTTGATAGAAATACATAAATAACTGCGGTGTTATATACTGTGTATTATCTTTTCTAAAATCTGAAAATTTACAATTTCATAAAACATTTGTCCAAGGTTTTAGGTAAGAGATTGTGACTTTTATTTACCCACACATGTGTCTTTGTTGGTTCACTTTTGGACATGTTGAGTTGTAGATGCCTGTGGAGGCTTCACCTGGATATGGCCTGCATGCAGTTGGATATATGAGTTAGAAATTTATAAGGGAAATTGGGGTTGGAGAAGCAGATTTTAGGTTTATATTTATCAGCATATAGATGAGAGTTAAATTAAAATCACATGGGTGTATGTCAGAAAGCATGTGTTGCCAAAAGAGTGCTCTGAGAACATCAGCGTTTAAGGGGTGAATGAGAGTCTATGATGAGGTAGGAAGTGAGGAAAGCTAATTGTGGAGCAGAAAGGAGGAATCAGACAGAGCAGAGGGGTGATCGATCATTCTGGACTGTGAACAATGACTACAGCTGAAGACAACACAGTAGAGGTTTGCTGGCTGTGAATTCTCCATGGAGCTATTGTCAGGTATTAGAGTGAACTTAGCCTTGTCAGGTGTTGGGGAGGGGCAGGGAAGGGAGATGGAAGGGGATTTGAAGGTTGCCTCTGTGCCCAGGCTCAGGGATCTGGACCTCAACATTCCTTAATAACTAGTCATCAGCCCTCTTAAGAATGGTCTCCAGGATTTTCTCCTGTAAAAGTTCTGTTGAAGGGTCTTGGACAGTTTCCCAGCCCCGTAGATAGATCTCTGTAGGTCCAGTCCTCTAGCAAGTGGTCCAGACCTTGAAATGAACCAGCTACTATAATAAGTGTGAGAAGCAGTTGGTCCTTTGTGCAGATACTGGGCCAGAGGACACAGGAAAGTGGTTTTGACTTCTTTCTGTTTATCCCTTCTGATGGGCCATATGAGGACCCTTGATGGGAGCATTCAGGAACTATTAGTACTTGCCAGTAGCCAGCCACTTTCAAAGGAGACAACTCTGGGACCTCAGGTCTGCCTTAGCCTGCCCGCTGCAAAACATTTACATTTGCTCTCCTGTCTAATAGAAGAAAAATCCATTTTTCATTTTCAATTGAATGTTCTCAGCCTTAAAATGTGGGCCTTTGTTCATTCTAATTCGCCTACATCTGCATAAAACAAAAGTTCATTTTCAGAGCAATGTGGAGGGGGACCATGCACAATTCCAGTTATTGTATAGAAAAGCTATGCGCCTTTTATTCAGAGAGCAAATAATATATCCAGGATGTTGTTGTGGGTGTTCTTCTGTCACTCATACTGGCGATGTCTTGTCTATCTCTCAAGAAACAATGGGCATTTATTTGGGATTGCTTAGATTTAGTAACATTCCTTTTTCATTTCAAATGGCTCTTAACTGTGAAGTGGGGGGAAAATGAGTTAATTTATTGAATATTTTAACTAGTTGTAATAGGTTCTAATTTTACCTACAGTGGAAACAATTGAAAGTTTTTATGTTAACATTATTCTGGCAAGTTAATATGAACTAAAGAACATTAAACAAATATTTCAGTGCAGAGCATGAAACAAATACAGCAAAAGATATTAGCACTTCCAGTTCTGAACTGATTTCCGTGTACATTTCCTTTTAAAAAATTGCTTCTTTTCCAACACTGCTGAACTGTAGCCTTAAAAGTGGTCAAGGCCGGGCGCAGTGGCTCACACCTGTAATCCCAGCACTTTGGGAGTCTGAGGCGGGCGGATTGCCTGAGCTCAGGAGTTCGAAACCACCCTGGACAACATGGTGAAACTCTGTCTCTACTAAAATAAAAAATTAGCCAGGCGTGGTGGCCTGCGCCTATAATCCCAGCTACTCAGGAGGCTGAGGCGGGAGAATCGCTTGAGCCCAGGAGGCAGAGGTTGCAGTGAGCAGAGATTGTGCTGCTGCACTCCAGCTTGGGCAACAGAGTGAGACTCTGAAAAAAAAAAAAAAAGTGGTCACGATGGTAAATTTTATGTTATGTGTAAGACAGGGTCTTGTTCTGTCACCCAGGCTGGACTGCAGTGGCACGATCATAGCTCACTGCAGCCTTGACCTCCCAGACTCAAGTGATTCTCCTGCCTTGGCCTCCCAAAGTGCTGGGATTACAGGTATAAGCCACTGCACCCGGCCTTTCCCTCCTGGAATATTTTCATCTGTGGTTGGTTGAATCCACAGATGTGGAACTCATGGATATGGCGGGCTGACTGTACTTCCCAGGGAGCTTGATGGCAAAATACAATCTGAGGCCCAAAAAGTCAAACAAGCTCTAGAAAACATCCTTGAAAAACCAGCAGTTGCTTTTCCCGCTTCACATTCTTTGCATTCCCCAGAAGCAACCACTTTCTCTGTTCTCATCTCCAGATCTCCAGTACTTCCGAATTATTCATGTTTAAGCATTATCAGTTGTCTCATCACTAAGGGAGATGAGGACTCTTTCACTACCATCAACAAACATACACACCCCTCAACTCCTCCTCTTCCCAATAAGGGCATATCATGAATTTCGTTAATAATCCTTGTTTACATTATTATGACAACGACATGCCAATCACAACTGAGCCATGTAATTAGACTATGACTTTCCCTTTCTTGCTTATATGATTCTTTTATGAATAGTAATTTTTTTCTTAGTGTTCTTTGTACCAATCATTTATTCCACCCTAAACTCTCCAGTTTTATAAATCTCCTCTCAAAATGTTCAAATATATCAATTACTCTCCATTTTGTCTTGGAAGCGTCTCTGACTGGCTCTTGTCTGGACTGGTTGCTGTGTATGCTGTCACCTTGGGGGTTCTGTTCTTTTGTATGCCCTGCATCTTTCTTAGTTTACTCCCTTATTGTGGTTGAGGAACAGCTTCCCGATAAAAGGTACATAAGAAGTGACATTTTTGCTGGCCAGCACGGTGGCTCATGCCTGTAATCCCAGCACTTTGGGAGGCCGAGGTGGGTGGATCACTTGAGGACAGGAGTTTGAGACCAGCTTGGCCAACATGGTGAAACCCCCATCTCTACCAAAAATAAAAAAACGAGCCGGGCATAGTGGTGCATGCCTGTAGTCCTAGCTACTTGGGAGACTGAGGCATGAGAACTGCTTGCACCTGGGAGGCAGAAGTTGCAGTGAGCTGAGATCACACCACTGCACCACCGCAACCTGTCTTAAAAAATAAAAATAAAGAAGTAACATTTTTGGGAGCTGGTGTGCCTGGAAACCTTTTTATTCCACCTACCCTTACACTAATTGAGGCTGGAGATAACATTGCCTTGGAATTTTAAAGATATTGATCTACTTTCTTCTAATATCTGATGTTATTTGAGGCATTCAGATTCTCAGTCCTTTGTATGAAACTTTTAAAATTTTTTCTAGTTCAGGTATTCTTTGTAGTGAAATTCACAATGGCATACCCTAGTGCGGGTCTGTTTTTATATATTGTGCTGGGCATTGGAAAGCCATGGCTTTCAGTTTCACTAATGATTTCCTCTGCTGTTTCTTCTGTTCTCTTTATGGCATGCTTATTATTCAGATCTGAGGCCTTTTGTTCTGGTCTTTTCTTTCCTACTTTCCAGCTGTTCTTTTTGTACTACTTTGTGGGAGATTTCCTCAACTTCATCTTCTCACCCTTCTATTGAGTTTTTAATTTCTATTTTCAGGACTTATTTTCTGAATATTCTTTTTTTCTTAGATGGAGAAAAACCTTACAATTTCAAAACCTGAGGATATTAGTGGCAGTTCCTTAAAAATGTTTTCTTCTCCCTTCACAGTCCCACTTTGCTCCATTTTGGGTTGTGGGTTTTGATTCTACCTTTCACCCTAGAGGCATTCCTCAAATGGCTGGTGATCCTTGCCTGTCTGCACATATTGAAGAGGGGGACAATAAGCTGACTGGAAGCAACCGGCTCATAGGAGTAGGATTTGTTGACTCTGGCATTCCTGAAACTGCTGCTTCCCTGGAGACCCCCAATATCAGCTGCCAAATTTTGCACAGAATCTTCTCATCTCCTGGCTGGAAGCATAAGCCTGGCTACCAGCATTCAGACAGCCAAGTAGGGGAAAGTGCTAAGCATTAAATATTCTGAATACAGGCTGGGCACAGTGGCTCACACCTGGAATCCCAGCACTTTAGGAGGCCGAGGCGGGTGGATCACCTGTGGCCAGGAGTTCGAGACTAGCCTGGCCAACATGGCGAAACCCCGTCGCTACTAAAAATATGAAAAAATTAGCCGGGCGTGGAGGCACGCGCCTGTAGTCCCAGCTACTCAGGAGGTTGAGGCAGGAGAATTGCTTGAATCCAGGAGGTGGTGCATGCCTGTAGTCCTAGCTACTTGGGAGGCTGAGGCATGAGAATCAAGTGATTCTTGCACCTGGGAGGCAGAAGTTGCAGTGAGCTGAGATCACACCACTGAACCACCGCAGCCTGTCTTAAAAAATAAAAATAAAGAAGTAACATTTTTGGGAACTGGTGTGCCTGGAAACCTTTTTATTCCACCTACCCTTACACTAATTGAGGCTGGAGATAACATTCCCTTGGAATTTTAAAGATATTGATCTACTTTCTTCTCATATCTGATGTTATTTGAGGCATTCAGATTCTCAGTCCTTTGTATGAAACTTTTAAAATTTTTTCTAGTTCAGGTATTCCTTGTAGTGAAATTCACAATGGCATACCCTAGTGCGGGTCTGTTTTTATATATTGTGCTGGGCACTGGAAAGCCATGGCTTTCAGTTTCATTGGTGATTTCCTCTGCTGTTTCTTCTGTTCTCTTTATGGCATGCTTATTATTCAGATCTGAGGCCTTTTGTTCTGGTCTTTTCTTTCCTACTTTCTGCAGTGAGTCAAGATTGTGCCACAGCACTCCAGCGTGGCAACAGAGCGAGACTCCGTCTAAAAAAAAAAAAAAAAAAATTAGCTGGGCGTGATGGCAGGCGCCTGCAATCCCAGCTACTTAGGAGGCTGAGGCAGGAGAATCGCTTGAACCTGGGAGGTGTAAGTTGCAGTGAGCCGAGATCATGCCATTGCACTCCAGCCTGGGCGACAAGAGCGAAACTCTGTCTCAGTAAATAAATAATAAATAAGATTCTGAGTATAAACTTACATATCACCCTTTGTATCAGTCAAGGTCCAAGGGGATTGCCTTACAAATGGATACATAAAACTTTACAGGATACCCTAGGGTTAAGGGAAAGTACCCAAGGAAGGATCAAACTCTTAGATAGGGATGTCCCTCCCCAAGTTTGGGTTTCAGATCTTGCAGAGGTGTGGCTGCAGCCCACTGTATGGCAGGGACATTTGCTGGATTGCGCTGGGTGACAGCTGAGTCAGTCACCAAGGAACTTTCCTTTGAGGTACATTCAGGCTGCCACTGGCAAGCAGGGAATCATGGCCAGGACGGGCAAGAAGGAAACACACCATTGGGGTACACATGGGCTGAGGCTGGCACACTCCTCCAGAGTACAAGAGGACAGAAAACTGCAGCCACAAGCAGGGAGTGCCTCTCCAGGCTATGTGTGAGCTGAGGCTGAAGGACAGGCTCAGAGGGAGCCACCTGCCAGCTAGCGAGGTAGTCACAGGGCCAAGGCCAGAGCTGAAAGCTGGCTAACTGACTGCATACTCGGGTCACAGCTGGGGCTGAGCCATGCCTGACAACAGGATGGTAATAAGCAGCCAGGGGAAGCATGCCAGACCTGAGAAAAGTAGCCCCTTTCTCTTGTACTGACAAAGCTCAACTGTACAAAGCTTATGCTGACCATGCTAAGGAGAAATGCCTAGAGGGTCCTGCTGAATTATCAGAGCAGGCTATTGTGTTAGTTTGCTAGGGCTGCTGTTAAGTACCACAGACTGGGTGGGTTAAACAGCAGAAATGTATTGTCTTATGGTTCTGGAGGCTACAAGTCCAAAATTAAGGTGTTGGCAGAATGGATTCCCTCTAAGGTCTGTGAGGGAAAGAGCTGTTCAAGGCCCCTTTCCTTAGCCTGTAGATGCCATCTCTGCTAATCATCTCCCCTCTATGCATTCCCTTTAAGTTATATTGGATTAAGTTATATTGGAAAATGACTGCATTTTAACCTGATTACCTCTGCAGTCATGAGGTCCAGTCCCCAGGAGGAAAGACCTTGCAACAACCCAGTACCGACTACAATTCCCCAGTCCTGCCCTCAAAAGAATGATGGCCATTTATTCAGGTTACTGAACAATGGACAAAAGGGAACACCCAAATATTTTGAAGGCTGTTGGATACAGGGTCTAAGCTGACGTTGTACCTAGAAACCTAAAGCATCATCATAGGGGCCGCAGATGGAGGTATGGTTCTATTTAGGTAACATATAGTGCTCACATTAAAGCAGCACATGCTCTGTGGATCCCTCTGCTGGTCATTTCCGTGTCTCTGATGTCTAACTAGAATTGACACACTTGGTAACTGGCATGATCACTACATTACATCTTTGGCCTGTTGGATACAGGTTATCCTGTATAGTGACAAAGGCCAAACAGAAGTCTCAAGCTGCTGTGCCTGCCCTTCCCGTAGACATAGACAGGGGTATCAGCAAAGGATGTGAGGATCTTGTGTGACATGTTAATGCCTACCAGACAGTATCTACTAGGGAAGAGGAATTTAACCAATGGTTGACATCAGCCAGTCTGTCATCCGCCAGTCTGTCATCCATCGCTGCAGTGCTGGTATCGTGAGCACAGGAATGGTGTGGCCAGTGGGAGATGAAAGCTATGCACGTCCAGTAGCAACGGCTCCCACTTACAAAGGCTGATCCAATTACGTCTGCTGCCTAACGTCCTACCAGCAATATTGAGTTCAACTGTCCCTTGAAGAAACCAACTAGCAACTTGGTGGTAAGTTGAGTACATAGAGTCTCCTATCCCAGGAGGGCCTGCAATTTGTTCTAACAGAAAAATGTGAGTTTGCCTTTCTTGACGACAGAGCCTCAAGCAGCCACTGAGAGTTTTGTATGATCCACCAGCATGGGATCCCCAGTAGACTGACTGCACTACTGCACTCCAGCCTGGGTGACAGAGCAAGACCCCATCTTTTAAAAAAGCTGACCAGCCACAGGGGCTCACACCTGTAATGCCAGCACTTTGAGAGGCCGAAGGGAGTGGATCACTTGAGCTCAGGAGTTTGAGACCCGGCTGGGCAACATGGTGAAACTATCTGTACAAAAATTAGCCAGGCATGGTGGCACATGCCTGTAGTACCAGCTACTAGGGAACCTGAGGCAGGAGGACAGCTTGAGCCTGGGGGACAGACAGGTAGCAGTGAGACAAGATCACACCACTGTATTCCAGCCTGGGCAACGGAGCCAGACCCTCTCTCAAGAAAAATTTAAAAAGCATCGGGCCAGGCACGGTGGCTCACGCCTGTAATCCCAGCACTTCAGGAGGCCAAGGCAGGTGGATCACCTCAGGTCGGGAGTTCAAAACCTGCCTGACCAACATGGAGAAACCCCGTCTCTACTAAAAAATACAAAATCAGCTGCGCGTGGTGGTGCATGCCTAAAATACCAGCTACTCGGGAGGCTGAGGGGAGAATCGCTTGAACCCAGGAGGCAGAGGTTGCGGTGAGCCAAGATTGCGCCATTGCACTCCAGCCTGGGCAACAAGAGGGAAACTACATCTCAAAAAAAAAAAAAAAAAAAAAAGCATTGGAGGCTGGGCACAGTGGCTCACGCCTATAATCGCAGCATTTTGGGAGGTCAAGATGAGTGAATCACCTGAGCTCAGGAGTTCAAAACTAGCTTGGACAACATGGCAAAACCCCATTTCTACCAAAAATCCAAAAAAAAAAAAAAAAAAAATTAGCCAGACGTAGTAGCGCATGCCTGTGATCCCAGCTACTCGGGAAGCTGAGGTAGGAGAATCACCTGGGCTGGGAAGACAGAGGTTGCAGTGCACTGAGATCGCACCACTGCACCACTGCACTCCAGCCTGGGTGACAGCAAGACCCTGTCTCAAAAAAAAAAAAAAAAGAAAAGAAAAAAGAGAGACCCTGTCTCAATTAAAAAAAAAAAAAATCAAGTTCTCTGGCCATCAGTTATGATACTGTATTAATTATCCATCCCCTATCCTAGTTTGCCTGCATGAGTGTATAAATTTTCTCACTAGTTTCTATCACTCCTATATTCCCTTTTGCATCCTATTCCTTAGATGTGCTGCGATTTTTTTTAATTTGGAAAAAAAACTGTTTTCAAATTTCTCCAGGAAAGGAAAAAAAATTAATACAAAGGCTTATAGAGCACACCTAAAAGATAATAAAATAATAAAAAACCAAAAAGGAAAAAATACGAAACTAGTCACTACTGGAAGACAGTAGTGAAGCAGCTCATTTTGAAACTTACTTACAAATAAACGGAAAGAAGCATTTACCTTGTCTTTCCTACACAAACTATACACACACACCCACTAGATAACTATACAAACACACCCACTAGATAACTATAAAGTAAGAGACCAAGTTTCTCTACTGCAGCAAACAAATGAAAAAAATGCTGTGTCTGTATCCCCTATTTAGATGGATCTAGGCACTGATCATCAATAGTGACTAATAGCTCAAGAAGAGACAAGTACACATTATGTGCCACCTGATGGAATACCACCACCTATAAATACTGTCCCCATCCAACAAAACAACTATCTGAATCTGATTACGTCTGTGGATCTGAAACAAATTTATAGGAAACATAAAGGCCACAGAAATTCGTTAAATGATATGAAAGGGATGCAACTGCAGTATCTGGGAAACTACAGGGCAAAAAAGTTATTTTCTTCATACATTGCAATGAAAAAATTAGTAAGAGTCGGACTCTTCATTAATATATGAACTTCCATTGGATCTTGACTCAAACTGTTTACAAAAACTAAATATTTGAATATCAGGAAATTATAAATTTTTTGATGTGATAATGGTATTTGTTGGGTATGTTTTAAGGAGTCCTTATCTTTTAAAAATACATACTGAAATACTTAGCCCGGTGGTTCACACCTGTAATCCCAGCACTTTGGGGGAGCCGAGGCAGGCGGATCTCGAGGTCAGGAAATCGAGACCATCCTGGCTAACACGGTGAAACCCCATCTCTACTATTAAAAAAGAAAATACAAAAAATTAGCCAGGCATGGTGCGGGTGCCTGTAGTCCCATCTACTTGGGAGGCTGAGGCAGGAGAATGGCAGTGAACCC
Source organism: Homo sapiens (assembly GCF_000001405.40). NCBI lineage: Eukaryota > Metazoa > Chordata > Mammalia > Primates > Hominidae > Homo > Homo sapiens. The sequence goes on from NC_000010.11 coordinate 32,007,993, forward strand.
GGAAGGCGGAGCTTGCAGTGAGCTGAGATCATGCCACTGCACTCCAGCCTGGGCGACAGAGTGAGACTCCGTCTCAAAAAAAAAAAAAAAAAAAAAAAAAAAAAAAAAAGCAGCATATGTTTTTCTAGGATTGCTTCAAAATAACACGGGGCGGGGCGGGGGGTTGTTGGGGGAAGATGAGTAGATTACGGATGAAACAAGATTAGCTGTAAGTTGATAATTGTTGAGACTAACTGGTATTACTCATTATTATTGTCTGATTTCATATCTGATTAAAATTTTCCACAACAGTATAAAAACATATAAAGCCCAATGCCCCCCAAAACAAGAAAAAACAAATACCCACTTGAATTTAGGAACAGTCTTTTTAAAGTTATTCTTCAGCTAGACCTGAATGATCATTGAGGAAGTATCTAAAACACAAACGTTAACAAGTGTTCTTATCCTGGTTAATAAAACAACCAGACTCAGATGAACAATGGGGACTATACAAAGTAAAATACAGGTGACACCGGTCGGGTGCAGTGGCTCGCGCCTGTAATCCCAGTACTTTTGGAGGCCGAGGCAGGAGGATCACATGAGGTCAGGAGTTCGAGACCAGCCTGGCCAACATGGTGAAACCCCATCTCTAATACAAATACAAAAATTAGTTGGGCGTGGTGGCATATGCCTGTAATCCCAGTTACTTGGGAGGCTAAGGCAGGAGAATCACTAGAATCCAGGTGATAAGAGTTGCGGTGAGCCGAGATCACACCACTGCACTCCAGCCTGGGCGACAGAGCAAGACTCTATCTCAAAAAAAAAAAAAAAAAAAAAAAAAGTTTTATATGTGAGACTGGTCATTCATTTCTAGCTCTTTAGCCTATACATTTAATATCTGCGGTCCAAAAGGCTGCAAGACATTAGGAAACAAAATATACATAAATATAATGACATATCAGTCACTATTCTGTCAAGACAGAAGGCCTGAACTCAGCCATGTAAAATCAACCTAACACTTAAGTTTTAAGAAAGTCATTACATTTCAAAAAATTTTCCTCTTTATTTAAACATAAAACGCATTTACAACATGCAAGTTAACTTAAAATTAAACGGTGTCTTCCCAAACCAAGTATTTGTGAATGTATCTTCAAGCACTGAAAATAAACCAACATATTCCACAGGTAGACTCAGACTCTCTTCTGTCACCTCATGTCAAATGGAGTTAAGCACAAACTGAGAGTTACGCACAGTAGTTTTCTTAAGTTAGGCAAATAATTTAATTAATCGCCATGAATAAATATTCTCTTTATTTCATTGAGTTTCTCTTCTGAACCATCTATCAATGCCATTCAGAGGAACGTTAATATATCCAGTCAAAAAGACACTGCAAATTGAAATGTGTCAATATCCTAGATGATCAGAAATTTTCATTTTTAAGAGTAAGTGCTGTGTTTAATGACCTACCATAGCAAAAAGCAGTTCACTGAAAACAAATTTATGAAATTCTTGGTACACTTTATGAAAGTCTGAAATTATAAATAGAAAAGAACCATCAAGATACTTTTTAAAAACCTAACATTGTATATTCTGAACCACATGCTAATTAAAATTCGTTGTTCATTACACAGCACCAATACCCATGATACATCTTACAAGAACAAAACTAACATATTTGGAAAAAAGAGAAAAAAAAATTCTGCTTCATTTACGAATGTTGCCAAAGGAGGCAAGTTTTCAACTGAAAACAAAACATAAAGGTCTATGTGGATGCAGCCAAATGTTTCTCCATTTAGAAAATCATCATAAAAGGTGGCAGCACTTTTTTTGCTTGTTAACTATATTACTTATAACTGGCTGCACCAACATTTCATCTCAATTTTTGGAGTGTTTCTTCTGATCAATCCTAAAAGCAACACAATCATTTTAGAGGTTGCAGACTACAACAGCAAAGATTTTTGACTATTAAAAAAATAAATAAATAAATTTATATTTTAAATCAAAATTATTACAAAAGTGGAAATTACAATAGTTACGGAAATAGAAAAATAAGCCAATTATGATCTGAGTCTTCTGACTATGGCTCCAAATTTAATACAAATATCTGTGTATAAAACTTTTGCAAAAAGTTAATTCTGCCAGCAAGATCCTAACACAGAACTTTCCAAGTTTCTCTGCTAACCTTAAATCCCCATTCTCTGTGAATTTCTGCTAACACAGTTGCAGTCACCGCCCCCCTACCACTGATGAAGCAAATAGTGAAATCTCTTTCCCTATTACTTTTACAGTTTCCTAAAATAAGCTGTTGACTTACTTTAATCATCTGAGGAAAAAGTGGCAAAAATACGTATACACTTAGTACTGATTACAAAATTATCGGCTATGGCCAAGAAAATAATTTATCTAATGATTATTAGTGACTTGCAAACAATTTACTATTTCTAGACTAAAGAAATAAATTAGTGTACAAATTAGTGTAGCAGGTTAAAAACACCTCAGGGATTTCAGACCAAAATTGACCTATATATATTTTTAATTCATCATATATCTGTCCTGTTTCTTCATTTTTCTCAATTTCCACACGCTATAAATTTAGGTCGGCCAATAAAGTACTAACCGTATAAAATTATGTTTAATCCTATAATATCTTAATTCATTTTACTAATATTAAAGATGACAAATTATTACCTGTCCAATACTTATATTAGCTAGCAGGCTCACCAGAATAAAGCAGAGTATTTTAATTCCATCAAGACTTGTTGAGTACAGAATCAGGAAAAAGAGAAATATAATTCCTTTTCCAAACTCCCTTAAACTAAGATCTGCTTTTGATACTTTAAAATATTTCTATTCAAAATAACTCGGCAACAGGCATTTCATGAGATAACAAGTAGCCTTGCTCAGTCTCAAATGCCTATTAGGCATTTGTAACGTTTCAGTGCTCAAACAGTAGTTTTCAGGAGCAAACTTCAGAAACAATACAAGTAATTTTAACCCTGATATCATCATTTCAAGGGATTTTAAAATACAGTACTGACTGGATATATTTTATGGGCATGTAGTGTTGTTAAGTGGTAAAATTTAAAGACATTTAACCTAAATGTTCCATTTTCTCTTAAGAAAAAAAAAGGAAGACGTTTTAATAGGAAAAGAAAAACAAGAAGCAGTAGCAGCTAGGTAATTTAAACTGAGATTAAAAAATAAACATACACAAAAAATACAAAAAGTACAGTCCTATAAGGTACAGTTAGCTTGGCACAGTAAAGACTAAATTTAAGACACGATAGACAAACTGTGTAATAAATAGGGCCACAGTTGTAAACTGTCCTTTTTCCCTCCTAAGATGCCAAAATTGCACTCTAGTTGTGTTGGGAAGCAGCAGAGTTTACAAGAAGAGTAGGTAGGAAACAGCTGTACAGGCCAGGTATAATTTATACATTTTTTTTAAAAGTTATAATTCTACAATCCCAAGGGAGTAGAGGTTATAGTCATTGAATGACTGCTTGATACCATGTCCTCTTCGTACTTCGATTACTTTTTAACACCTAAAAATGGGAGAAAGCATAGAGTAAATATGTTTAGTTTTACAAAATTGGTGTTTGAGATAATCATGAAGAATAAAACAAAATAAAATATGCCAACAGTTTATTATAAACATTTTAGCCAACATCTGTGGCTACTTTCCCCAAAATTAGAAGGATGGCAATATTAAATGATTTGGTTTCCTTTTATATACTACCTAAGTAGAACTGTTTAGAAGCAGTAATGTTTAAAGGGAGGTCAGCCCTCCCTTTGTTTTTATTCTCCCAAATAAAGCTATGGGTAAGCTGATTTATGAATTGTATTTGTTTAAAAAAGAAAAAGACGGCTAATCTTTTAACCAGCAGACAGTGGTCAGTGACCTTCTTAAACCAAGGAACACTAACCAGCAACTACTAGTTATATACATAGAAGCTTTAAAAAAAAAAGGGGGAGAGGAATAGGGATAAACAAGAGGTGTATACAGTAGGAAAAGTAACAGTGAAATAAATAATTCTAGTAGTATTAAACTGCCTACTTACCTATGCATTTAGAAAAGCAACCTATTTAAAGTACTATGCAAGGCAGAAGACTAGTCATGTAAAACTGGGAACTAAAAGTATCAGTATTATAAATGTCATCCTTTCCAAAAATAAACACAGTGACTTGAAATGTTTTTCTTAACATTAAAAAAATTTCTCGCCGGGCACAGTGGCTCACACCTGTAATCTGAGCACTTTGGGAGGCTGAGGGAGGCAGATCACCTGCGGTCAGGAGTTCAATACCAGCCTGGCCAACATGGCAAAACCCCGTCTCTAGTAAAAATACAAAAACCTTAGGCGGGCGTGGTAGTGGGCGCCTGTAATCCCAGCTACTCGGGAGGGTGAGGCAGGGAGAACTGCTTGAACCCGGGAAGCAGAGGTTGCAGTGAGCCGAGATCCTGCCACTGCACTCCAGTGCAAATTATTTAACATTTAAACAATTTATCACTTAAGTGAATCATATACTCCCCAATCATGGTTTAAGATAGATTATAAGAGTTTGAAAACTAAGAACCACTATCTTTGGACCAGCATCAAAACAAACCTGTAAATAATTGTATTTTTACATCATAACTTTCAAGTCTTGAAAACCTAGTTTGGCTGGGTTAGCTCCCTCCCTTATGTGCTAACCTGGTGTCACTTTACTGCTATCAGCAATAGTTAACAAAAGTATGGTCTGTCCTCTCTCTACAATGAGGTAAGTTTAAAGTTGACATATGAATTTTAATGTGAGGACAATATCCAAAAAGGATAAACTTTCTATCTATGCTTTGAAAATCCCCTTGCCCAGCTCCCACTTCCAGAAAGGTAGGAAAAGGCTTGCATCTACTGAATACTGTGTGCTGGGTAACATCTTAACTCATGTAATTTTTTTTTTTTTTTTTTTGAGACGGAGTTTTGCTCTTGTTGCCCAGGCTGGAGTGCAATGCCACGATCTCGGATCACTGCAAACTCCGCCTCCTGGGTTCAAGCGATTCTCCTGCCCCAGCCTCCCGAGTAGCTGGGATTACAGGCATGTGCCACCACGCCCTGCTGATTTTGTATTTTTAGTAGAGGCAGGGTTTCTCCGTGTTGGTCAGGCTGGTCTCGAACTCCTGACCTGAGGTGACCCACCCACCTCAGCCTCCCAAGTGCTGGGATTACAGGTGTGAGCCACTGCTCCCGGCCAACTCATGTAATTCTTAAGAATGACTTCCATTTTACTAATAAAACTGCTATGAGTCCAAAGGGGAAAAACACAGGAGTTATCTCTAATTATCATGAAAACCAGCTATTGTATGTCTACTGATATTAAGTACATATTATCTATGACATAACTTTGTCAAAAATGTTTATGCTGAGTCTAATCAATGCTTTTGCATAGAAATAGAGGGAGAACAAGGTGACTACACATAAAAACAATCAGACACAGGTGTTATACCCTCAAGATAACTGGGCCTACTCAGTAAGTCAATATCACTAAAGAGGGTGCTCATTCAAGATCAGAAGAGATTTAAGGGATAAAACTAAACGCAAACAGCAGTCCTGAATTGTACTCTGGTTTAGACAAACCAGCTGTACAGGATAGTGAAAAAGAAATTGGAAAAATCTGAATATGGAATGGTATTAAATAATATTAAAAATATAATCTTACTGGGTGTGATAATATTGTGGCTATGTAGAAAAATGTTATTTTAGAGATTCATTAAATAGTTAAGCAATAAATCCATAATTTTTATGAAGTACTGTAAAACAAGTCAGAATGAGAAAAAAACTATTAAAAAGTTTATCTGCTCAAGTTCATAAAAGTAGTCAGGATTCCAACTTGGATGGAACTCCATAGTCCCTGTTCTTTTCACTCTACCACTGTTTTAAATCCTACATTGTGTGAACAAAACGTTTAAAATTGCTAGAAATGTGAATCCTTCAGAATATTTCTTAATTCTCTACTCAACTTAGAGCCAGTATTATGCAAAATGTCGAAGTATAAACAAGCAACATTAAAATAAACTAGCTTTAGTATTTGTCAGAAACAGCTGATCATTTCATAATTATCTAGTATTTTTTATTTCCAAAGCACATACACACATCAGGGACTTCCTGAAGAGTTAGTTACAATCAGAGTTGCTGCTATATGACCAATTATTAGGCAACCACTAACCAATCACGTTGTAGAAGAAAGTGTTCCGAATATATTGCTAAGTTTAAAAAGCAGGCTACAAAATACAAAATTAGCCGGTGTGGTGGTGCACGCCTGTAATCCCAGCTACTTGGGAGGCTGAGGCAGGAGAATCGCTTCAACCTGGGAAGCAGAGGTTGCGGTGAGCCAAGATCACCCCACTGCATGTCAGCCTGGGCAACAAGAACGAGGCTCCGTCTCGGAGTGGGGCAGGGGGGTGTGGGGTTTGTGGGGGCAGGGGGCCGGAAAAAAAAGCAGGCTCCGAAGCAGCATATGTAGTAGAATAAGTGGAGTCTATTACAATAGTTATCAACAGTTTAAACTTTTAAATTTAAAAACTAATACAGAAAGCTCCAGAAAGAGAGAGAGAGAGAGAGAGATAGTATATTGTGTAGTATCTCTAGATTTTTTCTAATTTGTGACTGTTTTATGCCCTACAAAGAACAGATATTACTTATATAATTATAAATAAAACTCAGAAATCTGTTAGTAAGCTGGGCTCATAAGCAATTTGGTGCAGTCTTTCTAGAAACCAATGTGTTAATATGTAGCAAGAGCCTTAAAAATGTTCATATTTCCTTGTAATTGCATTTCTGGGAACCTTCTGGAAATAATCTCTAACAGGTTAGGGAATACAAGGAGATGTTTCAGGTCGGGCGCGGTGGCTCACGCCTCTAATTCCAGCACTTTGGGAGGCCGAGGCGGGCAGATCGCCTGAAGTCAGGAGTTTGAGACCAGCCTGACCAACATGGTGAAACCCCTCGTCTCTACTAAAAACACAAAAATTAGCCAGGCATGGTGGCAGGCGCCTGTAATCCCAGTTTGGGAGGCTGAGGCAGGGGTATCGCTTGAACCCAGGAGCCAGAGGTTGCAGTGAGCTGAGATCACGCCATTGCACTCCAGGCTGGGCGACAAGAGTGAGATTCCATCTCAAAAAGAAAAAGAAAAAAAAAAAAAGATGTTTCAAATTTCATATATGAAAATTTTGGTTTTTGAAAATTTCAATTATGGAAAAAATTAATATAATTACATGTCTAGCCAAAAGGAAAGGAATGTTTATAAACCATGGTACATCCATTAGACACAGTATCAAAAGCTATTACAAATGGTCCAATGCTAGATTTCAAAACAATTAAGACCACAAATTTGAATATATAGTATGATCTAAACTACACAAAAAGATCAAACTAAATTACTTTTATAATGCTTAAGTTAAAAAAATCATAACACTAATGTGAGAATTTTTTAAAACCAAAAAACCTATTTAACAACCAATTTTCCACAAACAGATATGAAAAGCCAGATATAAATAACAAACCTGTGGGTATGTATAAACGATTACACTTGTTTGCCTCCTCCACCTCGCACTGCCACTGGCTGGCTGTTCTGAACAAATGCACCTCCTCCACGAATTGCACTTGGGTGAGTTGGAGAAGCTGCTGGATGTTGCCCGGGACGAATAGGTTTAGCTAATATGAAAAATAAAGACAGACTTTAGAATAAAGTTTAAGATGTGACTGCAATGACTGTTAAGGTTTCTTCTCTTATTCACAACAAATTCCCAAATGTTTTGTTTTTCTTTGCCTTTTTGTTTCTCCATCACTTTTTCTTTTCTGTAACATCCTTTTCTCTAGGACCTATACAATTCTTAGCCTTTAAAAATCTTCCTGGCCAGGCGTAGTGGCTCATACCTGTGTAATCCCAGCACTTTGAGAGCCTGAGGTGGGTGGATCATTTGGGTCCAGGAATTCAAGACCAGACTAGGCAATAAGGCAAAACCCTGTCTCTACAGAATATAAAAAAATTAGCTAGGTGTGGTGGCGTGCACCTGTAGTCCCAGCTACTTGGAAGGCTGAGGTGGGAGGATTGCATGACCCTGGGAGGCTGGGGCTGCAGTGAGCCATAATTGCACCACTGCAGTCTAGCATGGGTGACAAGCAAGACCCTGTGTCATAAAAAACAAGCAAACAAACAAACAAAAAAAATGGCTGGGCAGTGGCTCATGCCTGTAATCCCAGCACTTTGGGAGGCCGAGGCAGGTGGATCATCTGAGGTCAGGAGTACGAGACCAGCCTGACCAACAAGGAGAAACCCTGTCTCTACTAAAAATACAAAATTAGCTGGGCATGGTGGCTTGCACCTTCAATCCCAGCTACTAGGGAGGCTGAGGCAGGAGAATCGCTTGAACCCAGGAGGCAGAGGTTGCAGTGAGCCGAGATCACGCCATTGCACTCCAGCCTGTGCAACAAGAGTGAAACTCCATCTCAAAAAACAAGCAAAAAATAAATAAATAAATAAAACACAAAAAAAACACTTCCTGCACCAATTTTTGTTTGTTTGTTTGTTTGTTTTTTGAGATGGAGTCTCGCTCGTCACCCAGGCCGGAGTGCAATGGTGCAATCTTGGCTCATTGCAATCTCGGCTCATTGCAATCTCCACTTCCCAGGTTCCAGCGATTCTCCTGCCTCAGCCTCCCAAGTTGCTGGGTTACAGGCGTTCACCACCATGCCTGGCTAATTTTTTTTATTTAGTAGAGACAGGGTTTCACCATGTTAGGCTGGTCTCGAACTTCTGACCTCAGGTGATCCACCCGCCTCGACCTCCCAAAGTGTTGGGATTACAGGCGTGAGCCGCTGCGCCCAGCCACCAATGATTATTCTTAAACGTTAAATCATTGCTGATGGCTTATTTTCTTGCAATTCTCTTGGCTTTAATAATATTGCTCTATATAGTTTCTCCATTCCATGACCATTCTTGCTTGCTTCTCTAGTTCTCATTTATCTTCTTTTTCTGCTAATGTGATTATTCCTCTTTCCCAACAGTGCCACTCTGCTAAGTTAGAAAATAGAGACAGATGCACCATGACAACACATAAAATTCGGATTACGTTTTCCACTAAATGAAAGCATTCAAATTGAGCAAGGTTTAAAGGTTTTAATGTGTTCTACTAACCAATCTGTGCAGAATGCCCTCTTCTGGCCATATTCTTTGACCTGACTGCTTCCTTTATGCGATCTACTTCTTGCTGATAGCGTTTGCGATCACGAGATGCATTTTCTTTAGCTTCTTTCAGTGCTGATTCCAAAGCTTTCACTCTCTCAGCTGTAGCTCGAAGTCGCTTTTCCAACTTAGGAAGTTCACAGCGGAGATCTGCATTATCACGTACCAACTAAACGTACACAAAGAAAACAAGGATTCCAGATTTAACAGGATGACTTGAAAAAGTATGAGCATTTCATAATTGCTCTTTAGAAAAGTAAAACTGCATTTTATATTGTTTCCCATTTATCTAATTTAGGCAGAAACACGCAAGGAATACATCCATCTATACATAGCGTGCACACATCTAGTTTATTCACAAAGGTATAATTTCCTTTAATTTTTTAGGGGGAGAATTGTTCTTTCCCTCTACTAGGCAAAGACAATACATTACAAGATAGTGCTATGTTTCTTCAGTAAGACAACTAATCTGGTTAAATGAAAACTGCGTCATTATGTCTGACACACTGGGGTATTAGGTATAAAAAGACCACTCTCCCCAAAAGACTTTGCAGTACTTTAACTGCAGTCTTGTGTAGTAGAGATTTCAAAATTACCATGAATAAATTATGAAAATGCACAGTCTTAAAATCCTAAAGGGAAAATGAGAATACATGTTTTCACTGCCTCTTTTGATAATAACGTTGTTAAAAATATTAACTCCTCTAAAAGTTACTTATGGTTTCTTTATATAATTTCTGATAAAATGGCTCAGGGTATAAAAATTCCTGAGGACTCTGAAAGATTGAAATACTCACTTGCCAATCCTCAATTTTTGATTTTTACTATCTTGCAGCTACCAGAAAATATACTCTTTAGTACCTGTTTGTGCACTTTAGTGAGCTGTTCAAGATTATTTTCAAGAAAGGAGATTTTTTGCTTCTGAGCAGCGCTGCCTCCGGTGTCATCAGAATCAATCTCAGCACTCTGAGAAAAGAAGGTAAGTATTACAAAAAAATTAAAAAAAACTAAGCTTAACTATACAAAAATTGACGTGACTGTAAAGTTATTTCACTTTGAATACAAATAATTACCTAGAAGTAAGCACCATTTATGCAAACGCCTACCTCGGCATAGTTACATTACCTTTTTAACTCTTGTAGCCAGGTCCTGAACAAAGAGTTTGCGCAGGTTGTGTAAAGTCTGAAGTTCTTTTGCCTTGGATTAAGAACAGCGATATTTTTGGAGCTCAGACTTTAAATTTAGAATAATCATGGTAGAAAAAACCCACAAAATATTTCCCAATCCTGTTTATTTTCATGTTTTTCTTACCACTGTCTCTTCCAAACCCTTCAAGTCTTGTCTTGCTTGTTCTCGTCTATCTTGCATAACCCTAACAGTAGAAGAACAAACATATATTTTCAAATTTTATTCTGTATATTGTACTTAGCATGAGAGTTGAATAAAATATTTTGTGTCTGAAAGGATAAATTCTTAAATTTAAATAAATACAAGATGCCTATTTTAAACAATTTACCTGTGCTGTCTTTCAAAAAAAAAATTTTTTTTTTTTTGACACAGAGTTTCTGTCCCAAACACTGCTCACTGCAACCTCAACCTCCTGGGCTCAAGTGATCCTCCTCACCTCGTCTCCCAAATAGCTGGGACTACAGGCATGTACAATCAGCCCTGTCTAAAAAAATTTTTGTAGAGACGGGGTCTCACTATATTGCCTAGGCTGATTCTCAAACACTGGGCTCAACTGATTCTCCTGCCCTGGCCTCCCAAAGTGCTGAGATTATGGGTGTGAGCCACTGCAGCTTTGCAATTTCAAAAAATTTTCATATGCCTTCTAAACAACAGTCTATTGTTATACATTCCATATATAGCAATGGAAGAGATGAAATAAAATGTGGCAGAATTCAAAGAATAAGGAATAGTTCTATAATTTATATTTTAAAATATGCCACATGTATTATACTGCTATTTATCCAAAATGATACTGATTAATTATAGATTATAAACTGTCAAAGACTAAAATATTTTACATTACAAGTATTCTAAACAAAATTACAGCTGCAAGTTAGCAGAATCTTCATATAATCCACTCTGAACTGGTCCTGATGTTCTAACTATCCTAACAATATCAGTTGATTTGCAAATTGTCTCACAAACTCAAGGTATGTGAAAAATTATAATCATGCACTTTCTACCTGCTAAGATTCTAGAAAACTGAGTTTTGAGAAAATGAGAAAAGGTAAACCATGAAAACCTCTGTTCAAAATGGCAAGGCTAAACACCACAATGCTCTTTTATGCAAGAGAAAATTTAACAAAAACTCAGTTTTTGTGTTAGATCTTAAAATCTTCGAAGTTACTTAATATATTGTTTTAGGTTCATTTTTATGCTGGATCCTGAAGTAATATGGAGATAAAGAAACAGCAAGCAGATTAATAAAGAGAAACCTTAATCTTAACCACAATGAAATATAAGACCTTGCTTTCACTCAAATGCAAGTATATATTCCAAGTATTTAGATATAAATCAAACCAACTCAGTGGATTTAAGAAAAAATCCTTTAGCCCATACAAAGTAAAATATGTATCCACTGGCTATATCCAAAGGTAATGCCTATAATCCTCTAATTTAGCTTTTATTTTTAAACTTTAATTAAAAACAATTACTCACGTAAGTTCATGTAGTTTTCTGCTCTTTTCCTGATCTGTGGCTTTCAACTTCTCATGTTCTACTCTTAGACGTTCCTGCTCTAACATCATTTTCTGGTTTTGGCTGACGAAAGAAAAAAATAATTAACACAGTATCAATATCACAGTTTTCTCAATGTCATCATTAAAATTTCCAAACTTTTAAATTCTATAATCTCATCAAGGACTTTTCTGTTATCCTATACCCTATGGAGGAAAAGAGGAAAGGGACCTGGCTACTTGTGGACATACAAAATTTTTCGTATTTTGGTTTGAAATCATGATTCTGTTCTCCTCTGTCTTTCATCTTCCTGAATCCTTATGCCTACTTCCATCAGGTATTCATAGTAAGACCTACGCCCCAAACCTCATCATTATTTTGTTATGTTATTCTCTTCTTGGTTCCTACTCAAATTGTTGCAAACTCTGACTTCCATAAACTCTATGTATGTGCACATGGTTATGGAGGCAGGGAAATTGCTTCTAGATAAACTAAGATGACAACTTAAAAAAAAAAAAACCTTTGAAAATCCATAGAATTTCCAGAAAAGTTTTTCCCAGTTAAGAATTTTGAGTCAGGGTCTCGCTCTGTCACCCAGGCTGTAGTACAATCATAGCTCACTTCAGCCTCAGATTCCAATACTCAAGCAATCCTCGTGCCACAGCCTCCTGGGTCACTGGGACTACAGGCATGTGCCACCAAGCTCAGCTAATTTAAAAAATTATTTTTTGTAGAGATGGAGTCTCACTATGTTGCCCAGCTGGTCTTGAACTCCTGACTTCTAGTGATCCTCCCACCCCAGCCTCCCAAAGCACTGGGGTCACAGGCCATCAGCCACTGCACCCAGCCAAGAATTTTTTTAAAAAAGGAAACTAAATAAAGGATTTGGAGAAGACTGTGGTATGCAATAATAGACTTAGGTTGGGGATTTTTTTCTTTTACTGAATAATTTAGATCAAAAGACCTAAAAAAAAGCCTCAAAAATTTCACCTGGAATTTAGAAGTTTTACTCATAAATGAGAAAATTCTTTATTTTCCAAGATAAAAATGTAATTTTGATGAAAACTGCAGGTTTCTAATAAGAATATATACCATGACCATCAGTAACCGATTCTTTCCTCCTAACTAGAGAAGTATAATACTTACTCTTGAAGATCAGTAATAAGTTTTGCTTTTGCTTCTACTTCATCTCTCAAACTACTGATCTGTTTTTGATGAGTTTCTCTATGGCTCTGGATCTGCTGTTCAACAGCTTGCTAAAATTTTGGGGGGGAAAAGGATGTTAAAGTCAGACTAATCAAAATTAATACTGATTAATTAAAGCTGTTAGAAATGTGACATCAAACTTGCCTTAACTTCATTTGCAGTCTGAACCTTATTTAAGTGCTCCTTTTCCATTTCATGGACTTTCTCTGTTTGAATAGAGAGAAAATAGAAGAGTGAAATAAGCCTTTAAGGTTCCTCATATAAACCAAGGAGCAAATGGATTTTACAATAAGCATTTTCCTTAGCAATATTCAACTTCAAATTACCCAAATGTCACCTGCTCTCCAAGTTCAATGACATGTAGACTAGTATACAAGTTACATCCATTGTGTTGGTATTATGTATTCCTTTATGGTTTGTTTGGTTTTTTTTTTTTTGGCCTAATCCAGAACAGATTAGTTAAGGGAATGGTAAAGAAATGAGATAACTCCTAAGTCCCCTATGTTAAGACACACACACACACACACCCCGCTTCGTAACTGTGGGAAATCCCCAGATTGGCTATTTCCATATTCAAACAAAATCTTAAAAATATATATATATATGTTTTGACAGGCACAGTGGCTCATGCCTGTAATCCCAGCACTTTGGGAGGCCAAGGCAGGCAGATCACGAGGTCAGGAGATCAAGACCATCCTGCGTAACACGGTGAAGCCCTGTCTCTACAAAAAAGGTAAAAAATTAGCCAGGCGTGGGGGCATGTGCCTGTGGTCCTAGCTACTAGGGAGGCTGCAGCAGGAGAATCACTGGAACCCAGGAGGTGGAGGTTGCAGTGAGTCAAGATAGTGCCACTGCACTCCAGCCTGGGCAACAGAGTGAAGACGCCGTCTCAAAACAACAACAAAAAAATGTTTCAAAGCAACATTAATATGTATGATTTGTTTACCATTCGAAATCAGCCATATTCCTACTATTTCTTTCAGTGTGAATATTAAGTTTACTACAATTATACTAAAATAAGAACACAGATGTAACTCATAAACAGTTGGAAGCTATACCTTGTGCTCGAAGCTGGACTAGTTCTTCACTGAGGGCATCGACAGATTCCTCCAACTGTCTTTTCTTTTGTTCCACATTTTGAAGGTATTCAGTCAATGACTTGATTTTGGCTTCATGCTTTTGGAAAAAATATACTGATATGAAGTGGAAAACATATGCATACACTTTAAGAATATTTGACAGTAAACATTTCATTATCTATATATGATAAATTTGGGAATATTTAAAACTAAAATATTCAGGAGCCAATTTTGAAATGTTAAAGAATGTAATCAATTAATTCATTGGTGATCATAACTTGCAAACTAAGGCACTGAAGACTCAAATATGAAATACTAATTTTACAGATACCACCATCTAACGTTACCATCTTCCCTCCTTGTGAAATTCTGATAGTGGTGAATGGCCCCATTCATTCAGTTGCCAAGCCAGGAAACTGGTTCCCTGCAGTTTTGCCCACCCTGGAATTCTGAAGTCTTTAACAAGTTACCACCAGTCACATCATTCTGGTAAATTTCTATACATAACCCATATTTATGTTAGGCAAATATAACTCAGTTAAATCATTCAAATTTACTGCAGCTAGACTAGGAAAAAAACAACTAAATTTCACCTATAGACACACATTTTTCTGAAAACTTGTATAATAAATAAAATTTCTATGTGGCTGTTTCAAAAAAATGAATAAACTTTGTTCTATAACATACTTGAGAGATACGAAGCTGACATGCTGCTAACTCCTTTTCATTTTCTTCCATTTTTTTGTTGCTCTCAGTTTGTGTGCTTTCTAACTGCTTGCAACGTTTCACCATGGTTTTTACTTCTGACTTCATTTTGCTAATGTAGAGTCTTGCAACAGTGAACTCTTCATCTATCATGCCAGTTCCCTCAGGCTGCTGTAAGGAAAAAGTAAAATAAAAAATTAAAGCCAAAAATGTTCAATGTGTGTTTTCCCAATTAGGCTATAAAATCTTTTTATAAAATATATTTTAGTATTACTCAATATTCATACAAAGTCTGGATCTTATTTTTTTCTTTTATTACTGTTTTCAACGAAAGGTAAATAAATACAGCTTACTTTTTGCCTTCCTTTTTTTAAAAACTGAGAATAATGTTAATACATGCCAACAAGAAAAATAAATAAATGTAAACCTAAAGAAAACACAAAAATACAACCAAACTAATAAATTCTGCCTCTTTCAATTTTTTCACTTCCTCTTTACAGGACCTCTTCAGTAAATTCATTGTTAATCATGTGCACGTTCAGCTTAAAATTTAACAAGAGGATGTTTAGGTGGCAGGGAAAGGATGAACTTTAAGCTCAACCAGAAGGAATTGTGGTCACTGTATATTCCTTCACCTTCAGGAAGAAATAAAACTGTGCAGATGACATGATTAAGTTTACATGTAAAGTCAAAAGACCCTGAATAGCTAGCACAACACTAAGGACAAACAAAGTCACAGGACTTGACACTATGCAACTTACTGTAAAGCTATAATAATCAAAACAGTACAGTGCTGGCAAAGAACAGATAAACAGGTTAACAGAACAGAATAAAGAGCCCAGGAATAAAACCACAAAATACAGTCAACTGATCTCTGACAAAGGTGCAAAGGCAATTTAATGGAGGGAGGACAGTCTCTTCAACTGGACATCCAGATGTGAAACAATGAATCCTGGTACACACCTTACCCCTTTCAGAAAAATTAACTCCAAATGGATCATAGATCTAAATGTAAATGCAAAACTGAAAAAAAAACTTTTAACACAGGAGAAAATCTAGGTGATATTGGGTTTGGTGACAAGTTTTTAAATACAATACCAAAAACACAATCTATTAATGTAAAACTTGGTAAGTTGGACCTCATTAAAATTAAAAATTTTTAGTCTCAAAAAATGACGTTGAGAGTAAAAAAAAAAAACAAAAAAAAAAAAACAAGACACAGAGAAATAATGCAAAACACTATCTGATAAAAGACTTATATCCAAAACATATGAAGAACTCTTTTTTTTTTTTTTTTTTTTTTTTTTGAGACGGAGTCTCGCTCTGTCGCCCAGGCTGGAGTGCAGTGGCGGGATCTCGGCTCACTGCAAGCTCCGCCTCCCGGGTTCACGCCATTCTCCTGCCTCAGCCTCCCAAGTAGCTGGGACTACAGGCGCCCGCCACTACGCCCGGCTAATTTTTTGTATTTTTAGTAGAGACGGGGTTTCACCGTTTTAGCCAGGATGGTCTTGATCTCCTGACCTCGTGATCCGCCCGCCTCGGCCTCCCAAAGTGCTGGGATTACAGGCGTGAGCCACCGCGCCCGGCCGAAGAACTCTTAAAACTCAACAATAGGAGGCCAGGTACGGTGGCTCACGCCTGTAATCCCAGCAATTTGGGAGGCTGACGCGGGCAGATCACCTGAGGTCAGGAGTTCAAGACCAGCCTGGCCAATATGGCGAAACCCAGTTGCTACTAAAAATACAAAAAATTAGCCAGGTGTGGTAGTGGGAGCCTGTAGTCCCAGCTACTCGGGAGGCTGAGGCAGAAGAATTGCTTGAACCCAGGAAGAGGAGCTTGCAGTGAGCCGAGATCATGCCACTGCACTCCAACCTAGGCGACAGAGCGAGACTCCATCTCAAAATAAAACAAAACAAAACTCAACAACAGGGCCAGGCGCAGTGGCTCATGCCTGTAGTACCAGCACTTTGGGAGGCTGAGGCAGGCGGACCACCTGTAGTCAGGAGTTCGAAACCAGCCTGGACAATATGGTGAAATCCCATCTCTACTAAAAATATAAAAATTAACCAGGCGTGGTGGTACGCGCCTGTGTTCCCAGCTATTTGGCAGGCTGAGGCAGAAGAATCACTTGAACCCAGGAGGCGGAGGTTATGGTGGGCCAAAATCACGCCACTGCACTCCAGCCTGGGTGACAGAGCGAGACTCCGTCTCAAAGAAAAAGAAAACCTCAACAATAAGAAAAAACACAACTGCAAATTAAAATGACAATAAAATAACACCATACATTAGTAAAATCCCAAGAAACTGACAAGAGCAAACACTGGCAATGATGTGGAACAGCAGACTCTCATTCATGGCTGATAGGAATGCAAAATGTTTCCACCACTTTGGAAGACCATTTGGGAGTTCCTTACAAAGCTAACATAGTCATAACGTACAACCTAGCACTTCTAGGTATTTTTACTCAACTGAACTGAAAATTTATGTCCAAAGAATAACTTACACATGAATTATTATTATTTTTTTTGGAGACAGAGTCTCACTCTGTCACCTAGGAAGGAGTGCAGTGGTACCATCTTGGCTCACTGCAACCTCCACTTCCTGGGCTCAAGCAATTCTCGTGCCTTAGCCTCCCAAATAGCTGGGACTATAGGCGTGCACCACTATGCCTGGCTAGTTTTTTTATTTTTTGTAGAGATGGGACTTCACCACTTTGGCCAGGCTGGTCTCAAACTCCTAGCCTCAAGTGATCTGCCCGCCTCGGCCTCCCGAAGTGCTGGGATTACAGGCATGAGCCACCATGCTCAGCCTACACATGAATGTTTATAGCAGCTTTGTTCATTAATTGCCAAAACCTCAAAGTAACCACATAGGTGAATGGATAAACAAACCATGGTACATTCATATCATGGAATATAATTTAGTAATTTAAAAAAATGATCAAGCCATGAAAAGCCATGGAAGAATCTTAAATGCATACTGGTAAGTGAAAGAAACTAGCTGAAAGGGCTACATATACATACTGTATGATTCCAACTATATAACATTTTGGAAACAGCAATACTATAAAGATAGTAAAAACATCAGTGGTTGCCAGAAGTTCAAGAAGTAGAGGTGAATAGCAAAAACACTGGGAATTTGTTAGGGTGGTGTGGGAACTATTCTAAATACCGGACCTATAATATTATGCACTCCTTAAAATCCACACAACTATAGAATACAATGAGTACAACAATCATTGTAAACTGTAACATAAAACTGTAAACTGTAACTTAAGAACAACAACAGGCCGGGCGCAGTGGCTCATGCCTGTAATCCCAGCACTCTGGGAGGCCGAGGTGGGCAGATAAAGAGGTCAGGAGATCAAGACCATCCTGGCTAACACGGTGAAACTCCATCTCTACTAAAAATACAAAAACAAAATTATCCAGGCGTGGTGGCACACGCCTGTAATCCTAGCTACTCGGGAGGCCGAGGTGGGAGAATGGCATGAACCCGGGAGGCGGAGCTTGCAGTGAGCCAAGATCGCACTACTGCACTCCAGCCTGGGAGACACAGTGAGATTCCGTCTCAAAAAAAAAAAAAAAAAAAAAAAAGTAACGCTCTAACAGAGCTTATATATGATGAGAGGAAAAGAATTACTTGTTAATGACAAAAATACTGAGGATCCTTTTTTTTTTTTAATTAGAATAACTATTTGCAAAGACGACTTATTTTCAAACTGCTATGGTATAGTGGAAAAAAAAATCTAGTAGTCATGGAACCTGGATTTCATCCCTCTGCCACTAAACATAAACCATTTCCACTCTCTCTTTACACTTTTTAACTTAAATCATAATTATTTGAACATAAAATATAAGATTTGTCTAAAAAGTTGCAAATCTACAAAGCAAATCTTGAACAACATCTCTCTGGTGTTCTGCGATATGAAATAAATGTACTTTTCCATCCTAGAGATTTCTCTACATCTCACATTACTTCACCATAAACAGAATAGGGCCGAAATGTTCAGACTGATGGTGAAGGGAAAGCAAGTCAAGTGGCCCCATAGTGAGTCCACTGAAGAAATAACATATGAAGAGAAGAGTCATGAGAATCCTTGCCTCCATCAACAAACAGTAACTTTTATTTTGTTGATTTTATCTTTTATTCTTTTTGTATTTTTTAAAAATATTTTTTCTTCATTTTTAAACTGAAGAATCAGTTAACAGCAAACAGCAACATTAAACAATACAAAAGATGGAAATGTGTACTCCATATTGAAAACTTTTACGTCAGTTCCAACTCTGGTTAACAGACTGGGCTTTTTAGTAGGCTCTCAATATAAACCCAAGTGTATATGCTCTCTTTGTATTGTAATTAGGCTTTAATCAAAAAGGTAAAGTCTAAACAGCTACTGCAACATACAAATCTTTCATGTTATATGCATGGTTTTTCAGTTAAGAGTCTTAGTTTGGTTCTTTGGTCTTAGTTTTTAAATCTACCACCAAGTCAAATGCCTAATGCTAACAACCAATATTAGTATCTTTAAAAAGATTAGGACAAAGAGGTATAAAGAAAATATGGACATATTTTGAAAACTGAAAACTCTAGAGTTCATTGTATTATTCTCTCTACTATTATATGTTTGAAATTTTTCACACTAAAATAAAAAAGAATTAAGAAAGCAGTGCTCATCTTTAACTTTTCTTTAAATATTTAAAGCAACCACAAGCCCATTCATTATAAATTTATTCCCTGAGCTAATCTTTTTTTTTTTTTTTTTTCCAGATAGGGTCTCACTGTTGCTCAGGCTGGAGTGCCATGGCACAAACATGGTTCACAGCATCTTTAACCTCCTGCCTCAGTCTCTTAAAATAGCTGGGACTACAGGCATGTATCACCATGCCTACATGCTAGGCTAATTTTTAAATTTTTTGTAGGGACAAGGTCTTGCCACGTTGCCCAGGCTGGTCTCGAACTCCTGGGCTCAAGTGATCCTCCTGCCTTGGCCTCCCAAAGTGCTGGGATTACAGGCTTGAGCCACTATGTCTGGTCCGTGAACTAATCTTAATTGTTGTTCCAATCATTTCACTTATGGAAATTTATTAACGTAATTTTTAAGCACGAATTTTTTTTTTTTCTGGAGACAGCATCTTGATCTGTTGTGCAGGCTGGAGTGCAGTTGCACGATTGCAGCTCACTGCAGCCTTGACCTCCCAGGCTCAAGCAATCCTCCCACCCCAGTAGCTGGGACTACAGGCACACGCCACCATGCCAGGCTCATTTTTGTATTTTTTGTAGAGACAGGGTTTCGCCACATTGCCCAGGTTGGGGAAAATGTTATAGTAAAGAATCAAACATGAGGTCCAATAAATGCCGCCTACTGAATTTACCTATTTGGGTGCCCTTATTCTCTTGCTCTCTCCTGATCTATTTAAAATGCGGTTAATAACATCTACTACACGACTGTTTGTGAGGATGAGATCATGAATACGAAAAGAACTTTACAAACTATTAGTAGTAAACAAAAGTGCCAGTGTATACAGATAATTGTCCTTAATACTTAGTTATTATATTTACCTTTACATCATTATTTCCCACAGCAATTCCTATTTCTGCAAGGTCTTTTAGTAAAGATGCCATCATCTCAGCTGCTCGTTTTTTCTGGTGGTTGGTCATTTCCTTAAGTTTCTGAAGCTCAGCATCTATACTCGCTAAAGTTGCCTAAGAGAACCCAAAACAAAAAGTATAGTTAAATCTACTACATGAAAATTCAAATCAAATACTCATCGGTGTTTCAAGTTTTACACCAAGCCCTTACGAAACCATGTCTTTTCTGCTTTCATTTTTCTTGAACTATCTACCAGGTTCTGGGCTCCCAGCTCAAACTTAAAATATATTTTAGACCTAATAGGCTATGGTAAAAGTAGCCACATTGTTTTCAATTAAGAGCAGGCAGTTTCTGTTATTTCACTAAATTCCTGGGATTGAATAATATTTTCTGTCTAAAAATGGGAAGCCTCAAATTTAACTAGATTTGATTATCACTTATTACTATATTATGTCTTATCTTTAGAAAGTGAGTCAGCAAATTAACGTTACAATGACACTCTTTTCTAGATGGTTAGTATGCTTTCTTCATCTACTTTCTATATACTTACTCACTGGAAAGAATCCATGTGATAATACTATGATACAGGCAATTATCCAGGAGCTAGTGTTAAAGTAATATTATCTGAGTTTAATGACTATCATTATAAATCTCAAATCATAGCTGGCTTAACAGCTACAAAATCACCAAATTTTGAAAAGTCCAACCCAGTTTGGTGCCCACTTTAAAATAACTCATATGGCAGAACAGATACAAGGTGAGCATCCCCACTCCGAAGTGCTCGAAAATCTGGGACTTTTTGAGTGCTTGCATGATGCTCAAAGAAAATGCTCACTGAAGCATTTTGGACTTGCCAATTAGAAATGCTCAACTGGTAAGTATAATGCAAACATTCCAAAATCTGAAACGCTTGGGGCTTCTGTATTTGTAATGCCTGTACTATACTGTATTTGTAATGCCATTTATTGACTTTTCATCAGTATCTTTTAGTAAAGATGCCATCATTCCAACTGCTTATTTCTTATGGTAGTTCGTCATTTCCTTAAGTTTCTGAGTATCAGTAGAGTATGTATCCACCCAGGTTAATCTACAATATGATACCAATTATCTTCAAGTCTCATAATATAGCATGCTTCTACCATAATTGTTTAAATTACCAGACACTCTCTAACTGAACAGCAACACTGTCTAAGCATATAAACAGATGCTAAACACTAGGGATTTCTAACTCCTATTATCAATGTAATGCTGATAGATTTCAGCTCCACAAGTGAAACATAAATATAACTGTCTTAAAGACTAAAATCAGCGGCCAAGGACCACCTTTCAGAGTTGTAAAAAACTCCTGTTATTCTTTCATACAACAATTAGCTTTGTTAATAATGCAACTCAGTAAGAGTTAGTTATAATGGTGTCTTAGATCTGTACAGTACTGAATGTTAACTTCAAGCTAACTGTAACTTTGTAGATTAAAAAGAGAAAAGGAACTCATAGGGGCAGGAAACCTTTTAAAAGCATTATTTTGTACTGTTGACTGCTTTCTTTTAGACAAGTTAATGTGAGCAGGGAAATAAGTGGTGGACATGGGTCCTGAGTGCAACTCTAGATGCTGATTTCTAAACAAGAAGCTAGCATTAACCACAACAAAACCACAAAATAGCTCCTCCATGATGATGTTGAAACATTCATAGCTATGTATTATTTCTGTCATCATTGTTGGAGGTTGGCGATGTCTGTCCTGTATCAATTTTCAGCAAGTAAAAATCTCCATCTAGTCGCCAGGCACGGTGGCTCACGCCTGTAATCCCAGCACTTTGGGAGGCTGAGGTGGGTGGATCACCTGAGGTCAGGAGCTCGAGACCAGCCTGGCCAACATGGTGAAACCCTGTTGCTACTAAAAATACAAAATGAGCCGGGCGTGGTGGCGGGCGCCTGTAATCCCAGCTACTCGGGAGACTGAGGCAGGAGAATCATTGAACCCAGGAGGCAGAGGATGCAGTGAGCCAAGATTGCGCCATTGCACTCCAGCCTGGGCAACCAGAGTGAAACTTTGTCTCAAAAAAAAAAAAAAAAATCTCCATCTATTGGGAACCACTACACTGTGCTAAAAAGGCACTGTTCCACGTAGTGGAAATGTAACAGTAAGTAAAACATAAATTATGTTAAGTTACATATCCTTACATCTATTCCAAATAATTCACAGTTGATTAAATAGCATTTTAATTTGTACTGCATATTTAATTTATTGTTTGAACAATCATCTAATAGCTTTATTGGGCAACTAGCAGCTTTAAATTATTTTTCCTTTAACATTAGTAGTAACATTAGATTCTACATGCTATATACTAAATTAAAAAAATTAAAATTAGGAGTAGCAAACATCCTCTAAAACAGCATTTAAATTAGATATTAACAGACCTTTAGGAACTAAAATAACTGTCTTCCTCCACCTCTAAGGCTTCATATACAGAAAGAAATGAAGTTGAAACCCGAGTCCTTGAAAATTGATGTTATCGATATTTGACTTACATAGAAAAGTAAGTTATTTAAGTAGTTTTTAGGTTAAGAATACTTGTACTAAAGCATTAAAAAAGAAAATAAAACTATATCCTACCGATTTCTGATTCAATTCATCACTAAGCAATTCATATTCCTTAGTTTTGTCTTCAACTTCCTGAGACTTCTGATCATAATTGACAGCAAGTTCTTCTAGGGCCTGTAAAACTTCTTTCACTTCTTCTTTAGAGGCATCATTTTCTGCTTGAAGGCGATTCAGCTCAGCTTGCATATTGTCTTGATCCCTTCTGGTAGATGCCAAAAGCTATAGGACAGAAAATAATTTATTTTCCCCAAAAGTATACAGGTTTTAAAAAACACCCATGAAGCTTCACCATTTGTCAAGAACAAATGGAGTGAAATATGGATGGTATTCAGTGTGGCAACATTTATTCATTAAACAGATTTACTAAATGTCAACTATGTGCAGGCACTGTGCTGGATGCTGCAAGGCAGAAAGAAAATCAAAGACTGTGTTTAAGGAACACAGTAGAAGAGAAGATAGGCACATGAATAAGTGCAGTACAAGATAGAAGGTCAGAACCATAAGAGAGGGACAGGACAGATAAAGTGCTTAGTAATACAGGAAAGAGTATTCATTCATGGAGAAGTTGGCTAGGAGAGATCGACTGCAGTCACATGCAAATTAATGTAATAAAGGAAA
This sequence comes from Homo sapiens, assembly GCF_000001405.40. Taxonomy (NCBI): domain Eukaryota; kingdom Metazoa; phylum Chordata; class Mammalia; order Primates; family Hominidae; genus Homo; species Homo sapiens. The sequence goes on from NC_000010.11 coordinate 32,031,679, forward strand.
ATGGCATTCTACAAGAGTTGCTTAAAAATTTAGATTTGGGCCAGGCGGGGTGGCTCACGCCTGTAATCCCAGCATTTTGGGAGGCCGAGGCGGGCGGATCACAAGGTCAGGAGTTTGAGACCAGCCTGACCAACATGGTGAAATCCCGTCTCTACTAAAAATACCAAAAAATTAGCCAGGCGTGGTGGCGGGCGCCTGTAATCCCAGCTACTCGGGAGGCTGAGGCAGAAGAGTCGCTTGAACCTGGGAGGTGGAGGTTGCAGTGAGCCAAGATCACGCCGCTGCACTCCAGCCTGGGGAACAAGAGCAAGACTTCGCCTCAAAAACAAAAACAAAACCTGGTATCAGCACATAAAATCTGAACTGCAGGGATGCCAAGAGACTAGTTAGGAGAAAACCACAATCATCCACATTAGTGGCTCTCCTGTAGGGATATCCGGAAATCTGTGGGAGTGTTAATAATAGGGTAGAATGCTAATGGCATTTAGGAGTAGGGACCAGGAATGTTTAATGTCCTATAATACAAAGGACAGAATAACATAAATTATCCAATGCAAAATATCAATAGTGCCCCTTTGAGGAATAATGCTATAGTTGAAATATGAAATGCTATAGTTGAAAGATGATCTGACCAGGATTAAGTTCACTGATGGAGAGTATCTCTTTCTTACCGAAGCAGTCTTTGTCTTCACCCTGCCCACCACCCCCACAAAAAAATTTAAAGGACTGCTTTTCAATTATCCCCCTGCTCTGCTGGGTGAGAAGATAAAATGAGGATCCAAAGTAAGTGACAAGAAGAGAAATGTCAAGAACCAGGGTGAAAAAAAAGATGGCGGAAATGAACAACAGATTGTATCTGGGTAGATACGATGAATAAGTAAAAATTCACTTTATCCATGTGACATTCTTATTCCCACAAAGACAGTCATACCCAAAATTATACAACTATTAAAGACAAAGTCAATGGGATTCAGAAAACAAAACTATAAAGCTTTTCTGGAAGCAATGTAAAAGGTATTCAACTCACCTCCTCCTGATCCAACATTTGCGTCTTCAGTTTCTCTACCAGTTGACTTTGCTGGTTAATTTCTTCATCCTAGAATTGTGAAGTATCCGGTTAACCAGTAGCTAACAACCTGGTTCTAGTTGTTTCCCAATACAGGTTATAAGATTACTACTCCCCAGAAATATTTCAAAACCATTTCTCTAAATTCAACATTGCTTATTTTAATCTCTTTTAAGAAAATGGCAAAACAAAAGGAATTTCTTTCAATTATCAATACTTATAATGGTCATGTACTTCGAACCTGCCATCTCTGCTTAAAATATATTAAAAATATCAACTTAAGAAAATATTTTCTTCTAATCTCTTTACTACTCTTGTTCTTGCCTTCCATTCTATTACGTTCTTAGTTTGCTATTATTCATACTATTGACATTACTTCTATATGCAAAGCAGGAAGATATTATTTCCACTCTATTGTGTTTCCCTTAATCTCTCACATCATCTTTTATTGGAGTCTTCAGAGCCCTGATTCTAACAATTGGTATCATTGAGGCTCCCAATGACCCAATGCCAAATTTTCATTAGAACAGGGGTCCCCAAGCCCCCAGGCCACAAAGCAGTACTGGAAGCCTGTTAGGAACCAAGAAGCACAGCAGGAGGTGAGCAGCAAGCATTACCACTTGAGCTCCGCCTTCTGCCAGATCAGCAGCATTAGAATATCATTAAGAGCGCGAACTCTATTATCAGCTGTGCATGCAAGAGATCTAGGTTAGAGGATCCTTATGAGAATCTAATGCCTGATAATCCAAGGTGGAAGTTTCATCCCAAAACCATCTCCCCGACCTGATCCACGGAAAAACTGTCTTCCCTGAAACCAGTCCCTGGTGCCAAAAAGGTTGGGGACTGCTGCCTTATAAAGTTCTTTTAGCTTAAAAAGAGGGGGAAGAAAAGATACATGCTCATACAGTTTCCACACAGAAATTGAAATTATGACTTTTTATTTTGTTAATACAATAATTTTTACAAGATTAACAGAAATCAAGGAAGATGCATAAAGATCCTAAGTGCCCACAGCACTGAAATGAGAAAAGTTAGAAAATAAAAACACCCATGTCAATAGTATCCTAATATAAAGCAGACCTAAATCAAGCAATACCTACCTTGTCATCAAGCTGTTTGTATAATTTAGCAATTTCTTCTTCACACTTTCTTCTTTCAGCATCAGTAAAATTTCCTATAACTCCAATTGCGGTTGCTGGTTTATCATTGGTAAGAGTAATATCTTTATCCACTGTGAAAGCTTCCAAGTTGGCTTTCTCTTTGTCAAACTGTTCATCAATAGGCACCGTCTCCCCTAAAATAAGAAAATAAAGTGGTTAATAAAAAAACGACGTCTAAAGCTAATTTCAATTTCATTCCTTTAAAAATTTTTTTTTTTTTTTTTGAGACAGAGTCTCAATCTGTCACCCTGGCTGGAGTGCAGTGGTGCAATCTAGGCTCACTGCAACCTCTGCCTCCAGGGTTCAAGCAATTCTACTGCCTCAAGACTCCTGATTAGCTGGGATTACAGGCGCTCAGCACCATGCCAGGCTAATTTTGGTGTTTTCAGTAGAGATGGGGTTTCAACATGTTGGCCAGGCTGGTCTCTAACTCCTGACCTCAAGTGATCTGCCCACCTTGGCCTCCCAAAGTGCTAGGATTACAGGCATGAGCCAGTGCACCCAGCCTCGTTCTTTCAAACTTTTTCTTCTCTGTGTTATTTTCAAATAATCTGTCTTCAAGTTCAGATTCTTCTGCTTAATTAATTCTACTACTGATGGTCTCTTGCATTTTGCTCATTTTATTTTTCAGCTCCAGGATTTCTATTAATTTTTTTAAAAATTATTTCGATGTCTATTAAATTTCTTGATCTAGTCACTTACTGATTTTGCTGAACTATTTCTACGTTTCTATGCTCTAAATCTGTATTTAACAAACTGAAGATGACAAATTCTTAAGTTATTACCATTACGCCATCTGTTGAGCTCATTTTCAAGCCACTGAATAGTGTTCCGCAGGATCTTATTTTTTTCTTTTTCTTTTTCATACTTCTTTTTCCACTGTTCTGCAGTTAACTCCACATTGACACAAACTGTGTTCTTAATTGTTTTGGCCCTAAGAGATGTAATTGGAGGAAAAAAAGGATGAGACTGAAATTATTTTTAATTTTATCTATATGGAATATATGTATATATGGCTAAGAAACTTATGCTTGTCCAGTAATCTCTTAGACTAAATACTAAAAGCCGCAACATATGACGTTATTTACAACTCAACTAAATTTGAGTCTGCTCCAAAATCTGTGAATAGCTTTAAAAAAAAAAAAATCAACAAACCACTAAAAATAAAAGACAAAGGCCTATATTTTTCCAATTTGTTTGCAAGGCTGAATTAAGAAATTACTGTTGAAAGTCAAAGACGGAATCATCATTACTGATTTTCCTAATCATCTCATACAGATTATATTAACCTGTCATGCATGTCTACAGGCTTAACAGAGGATTATGTTTGCCAGGCTTTGACCTCATTATTTGATTCAAATGCTTATTTTCTTTAATACCAAATTACAGCTTGTCACACAAATTTGACTAAAATTACATCTGACTTTAATGTGTACTAAAACTTAAACCAAGCAGTCTAAAAATCAGACCCACCTTGTATTATCTGTCATCAATTCAAACTGAGTGTGTCTAGCACAAAACAGTATGTACAGGTTGGAATAACAGCTCACATTTTCCTACATTTTATAAACAAAAGGTCTATCTAAATTTAGGTTTTGTACTTTCTTAACAACAAACCTTTGGCCAAATAAGAGTGTAGATTTTGTTTCAGACTCATTGTATGATGATGGAGAGCAGCAAATTACAATAGTGGTTCTACAGTTGCCACCTAATGAATCTTGAAGGATTCTTGTCATTTTACTATCTCGATATGGAACATATGTCTGCATACAAAAACAAAGAAAGAAAACAAGACCAGTATAATAAAATGTTATTATAAAATAAACTCCCAAAAGACAACTAACTTACACATACTGATTCAAACACATTGAATCTCAATCTCTCTTTCTCTCTCTCTCTCTCATACACACCCAGGCACACATATACACCTATATTTAAATAATGCCCCATAAGGTAACAGGGAGATAGAAGACATGTATACTCACACTACCCTCAGCCAAAGCAGAAATAACATTTCCAAGAGCAGAAAGTGACTTGTTGATGTTTTTAGCTTCATCCAGCACAGCACCTTCAGCTCCAGTTTTACTAACCTATACATAAGATTTCAAAAGAATGAAACAAAATTACAAGTTTATAATTTTCTTTACATTTTCTAAAATGTTCATATGTCATCAATAACCAGTAAAAAAGAAAAAAGAACATGAAAAGCTTCATGATCTTATTTGCCAAGCATACCACCATTTCTTGAGTACTACTCTTAAGAGTTTGATTAGAGAGACATCAAATTTTATCTGTAGTTTGTAGGTACTCTTGAAAATAACCAATTTAAATGTAAATTTGTAGTTCATTAATCTGTTAGTCCCCTTTGCTACATTAGAAAACAGGAACCTTCTAAAATTGGCTAATGCATAATGTTGATGTTGTAACTGTTAGAAAACAGAGACTGAGTTTTAAACACATTATATAAGCAAATCTGCTTCTTTTAAAAATATATAAAATATCTAAATATCTATGTTGTGGTGTTTTTTTTTTGGAGACTGAGTCTCACTCTGTCACCCAGGCTGGAGTGCAGTGGCTTGATCCCAGCTCACTGCAACCTCCGCTTCCCGGGTTCAACCAATTCTCCTGCCTCAGCCTCCCCAGTAGCTGGTATTACGGGCATGTGCCACCATGCCCAGCTAGTATCTATGTTAAAGATAGGTCAGAACAATAAATTAGCAATGTTGGCTGAAGAAATAGCTTAGGAGATTTCTCAGATTAGATAATCTTTGAAAGATGTGTGTAAGACTTCAGAGTAGAACGGAATAGATATATCATTCTAAGCAGAAGAAACAAAATTAGCACAACAGCAAAAATGGTCAGAGGTCCCTATTATAACATTCAAACTTAATTTGATATAGACTAGAATCAGACTGTATAGAATTGTAATAATGAAACAATAATCCAAAGGAAAGAAATAAGTCCAACCAAACCAGAAAAGACTAATCGAGAGTTACCAGTTTTAATAGGGACCCCACTGCCAATATGGATAAAATACGTATCAAAAATTAGAAAAGGGATATCTAATAAAGTTTATAACAACATATGCTGAACCAGTTCTCACTATGAACATATCTTAAGTCATAGAAACCACTTATGGGTTGAACTAGAGTATGGTCAAACAACAGTAACTTGGAACTGATTATTCAGCTGATATCATCATAAGGCACTGGCATCAGCGGTTACAAATCTCAGGTTACCAAATCCAGTTTGGTAAGTAAGATGCAACAATGAACCCTGCGTAACTCCCAACTCAAACTAAAGTTTACAAAGATGCTTAAATATTTGTCAAAATACATGAAGACTTTACCTTTTCACTACCAGCTAAATCAACCAGATAAAGTTTTCCACTCAGCTTTTGTTCCGTTTGTGTGTTCTCTTGTTTGACATTAATAAGAAATATACTGTGACTCCTAGAGCTATGTTCATTCATATCTGCAAGGAAATTACACAAACAAATATAAACAAACATGATTTCCCCTTAACAATTTCCCTGAAGCAATCTTATAATTAATCACCTGGATAAGGATATTTTAAGCTGGTTTTAAATCCTAACCAGTGTTATTTTCTACTTACTTGTAACTGCTACATGTCTGTTGGATTTTCCTTCATCTATGGTATCCATAACTTCATCTGGACTACATACAAAACGCTCTGTGCACCCCTGTGAAATAATTTTTAAAAATATGTTAATGTCTGGCCAACATGATGAAACCCTTTCTCTAATAAAAACACAAAAATTAGCCGGGCGCGGTGGCGGGTGCCTGTAATCCTAGCTACTTGGGAGGCTGAGGCAGGAGAATCGCTTGAGCCTGGGAGGCAAAGGTTGCAGTGAGCCGAGACCATGCCATGCACTCCAGCCTGAGCAACAGAGCGAGCCTCCATATATTAAATGAATTGGCTCACGCCTGTAATCCCAGCACTTTGGGAGGCAGAGGCGGGCGGATCACGAGGTCAGGAGTTCAAGACCAGCCTGGCCAACATGGTGAAACTTCGTCTCTACTAAAAATACAAAAATTAGCTGGGCGTGGTGGCGCATGCCTGTAATCCCAGCTACTCAAGAGGCTGAGGCAGGAGAACTGCTTGAACCCTGGAGGCAGAGGTTGCAGTGAGCCGAGATTGCACCACTGCACTCCAGCCTGGGCGACAGAGTGAGACTCTGTCTTAAAAAAAAAAAAAAAGTATTACAGGGTTTTCTAGACAACTGTACTATAAATACCTTTACATAGGGAACTCGGTTTTTGTCTTCATGAACTGAAAGGTTGGTCTTTGAAACTGAGAAAGAAAAACAAATGTTAGCAACATTCTCCTAAAACTCTTAACACTGGATATGAAATAACTGATAGGCTTTCCTGAGCAGCCTAACAGCAATAGTTGAACTCTAAAAACATATTAAAACATTGCTCTAAAGCAGACCTTACAGACACAGCAGGAGATGTAAATAGAAACCAATGCAACAATATAGAATTTTAGGACCACTCCAACCTACCACCCACATTTTATAAACAAGAACATTAACCCTGAATGGTTCAATGATTTGCCTAAGGACAATGTATCTAATTGACAGTTGACAGAAGACTAGAACTCAGGGCTCAGATTATGTAACTCCCAGTCCAATGCTCTAATTACTACTAAGAAGTACCCATAAACATCGCTTTAAACTAGTTATTCTATTTAAAGGTATTCAACTAAAACTTTAGAAGAAAAAAAATTTTGTCTATTTCCAATAACTTAAGACAATTTCATATAGGTTACAAAGAAATAGTCTCACATCTATTATTAAAAAGGAATTAACAGATGTTATTTAAAACTGATTAGCAAGAATTTAACTTACCATCTAACAGGTCCCTTATCTTATCCAAATATATTTCAAAATATGAAACCTAAAGGGCAAATTTAAAAAAACACCGATCAACTAAAGTTATATAACTTATTCGCATATTGAGGTCTGAGTGCTAGGCATTGTTTAGACTAGAGAGACAGTTATCAACATACCAGCCATAGCTCACATTCTAATGGGAAGACATAAATTAGCCAAATTAGCTTAGTTATTTAAGCAGTCTTCCCATTGGACATAAATTACATTATCTTCATCTAAAATGAATTAGAATAGTTTTATGTAGTAGAAACCTTCAAGTTCTGCAGTAAAGCAACCTCCTTTATTTTTTGAAGGAGGCTAAAGACTTAATCATTTACGTTAGTTAACATTCCTGTTCATCTAATGGCAGATGAACAAAAATCCAAGTTTACTAACCTGAATGATCTTTCAACTGTACCTTTCCAGAAAAACAATTTTTAAAATTAAAGAAACCAGCATTTACTATTTTTTTAGAACATTATTCTTGCTGTAAAATAAAATATAATCTTTCCTCAAGGAATTTACCTTAATATGAAATTCCAAATTTTCATCCATGGAGTAAATATAATTAAAAATATCTTGCACTATTCTTGGAATAATTCCCATGCCTTCTGGATCATGAAGTTTACCCTAAACAAAAAACAAAACTAGACTTCTTAAATAAATTATAAAATATGAAGTAAAAACAAAGAGTTTCAATCTACAACTTATAGTCAAGAAAGGACAGGAACTATATTTTTGTGGAAACGGCTCTGTAAATACCTAAAAAATCCAATTCAACTATTACACATACACAGTACTGTACATCAACCACATGGGTTACCAACAGATCTTAACCCTTCATTTAATCACTAGATTTAGATTATCCATGCTTGTAAAATGTTCATTGTAAAATGAACATAATTAAAAAGGTTTTAGTTTCTTTCCATATAATTCTACATTGTTCCTTCTACTTCGAGGCAAATTCATGCAAATACTAGGATGTCCTTGTTCTCTATGACTTTATGAAAATCAGTAATATGAATCACACTAAAAGAAGCAGTCATTTACTTAATATAGTACACTCAAATAAATGATAAAAACAGATGCTCTTTAGCAGTGGCAGAAAATCACAGGCTGTTTTCTAGAAGCAAAGCTATAGTGGGTCCACATCTATTATTAACAGCAGCACTGATAATTATGGCAACATTCTTATCAGAGAAGAGTGACAGTTATTTTGAGGAAGGAGGAGCCAAGGAGAACAGGAAAAAGTTATTTATACTACATAAAATCAACAACACATAAGCATTCAAAATTTCCCATATAACAGGGTGACAAAAAATTCTTGTCTAAAATGTTATTTATTTTATGGTTATGCTAACTGATAAAACAATCTCAAATATAATCTCAAATACAGGTATCCCTTACTATTTAAACTCAGGAACTGATTAGATTCCAACAATGATGTTACATGTATATTATTTGTATGAGAAAAGGCAATAAAGAGTAAATTAAAATGTTTATGCATGGTGAAATAATATCACAAATAATGAATGCTGTATGTATTGCAAACCACATCTAAGTACAGATTATAAAACGTTACCTCCATTGTGTGTGTCTTCCCAGAGGATGTTTGTCCATATGCAAATATTGTTCCATTATATCCTTCAAGTACATCTATGAGAAAAGATTTTATAGTTCAGGGGATTTTTTCCTTAAGCAAGATTCCTAAGAAATTACTTAAACTACAGGATGACAGGGTAGAGAAAAGGTTAAAAAAAAAATTACTTAATGTTACAGGAAAATATCAGATGTTTATTCCTAGTGAGGTATAAAACACCCTAAAACACACACACACACACACACACACACACACACCCTCTTCCTAACCCTTGCATACTAAATTCTGTATAATAAAATATTGTGGGAGTGGCTGGGTGCGGTAGCTCACTCCTGTAATCACAGCACTTTGGGAGGCCAAGGCAGGCGGATCACAAGGTCAGGAGTTCAAGCCTGGTCAGCATGGTGAAACCCTGTCTCTACTAAAAATACAAAAAATTAGCTGGGCTTGGTGGCGCGTGCCTGTAGTCCCAGCTACTCAGGAGGCTGAGGCAGGAGAATTGCCTGAACCGGGCAGGTGGAGGTTGCAGTGAGCCGAGATCGCGCCACTGCACTCCAGTCTGGGTGACAGAGTAAGACACCATCTCAAAAAAAAAAAAAAAAAATTAGCTGTACGTGGCCTGTAATTTCAGCTACTCGAAAGACTAAGGCACAAAAATCGCCTGAGCCCAGGAGAAGGAGGTTGCAGTGAGCTGAGATCGAGCCACTGCACTCCAGCCTGGGTGACACAGTGAGACTCTGTCTCAAAAAAAAAAAAAAAAAACCAAAATTATTTGTGGAAAGAGTGGCAAGAAAGATTCAGATTTTCTTTATGCTAATATGAAAGACTCCATCAAAGTTTAGTACATAAAGGATTTATAAAGACATTAAAGGAAATATATAACAACAGTAATTTTCTTAGTGATGACCCATCTAAGCAATTTTCTCTGGACCCAGACTGCTTTCTGTGGTTAATTAAGAAACAAATTTTAAATTCCACTGCTTATAATAAAGAATCTCTTGTATCAGTGTACATCTCAAATGTCATTACATCTACACTCCAAAGCTTTATGTGACCAAAAAGAAAAAAAATCCTCTGCCAATTTACATACAGATGAGATTTTAGAAACAAGACTAATTGATGGTTAATTAGTAGCTAATCCTCACAAACCCCGACCTTCCTCTTTATCCTACCCACAAAGTGTAACACTCACTCCTACCTCAAAATCAATTACCAAGAAGTTCCTATGAAAAAAAATGTTATGAGACAGGGTCTCCCCTCTGTTCAGAGTGCAATGGCACAATCATAGCTCACTGGTCACTGCAGCCTCAACCTCTTGGGTGTAGTAAGCTGCCTGCTTCAGCTTCAAGTAGCCAGGACTAGAGGCACATGCCACCAGGCCTGGCTAATTCTAAAAAAAATTTTGTAGAGACAGGGTCTTGCTATGTTGCCCAGGCTGATCTCAAACTCCTGGGCTCAAACAACCCTCCTGCCTCAAGCCTCACAAAGTGCTGGGATTACAGGCCTAAGTAAGCCCCTGCACCTGACCCTCCTATGAAATTTTTTTCTAGCCTCTGACATTAACATTTAAATATATTCTTTTATTAGGTCAAAGGGGGGAAAAAGGCAATCCTTTGATTTCTGGCTTTCGAGGATTTTGTTTGTTGTTTGTTTTTGGTGACAAGAAAGGTACTATGAAATTACATTCTATTCTAGAGGAAGCCAAAACAAAAAGAGAAGCCTCTGTTGGAAACAGCATATAACAGTGAAAAGTAAACTAATAAGCAAGCCAATCCTTGTTTTTATTCATTATTTTAAAAAGAAAAAAAAACCCCAACATGGGCACAACTAAGTGGATAACAGATTTCCTACAGAAACATTTATTAATGAGAAAAAAAGACATCATTACTAACTTCCCTGGGAAGATTTTAAGAGACTCCAAACATTTGAAACTTTCCTTCAAAATCTTTTTATTTTTGAGAAGGAAAGCAAAATTATTTCATGTATCACATTTACCTCTTCCTCTAACCCAATTCCACAACGCACCCCCAAAATATCTGGGTAAAAGTCTCATCCTATGTGTTCTTACAGTATCTGCATTTAATCATAACACTTACCAATGAGTATTCGATCAATTTACCTGTCTGCTTTACTCACTAGCCTGTCAACTCAAAGTCAGGACCGTGTTTAACTCCTAACACAGTGCCTGGCACTCCAGAGGAACTCAAATGCTTGCTGAATATTTATTACCATCATCAATGTACAGCATCTTTCTAAAGCCTCCCTCACCCTTTTAAATATACTTTTGCCATTCCTATGAGAAACAGAGGTGGACAACTCTGAACAAGTATTACTTCTTTCATACTGTATCAACAGAAAAAACATATTTAGGTAGTGAGATAACAGCACATCACGTTGTAGAAAGTCACTTTGTATCTCCCTGAACTTCAGCCTCCCCAGCAAAATGACTACTTAGGCAAAAGCTCTGAGAATTAGAAGTCATCATATAAAGTTACTATTAACATCTGAGAGCTTACAATGAGTCAGGTTCTAACCATTTTTTATATATTATTGTATTTAATCATCACAAAACCCCGTGCACGGTACTATTAGTTTTTTGTTTTTGAGACAGAGTCTTGCTCTGTCACCCAGGCTGGAGTGCAGTGGCGCAACCTCGGCTCACTGCAACCTCGGCTCACTGCAACCTCCGCCTCCCAGGTTCAAGCAATTCTCGTGCCTCAGCCTCCCAAGTAGCTGGGATTACAGGCATGTGCTACCATGCCCGGCTAATTTTTTATTTTTAGTAGAGACAGGGTTTCACCATGTTGGCCAGGCTGGTCTTCAACTCCTGACCTCAGGAGATTCGCCCACTTCGGCCTCCCAAAATGCTAGGATTACAGGCGTGAGCCACTGCGCCCAGCCCGCACTGTACTATTATTAGTCCCATTTTATAGATGAGAAAACTGAGACACAGAGAGGTTAAATAACTTGCCTGTAACTCCACAGCTAGTAAGATGAAGCTGAGACGCAAATGCAAATAGACTTGGTTCCAGAGACCTGCTCTTAACCACTGTACTATATACTCAAGGAGCAGAGGAACCAAAATAAATACAAGGTAGGCTACATCTGGAAAAACCAAAGGTGAATACAGCGGCAGAGAGTTCAGGTCAGGAAGCCATGGTGGAAAAAACAGGAAATCTACAAAGACCTGATGAGATGCTTATCATATAGTGGGCAATGAATAAATAGCTACTTAACACAAGGGAAACAAATCACTCAGATTCAGAATTCAAGAGAATACAAGTGGATAAACCTTATTCAAAAGTAACAATTGTATCTAACAAATCTACAGATAGGGAATGTTAATAGCCCTACATAAAATCAAGTTATAAACTTGTCCAGATAATTATGAGCCAGTGCATTCTCAGTGAACTTGTCGGGGACCCAGAGAGTACTATCTGCTTTCAGGTCATTACTGGCAACTTGCTCATCAAATCCCTATCTCAAAAGAAATCCCAGCTGGCCCATCATTCTGCTGATCTTTGCCTACCAACAATTTCTAACCATGGCTTCTCATCCAATCTGTTTAACAATGATTGTCCCAAGTACAACCTACCATGTATTTAATTGCTTTCCTGTCCTCACACCTCCCTAGGTACCCACGACCTACCCCTACGCCATCTTTCTCCTTAAATATGTGTATTTATTGGTAACTCTGCCACATTCATATCCTTGTCCAGGACAAGTCCCACCAGCTACTACATGCAGTCTCCTCCAAAATGGTACAGAGCACTTGGGTAAAGATAAAAGGAAATCATCGCCAGGTGATACTGACATAAATTACAAAGGTTGCATAGAAGAAGAAAGAGATTATGATAGAAACCTTGTATTCTAACACTTGCTGGAAGTCTAATTTTGTACAGTAGAAATAGCTGAGACTATGAGTTTATCCCAAATACAAACACGACTGATTGAATTAATAATGTCCTCTAAGAAGACAGAGGACACATGCCGGGCGTGGTGGCTCACGCCTGTGATCCCAGCACTTTGGGAGGCCAAGGTGGGCGGATCACCTGAGGTTGGCAGTTCAAGACCAGCCTGACCAACATGGAGGAACCCTGTCTCTACTAGTAACACAAAAATTAGCAGGGTGTGGTGGCGCATGCCCGTAATCCCAGCTACTCAGGAGGCTGAGGCAGGAGAATTGCTTGAACCCGGGAGGCGGAGGTAGGTTACAGTGAGCCAAGATGGCGCCACTGCAGTCCAGCCTGGACAACAAGAGCGAAACTCCGTCTCAATTTAAAAAAAAAAAAAGAAGACAACGACAGAGGACACAATTAGCAGCTGATACCTGTATTGTGCTTAACAACTCCTAGTACCTATTTTGCACAAGAAGAAATGGAGGCTTGGAAAGGTTAGGTAACTTGCCAAAAGTCACACAGCAAGAAAGTGGCAGAGCCTAGAATTCAATCTAGGACTGTCTGATTCTAAAGATTATACTCTTACCATATTACAGAGAAGGGAACTATTATCCTGAACGCAGTTCCAAACAGTAAAGCAGGATGAAGAAGGGACTGAAATTTTGAGAAAAGAAGAGAAATTTCAGGAAGCAAACGATTTCATCTTAGAACTGCAAATAGTAATAAAACAGAACAAAAGTAATAGATGCATGTATCCTAAACGTCAGGAAAACAGACTTCATCTTTTTCTTTTCCTTAAGGTTAGGTACCACTTAAAAAACAATAGATTTTGAAAAACTCTGAGTATCAGCCTATTATTAAGAGACTGTGTAACTAAGGATATACAAGAGAAGAGACAGAACTCACGAGAACAGCATGAGAAAGATAAAAGTCCAGGATAAGTAACTTTAAGACCAAAACAAAATAAAAACTAAGGCCCTAAAAAGAACTTTTAAAGTCATATTCAGAAAAAAAATAATGAATGAATGAACCTGCATTGCTTAGGAAAGACCAGAAAATATTAACTGATGATATTAAAACAGAGGTACTTCTATTTACTACCATCTTCCACAAATATGATCCTCAAAACAGAACAACAGAATAAACATTGTTGAAAGGGACTTTAAGGTTTATGTGGATAGTACGATAGCAAAAGAATGGCTTCAAATGAGCCCAAGTTTCTAGTTACTAAGGAGGATTACGTTCCAGGGATAAAAATCTCACAGCTACTGTAGGTTACTTTTAAAAGCCAAAGAGAACAAAGGTAATAGAAGACACTAATGTTATTTACATTTTCAAAATGGGAAAAGGGATAGATTATGGAAATAAGTATACCAAAATTTTATTAAGTAAAGACTATGGTTGAACTAACCTCATTTCCTGTTTGGATATGGTTATTCAACTGGTACTTTGGGCAAATACTAGAGTCATGCACCATCACTTGATAAAAGGATTCAAGTTTTTCATCATTTTCTTGTGAGTATGTTGACAAACTAAGGACTAGCCAATCGTATAGGTAAGAGGCTCTGAAGTTGGCTGAATACCCAAACAGTGTGATTGAAATAACTGCCAACAATCTTATTCATTTTAGAAGATTAACCTAGGGACCATGACCCATTAAGCACTTTATAAATGGTTTAGAATCATATTTTTCAAACTTCAAAACCTTTGACACTTTAATAGACTTATCAAATGTGCTGACAGCCAACTTACTAGATCCCCAGTATAAAACTCAAAATATGATTAAGAGCTAAAATGAACAAAATGGAATCTGCACTTTAAAGGTTTGCTCTCCAAAGTGCAAGTATGGAATGGGGCTTAAAGCTGGCGGCAAGAGATACAAAAAAGACCTGTATATTCAAATTGCCCATGAATTCATGAATCGGTAACTTTCTATTGGTTAGAAAGCTAATGTAATCTTAAACTGTACTGATGAGACAGAAGTATGTCTCAATCAAAGAATGTAGTAAAATTGTGTTCTATGATCGATCCCTCTGGAAAACCACATGATGCTTACAACATGATGACCCTGTTCCTCTTTGTTGCAGTCATTTACACAATTACAAGTGTTAATTCCCCTTCATTTTATGAAGATGTCAGTACCCAGTTCACTCTCTCTCACCAATACCATTACTGTTGTAATAAAACAGTACTGGTGGTTTCAAAGTCTGTAGCAGATAATCCCACTAAAATAACCTGGCCTCTCAGCTCCTTGACCAAATTTTCTGCGATCTTATTCTTTCTTCATTTTTATTTTAAAAACAGAGATGGGGTCTCGCTGTTGCCCAGGCTGGTCTCAAACTCCTGGCCTCAAGCAATCCTCCCACCTCAGCCTCCCAAAGTGCTGGAATTACAGGTGTGACCCACCATGTCTGGCCTTATCCTTTCTTTACTACCTCGGAAGTCAACTCCATGACAACACCTTTACCTTTTCATTACTAACTGCATTGCTTCCATAATCTCAATTTCAAGTAGAGATACTAATCAACTTACGATGGGGTTACTTCCTGATAAATGTTCTGTAAGTTGAAAATACCCTAAGCTGAAAATGCATCAAACACATCTAACCTACCAAACACCATGGCTTAGCCTAGCCTACTTTAAATGTGCTCAGAACACGTACACTGATCTACAGTTCAGCAAAACCATCTAACACAAAGCCTATTTTATAATAAAGTGTTAAATATTTCATATGATTTATTGAATACTATACTGAAAGTGAAAAACAGAATGGTTGTACAGGTACTAGAAATATTTCTATTGAATATTTCTATTGAATGTGTATTGCTTTTGCACCATCGTAAAGTCGAACAATTTTAAGTTGTTCTAAGTCAGGGACTGTCTGTATTCACCTTCTATTACTCCGTCCAGTACCCTGATTCCAACAAATCTTTGACCCCACTGAGATCTACAACCCACTAATGTTACCACCTTTTTTCACTGCCCTTCAGCCTCCCTCATATCCTTCTTCCTGTAACTTAACCACCTTAGATCCCATGGTCCACCATTATAATCACTCCTTTGACTATATCCTCAATTCTCTTGTCCCCCACTTCCCTCTTTTGTACTCACCTAGCAAAACTCCAAATGGGCAAAAATTCAACTCTTTCAGCAGCTAACCTTGAGTGGGCCCTTAATACTGCCTGGCAATACTCTCACACTGCCTGAATCCATCCATTTCATGCCTTTTCCTAGAACCTCTTCCCCCTTCCTCATCTCCATGATGACTTTGCTCCCTGTATTAGACAATATGAAATTGATATAATGAGTACATACACATTTTCCCTCCCTCACCTCATCTATAAACCTTCTATAACTCCACTTTATCTCCTGTTACTAGGATGAGCATCTGTGCTCCTATGCTATCCTAATCCACCTATTTTTATACTGAATCCCAATTCTTTTAATGTGGTGAATGCCACAACACAGATTTTGCCTCAATCTAAGAAGCACTTTGTAACAACTACAGCTGTCAAAAAATGAAATAAATCATATCACAAAGTAACAGCCATTCCTTTGATTAAACAGATTTCTACAGTAACTGGAAGTAACTCCAGATAAACAATGAGCACTCTCTCAGCTTTAAAATTCAATGGTTTTAGAATATATAAAGTTATAAATATTCTTGTATAAGTTATAGTATTAACTGGAATGTACATACTTTTCTCACCCTTGGCAACCCTTGTTAAATTCCTCAAGGGATAGGTAAGTCTTTGGGGAAGGAATAACAATGGAATGGAAGAATGATAGACTGCCATTTTCCACTACTTTTTAGAAATGTGTCTAGCCCTTTTGTTTTCATTCTCATACTGTTCTCTTTCTAGAACTGCCACCTTGGAAACTCTCCTGGGAATATCTAACAGAAATGCATCTCTTAAGAATAAGTGTGTAACATAGTTCTCATAATAACCTTAATTAGGTACTGTATATAATTAGATCATGGAATTTGAGCAATAGAATATTTACTAATTGTGTTTGACCTTTTTATTATTTAAACAACTTTCTTCTGCAATTAACTTAGAAGAAAGGGGCATTAAAATGAAAAAAGGAAGCTGAGTAAGTAGAAAAGATCACAAACTTATTTACTTATTGCTGAGACAACTCAGCAGGTTGAATATATTTACCTTTAACAATCTTCTTTGCACAGTCATTATACACTTGCTCTTGAGATGTGCTTGACTGGAACACCCGATCAAATGCATAAGGCTTGGACTGAAAAACAAAAAAGTGTTTCAACTATACAAATTAAAGGTAAATGAACATTTCTAACCTTTACAGATGCCATCATATAATATATTTAATCCTCAAAATAGTATACCTAGTATGCATAATTTGGTATCATTGAATCTTTGAAGTAGAAGGGATCACCATGCACAAATCCATTAGAATAAACTCCAGGAAAACAAGAATGGTCTTTAGTCTTTGCTGCATTCCCAGGGCCCAGTAATTACAATTATAATTCCCAGTAATTATAATTAGCACTACTATGGCAGCCAAATATTGCTGAGTGATTTTTATTTTTTTAAATACCTATTTATTTATTTTTGAGACAGGGTCTCGGTTCTGTCACCCAGGCTGGAGTGCAGTGGCACAATCACTGCTTACTGCAGCCTCAACCTCCTGGGCTCAAGAAATCCTCCCACCTTAGCCTCCTGAGCAGCTGGGACTAGAGGCATGTGCCACCATGCTATGTTGCCCAGGCTTGTCTTGAACTTCTGGGCTCAAGAGATCCTCCTGCCTCAGCCTCCCCAAGTGCTCGGATTACAGGTGTGAACCACCATGCCTGTCCTGCAACAGCTTTTCAACCATTCTTTCATTTAACAAATACTTATGGAATGTGAGATGACATGCTAGAATGATAACCAAGAGATTCCCTCTCTGCTTTAGTGGAGCATAAATAATAGTGGGGCAGACATTAAAAAATTAAGTGACCAGAATTCTGACTCATGCAATTGAGTGCTATGAAAGTGCAATGAGAGAATATAGGAGGAGAACCTAAGTCTACGGGAAAGCAGAATATCACGGAAACACCCTTGGAGAAAGAATATTTAAGAACTGAAAAATACGCAGCAACTAACTCATCATCACTCTCCCCAGTATTAGTCATGAAGGGTGAAAAAGGTTTCGTGTAGGAAAGTAGTCTAGGCACTGGGAGGATACTTAAAGATCCTAAGGCAGAAAGAACAGTGTAGCATTCAAGAAACCAATGGAAGTTGTTAAGTTGAAGTACAAGGAGCAAGGATCAAATGCAAATATCAAAACGGTTAAAAAGACATCATCTTATTCTGAAAACAGCTTTGATCTTCTGGACCCCAGAAATGATACTGGGGACTCCATGGACCACTCTCAGAGAACCACTAATATAGTCTGAGAAGGAGCCAGGGGTATTGAACAAAAAAAAAAAATCAGTGGTGTCCATGCAAGTCAAAAAATAATAATTTTCAAGGAGGGAGTGATTATGTCAAATACAGTTGTGAGGCCAAGACAAAACTAAAAAGTACTCAATGACAAAGGTCAGATTGGAATGGATTGAAAAAGAATGGGAGGTAACCAAGTGGTGCAGAAAATCTGCTGTATGTCTAAGAAAGTTATTTTTTTTTTAAGACTTGTAAGACCTGAGGTAGTTTAAATGCTTGCAGGAACAATTTTAATAATCTAGGAGAAAGAGTAGGTATCCAAAAATAAGAGGCAAGGGGTTCTAGGTATTTGCAAGTATCTGCCTGCTCTCTAGTTTCTCCTAAAGGAAAGGAAGGAAGTTGGGCCCTAAAACACAAAACAATCATGACCCCAGAAAAAGCCCTTAACATTAGAAAACACTTCCTAAGTCTTAGCTGAAAAAGACCTACTACCCTCCACATCCCCACTTCAAAGTCTGAAATAAAAGTAACAATGAACCAGACACTCCTAAAGCCATTCCCAATTCCCCTTTCCCTTGCTACCTCCCAATAAATAGGCCGGAAAGCCAAATACCTGTTAGCCTAGTCTCCCTGCAACTAGTAGTCACATGACCAAGCTCTGAATAATATGAAGTGGCGGTCTGTTCGAGGTCTCTGAGAAGGGTGTTGTTATCCTGATAAAAAGGACCATCTCAGCTAAAACTGCCCTTTCTCCTTCCTGGAATGAATGCCTGGAGCTGTAGCATCCATCTTGCAAATACGACAAACAGGATGATGAAAAGCAACAGCTAAGGACGACAAAGTATAACAGAGTGAGGAACCGTGAAGGGCCTATATCCAGGCTTTTTGTTATGTGAGAAAAACATCCTCTTATTTATTTAAGCCACTATTAGCTGTTGGTTTTTCCTCTAAAGCTGAAAGCATTACTGACAGATACAAGAAGCTGATCTCACTTTGGCATCAATTTAAAATAGGCATCGATGTCTGATTATTCTTTAGTTGTGACATATGTGAACGTATCCTTTTCTCAGATGCTACTGAAACAATTAACATTCAATTCTACAGGTGTGACTAAAAGAAATCTATTATTTTACTGCTGACACAAGATATATTCATGGTGAACAATTCTGAAAACAAACGTTAAGTACAATCAAAATAACAATCGCCACCCAAAAACAAACCATACTAATAGTTTTTTCTATGCAAAAAGAAAGTAATTTTCCCTCATTTATCCAGCAGACATTCATTTAGTGACTATAAAGATATGAGATATTGTAGATGAGTAACACAATTTTAGAAATAATTAGTACAGACTGTAGGGTTCAAAGAGTAATAGAGGATAAGGCCAGATAAAAACCTGAATACTAAGTTAAGTTATACACTTGGATCTAATATAAGTGATCAAGTAATGTCAAGAGAATTTTATATGTATCTACAAATATACTCCTGAGTAGCTGGGACCACAGGCATGTGCCACCACGCCTGGCTAATTTTTGTATTTTTAGTAGAGATGAGGTTTTGCCATGTTGGCCAGGCTGGTCTCAAACTCCTGACCTCCAGTGATCCACCTGCCTCAGCCTCCCAAAGTGCTGGGATTACAGGCGTGATCCACCATGCCTGGCCTCAATTTTTACATCAATAGAAAATAGTGCCCCTAAACCATTTACCAAGAGATATGCCAGAAATAATGTAAACAGCTTCATAATAGTAAACAGTTTTAATAGTAAAGCCTGCCTTCAGAAGTACTTTATGAAGCTGCTTACTCTAGTTATCAACTCCAAGCAAATATATAAACTACCACTACAACCTTACTAAAATAATATAAATGGCAACTATTAAAAGGTAACACACAAACATAAAAATAATTGAGACTGGAGTGATTATCTTTCTAGAAGTTATTGTTAAATAAAAATTAAGTGCTTAGCATTAAGTTGACAAAACAGTCTTATCTTGATTGCAAAACCAAATGATGATTTTGTAATACTAAGTAAGGCAAATGTTTTAATTAAAGATCTAGCCATAAATTACTGACTCTGGCTTCCTGGAATGAAAATCAAGACTCTGTGAAACACAAAAATTATTTCTAATGGTCTATAATTAAGGCATATCTCTATTTTTCAAATAAATTAAAGAAAAACTCATCTGGACATCTGTATTTTTCAAACCTGGTTTTTAGCCTCGAAATGTACATTATGCAGCTTTTAATCCCATGTGTCTTCAAAGATCCCCCAAGTTTCAGATTTCAATATTACTAGTAACTCCAAGTCACAAGATGCATTCACGTCTGATTGATGCTTTAAGGGGACAAATCAAAAAGGAATAAGTTGATCTCAACTGCATACCTTAGGTTCCTTAAGGGAAGTGATTCCTGTTTGAGTATGCACCGACCAGACTGAAGACCAAATTTGGTTATGAAGGACACCCTTCTGGCAGGGATATGTCTTTCTCTGGAATTCTGAATAGCGGATCATTTCAGATCACTTGGGAGTGTATTATATTAGATTTTCCTTAGTTAAACACTATAGTGGGCTAACATTCCACAACTGTAAAGGTATGTGATGATGGTTCCCTCCTCTCCTTCATTTTTCCCTCTTAAGGTAATCAAGAAGGTTCAAACACCAAATCATTCACTTGAAAAGCGAGAATGTTGTTTTGCTTAGGCAAGGAACTGGGCAAGATTATCTAATTAGTTTTATTCTCTTCTAATTTCTCGGAACTACCACAGCTTGTTTTTGGCAGCCTTTACGGTGTACCATATAAGGAATAATGATTTGTAAAGATACTTAATGATGCAAATAACCATATTCTACTTTCATGATTCATAAATAGATAGATGTAATTTTTTTATTGATTTTTCTTCCTGGTGTTTTTAGCAAGCTCCTAATTTTTTCTACTGATTTTTTTCTGGTGTTTCCAGCAAGCTCATTTCAAAGACATAAACTGTTTCCCTGTCCTCCTTGCTTTGCGGTAACAAGTTCTCTAATTTAAAGCAAATAGTTTATATGTATATCGCTTAAAGACTTTCATAAAATAATTCATTTCATTCGATGTTACATTTATAGCACTTCACCAAGCACTTAATTAAAAATAAATTCTGTATTAAAGGCTGTACAGCATACACAGAAACACTATGAAAGATTTGCCTGCCATGGTGTCATATTAAAATCACTGATTACATGAGTAGCAGGAAAAAAGTTTAGACAAAGTATTAAAAACTCAAGTTATAAGAAAATCAGAATCCTTAAAAATTACTTTCTCCATGAGCACTGATTATGCTTCTAACATCATAAACTACAATATTCTTTCAATTTTGATCTAAATAGAAGATTGTATACAAAATGTTCTTAAATCATGTTTTTAAAAATTTAGTTTTAAATGCTGCATTGCAGCAATTCTCTCCTAAACTGTTCATTATGAATCAGGATTAGGAACCAGTAAAATGAAAAAACCAAACCGAGAAGATTTTACCCACAGATTTTCCAATTCCGCTCCTCCTGGCTGCTCTTATAACCTTTTACAAAATGAAATAATTCATTTAAAAAACTGAACAAAAATATGAGACCTCAATAATTAATGTCGTTACTATATGCAAGAAACTAGTTTCTGAAAACAATGAACCAAAACATGTTGCCTTTCATTTTTTAAGGCTATGTTATTCAGTTGTAATGTATTTTTGGTTACACGTTAAAAAAAAAAAAAAAAAACCAGGCCAGGCGTGGTGGCTCATGCCTGTGATCCCAGCACTTTGGGAGGCCAAGACAGGTGGATCACCTTAGGTCAGGAGTTCGAGACCGCCCTAGCCAACATGGTGAAACCCATCTCTACTAAAAATACAAAAATTAGCTGGGCGTGGTAGCGCGTGCCTGTAATCCCAGCTACTGGGGCGGCTGAGGCAGGAGAATCGTTTGAACCCGGGAGGCGGAGGTTGCAGTGTGCCAAGATCACCCCACTGCACTCCAGCCTGGGCAACAAGAGCAAAACTCAAAAATATCTCAAAAAAAAAAAAAAATCTCAAAAAAACAACCAACCAACCAAAAAACAACTAAAATGCTTATCAGCTTACCTAAAGGTTAACTGTTCATTACGGATTCACAAACCAACAATGTATCCATTATTCCTAATATTACCATTTATATAGAGTACTGAAATTTTGAAACGGAACTTATAAGCAACTTTTTCCCAATGGAAACCTAGAATAAATGTATGTTTCCTTTGTTCATTTTCCTTTAGTTCTTTCTTCATAGTTCATGTCGTATTTGTGCCTCATCAAAGTTTACCTTCTAATCTTAGTACATTTTATGAATCCTAAATTTTAGCATTCCAACAAAAAGAATCATAGTGATAACTACAGATCTGTGTAAACACAAAATCTGAAGAAATAAGACATTCTTAAAACAAGTGTAAACGGAAAAATAGGTTTGATGTGCCAACCACTGCAGAAGCTGAGTACTGTAAACCACAAAAACTCTTAAGAAACTAATAGCCTCAAGTTTGACAACTAATCCAGGCCTTGCAAGCCTCCTGACTATATGTAAAATATACCATCCCAAAGGAAAAGGATTACTGGGCTTAACTACTCCGCCTCTGCCGGGCTATGATGTCATTTACACACGAGTTTTTCTAGTGGACTTGTTAACAAAGAACTCGCCTGACAGTCTTTACACAGTAATAGTTGGCAATTGTTAGTGGCCTAATGACTTGTTTGCCAAAGGCCTACCAAGGAGCTAAGACAATTCATTTTTTGGAGCTGAACTTTGGAGAAACTTTCACATCAAAACCCTAAAGAACTTTAGTCTGTCTTCAGTGTCAATGCTTTCAATCATCCATGTCCCATCTCCTGTGACCTCTGCCCTATTTCCAAATTAAATAGCCCCAATACAGTATTAACTATAGAATGACATTAGAGGAAAAATTAACATATTAAAATTTCATACCATGGTAACAATGTAGAAAGTTAGTTCTACTACATAGCATTACCAACAAAGAGCAACATAATTTAGTCACTGTTTCGTATGCCATACTTTACAATTAATTTTTAATCTCCTTCAACTAGGAGTGCTATTTTCTCACACCTTTCAATGCCAGAGATCAGACCTTTAAAAACCCTCACATTCTGGTCTCACTGATAATGATCACTCAACTCTAGTTATGTTTTTCATTACAAAAAAACAGTATCTCACTATTCTTGGGATTACCAAACAACAATTTTCTTCAAGATAGACCTTAACTGCAGAAGTATGAATCTAATACTGGTCAATTTTTATCTTTTTTATAAGTTTGTTTTTATAACACTTTCTGTCTGATACAAAAACAAAAAGTTAATACTTTTTCCTAGGCTGTTATCCCATAAAACCTAGCAAGAATGCGATTTGTCTTTCGGAGCACTTATCTGACCCAACCAAAGTCGGCTAGGTCTGCTAGATTAAACAAAACTGATCATCCTGTTTCAAAAAAAAAAAAGCTCAACTATTTCTTTCTACAATCATCGATTTGCCATTTGTAGTTGTTAACATGAAAAGTCTTTCATCACTCAAAAAGTGGTGGGTGAAAGTTGGAGGTATAGATAATATTTGTACCTCTTTTTGGTGCTTTTTCCTTCTCCCAGAGGGAAACAATACGGTTCAAGGACTGGTTATGTTTCCATAAAACTAAGCATCTTTACTAAAGTACACTACGGCTTATCTCAGAGCTCAATGTCACCAGCCGATCTTTATATTAGCATTACATATTTTCTGAATGGCAAATTTGGGGTTAATCCAAAACACCAACAGTATCCGTAATTGCACACACACACACACACACACACGCAGACAAACGTGCACTGAACTTGCTGCCCGGACGTTCCTCCATTGCCCCAGGTGGGGGAGTGTCCAGGGCTGAGGCTGGGCGCTTCCCGTCTCCCGGCGCCGAAGACTGGGGTGGGGGCGATCCAGGAACGCACGCGAGGCTGCGCAGTCTCCCTCCACTGGGTTATCTGAACCGGCAAACCCCGCCGGGGAGGGCTGGGGACACCGCCGCTCCCTTTCAATTCTGCACCCTGCCACTTCCCTAAACTCCCCGCACAGGCCGGCCCGAAGAAGCGGGAGGAGGGATGCCGGCGGGGGTCACTCACCGCGATCACGACCGTGTCTTCTCCCTGAAACTTGGCGATGTACTTGTCGCCGCGGTTCACTTCAGACTCGTTGAGAGGTCTGAAGCGACACATCACTTTGATGTTGCACTCGGCCAGGTCCGCCATCTTTCTCGCAGCCGGGGCCGGCGGCCGGGAGCCACTCCCCGCCGCTCAGTCTTGCAGGGAACGCGCCGGACCTGAGGGCTTGTGGTCGCGAGGGCCGTGAGAGGCAGCAGTCAGCTGCGCCGCGCTGCGCTTCCCCGGGTGGAGGCGGCCGGGGAGCCGGGACTTGAAGAGCCGGCGCCGGCAGCCGTTAACCCTAATGCTCACTTCCGATCCATCATGGCAGCCATGGCGGCGGCAGCGGCGGCGGCACCGGGGAGAGCGTCCGCGGCTCCTCAGCGTCCCCCTTTACGGTCTGGGCGGACTGCGGGGGCTGGGGAGGTTCTGGGGACCGGGAGAGTGGCCACCTTCTTCCTCCTCGCGAAGAGCAGGCCGGGCCTACCCGTCCGCCCGCTCTGCCGTCCGCTGGCCGGCCGACTGCTGCCCGATCACTCCTGAGGCCGCCGTTGGGCGACAGGGCGGTGCGGGAGGAGGACTGCGCAGGCGCAGTGGGCCAGGCGGCCCGGCGACCAATCGGTGCGCGCGCTCGCACCCTGCCGCGGCGGCCGGGCTGCTGTTTCCACCACCACTCCTGGCCCGGGGTCGCAGATTCAAATTTTACTGCACTGCCCCTGTCGCAGAAGTTCCTGGGGAGGCAGGGCGGCAGCTCCCACCCGCCATCCCAAGCCGCCGAAGAATTCCCCAGAGCTAAGGCAGACGCACTTAGCTTTCTTTTCTTTGAGGGAGAAGGGGTTTGCTTTAACTACTTAATGTCGTTTGTTTAAATAAATCACTAGGCTGGTCCCGTTGCGGTGGTGTTTGCAGCTAATTGGTCACAGCCAGAGATTTGTTTCTTCTCCACTCGCACTGTGTCACTTGACTAGCTTTAAAATTAAAAACAGAAAGTACTATATTCCTAAAAGGAAGTGTTGCTTTCATTTTTGTCTGGGGGTGGAGGGAATCATTCCTGGCCCATCTTTTTAGAGCGCGTTGCCAGAAAAAAGTAAGATTTCAATGAAGGGTAGCTCTTTCCTGAGAGAGTGGGATGTGGGGAAACAGGAATAAGAAAGAAAAAGGAAAATTTTCCTAAGGAATGAAGAAAGTTGCTGAAGAAATGTGGAACAGTAGGGTGAGGAGGGGGAAGAGCCCTCAGCCCCCATCACACAGCATCTCTGTCACTCCAGCGGCCCAGTACCTTGCATCCAGCCCGCACCCTCGCCGCCCCCACGAAGTTCAGCGAATTCCCGCCACTTTCCCTGCAATGAACATACGGAACCCATCAATCCCAGTGCTGGAGGAATGACTGACCTGGAGCCTAAAGATGGTCTTTATAAAAGGCCTAGGTAAATTTGTTCATTTCATATCCAAGGAAGACCACTCCATAGTTGACTTTGCCTTCTAGTTTTAGAAGATGAGTACCATAAAATTCCACGGGGAAGTGGCTCTGAGGAAGTGGCTCTGAGGTGCTGCAGAAGAACTGCAGTAACAACTCCTCCCCCTCGTCCCCAATTTTTGTTTGTAAAATGAAGGACTGAACTATGAAAACCTCCAGGGCTACCTGTGCTCACCCAATCATCCTAATACCTACAGAAACAAATTCAGAGTTCAACAGATTCAGGTTTATTAATCCACTGCCTTGAAGAAGAGCTCACGCTCAAGGAACCTTGGAACATCTCACCAAACAAAGGAATGGATGAAATTAACCCAGGGCTTTCTGGGAGGTGTGGAGTTCTGATGACATTTAAATGAAGCAGTGTTTTTGAGAGGCCCCAGGCAAAGCAGAGCTGCAAATAAAGGCATTAACATCAGGTCTGGACCACCATGGACCCCAGGTTCTGTTTCCGTGAATACTACAGTTAAGATAGATGGGAAGTGTTGTCTTCAGAAACCCCTTTTTCCTTCACCTGGCTTGGAAGTCAAGACTGCTTCTCTGTGTCTTAGGTCCTCCAAGCAAGAGTGGAATGTTTTATTCTTACTGATACAATTTCAAACAACAGTTTGTAATAGTCTATGATTTTTGTGGAATCAGTTTTCTCAGTAAGAAATCAGTAGGCCAGGCATGATGGCTCGTGCTTATAATCCCAGAACTTTGGAAGGGGGATTGCTTGAGGCCAGGAGTTCGAAACCAGCCTGGGCAACATAGAGAGACCTTGTCTCTACAAAATAATAAAAAAATACAATTAGCCGGGCGTGGTGGTGTGTGCCTGCAGTCCTAGCTACTACAGAGGCTGAGGCAGGAGGATCGCTTGAGCCTAGGAGCCAAGATTACACTGAGCTATGGTCGTGCCACTACACTCCAGTCTGGGTAACAGAGCCATACCCTGTCTCAAAAAAAAAAAAAAAAAAAAAAAGAAAGAAATTAGGTCACTCAAAGAAGGAGTTTGTGTGACACTTTATAAATGTAGTATGTCCTTGAGAGAAATACTTTTCTGCTTACCTTTCAGCTGGCTTTATCTCTGTCTGTTAGTCCAGTCTGATCAATGAAGGTAGAGTCTTACTTTCTCACTCTTTCAGTCCTATTATTCTTTGCCTGGTTCCTTCATCATATTTATATCCTGTCATCCTTATCTTTAATTGCAGAAAAAGTCAGCACTCTCCCTCTCAAAAACTAATTTCTCAGTTGCATTCAAAATTCTTTCCAACTTCGTCCAATACCAATGGCCACCATCTTCTTCCATCTTTGATTTCTCCCTTTTCTTGGCTTCCCTGAAGAAAAAAGGGAAACAAATACGCTCAGCCAGCCCATCTTTAAAACAGCAATGAAACCTAACACCTTCATTGGTTCCTGTTGACTAGTAGCCTTCTGTCAAAGATAAAACAAGCCAGACGCTAAAGTGGTATTGACAACTTTTAATGCATAACACACTATTGCAATGGGGAAAATAAGCCAGAGTCAACTGAACTCAACTTTGACTTGTACAGAGGTAACTGGACGTTTTAAAGGGAGCACAAAGAAATACAAAGGGGGATGAGCTGGAGCTCAGTAGAGCCCGGGAAGTGAAAAATTGCAAAAAGCAATAAGTGGGGGTTGGTCCACGTGGAACCCATCTGGGTTTTCTAACTGGTCCTTATAGAGGTTAGGCTCCTGCCCTCCCGCAGAACCTAGGAGACAGGGACCCTATCTTCAGGTATTGGCTGGAACAAACAGTATCTTTTCTGTAGTCTTGAATTTTCTCAGGAAACCACTTTAAAGGAGGTTAGGGTCATCCCAGAAATCTGATCTTGAGCTGTTAAACTATGTTCATGTTTTGTTCAAGTCTTTATAGGCCATGGTTGAGGCCTATTCAAGAAAGGCTCAGAGGAGCCTGGCTAGAGTTTGGTCAAGGGGAGAATCTTTGCCACTTCTTGCTGCCATTTATTGGGTGAAATTGACTAGAAGGGACTGTGGTTGCTCAGAGGCAGTTCCATCCGAAGACAGCAGTGGCTACGCAGCTTCTACCACGGGAGAATTGTGGGCCCAACACTACCAAGTTTTCCTTTTTCCAGAAAGACATAATCCAGATGTCCTTAAAACTCTCAATTTTTAAGTTAAATTGGCCATCAATTTAAAAATAATTTAAATAATGCATGAACTAAGTAAAACATCCCTGTGGGCTGGATGTGGCAGGTGGGCCTCCAGTTTGCAACCTTTGAGCAGGACGTTGTGAGGACTCTGTCCCCAGCCCTGGCTCTCTTATCTCTGGGCTCACTTCTTCAACAATTGCTGGAGTCTCTTATCTAAAACCCTGACGTTTTCATCTGTGTTGACATTGTCATCTCTCCAGCTGCTTACAGGCCACCTTGTGTAGAATGCTGTACCATAACCTTAAATTTAGCATTCCAGAAATGAAGCGAATTATCCCCCACTCCCTGCCAATACTTAATTCATGACTGGTATCAGCATTCTTCTATACTTCCAGGCTAAGAAAGTTCCAATCACCTGTAATTCTACTCTTACCTTTATCCCCTATACATGCAAAAGAGAAACATGGTAGTCTGTATTTGAAGCTCCTGAACTTCAACTCTTACCATTCCCCCTATGTTCCTCAACTCAGAAGACCTGAGGATTGATTGATCTAGAGCAGTGAGTTTGAAATTCTACTCCATAGAAACAGAGGTTCCAAAGAGGTGACTGAGGAGACGTCATGCGTATGGGCAGGGAAAGGAGGTAGAAGGAAGGGAGTGAAGCTCTGGAAACCTCTGCTACCAAAGGTACTGGTCAGCTTCTGTTGCCTTTCAACCCCTGCCTGTCCCCTCTTCCTGCACAACAGATTCTGGAAACTCAGTCTTCATAAAAATAAAAGCCAGAGGCTGGGCACAGTGGCTCACGCCTGTAATCCCAGCACTTTGGGAGGCCAAAGCAGGTGGATTGTCTGACCTCAGGAGTTCGAGACCAGCCTGGGCAACACAGTGAAACCCCATCTCTACTAAAATACAAAAAAATTAGCTGGGCTTGGCAGCGTGTGCCTGAAGTCCCAGCTACTCAGGAGGTCGAGGCGGGAGAATTGCTTGAACCCAGGAGGCAGAGGTTGCAGTGAGCCAAGATTGCACCACTGCAGTCTGGCCTAGGCAACAGAGTGAGACTTCGTCTCATAAACCAATAAATAAATAAATAAAAGCCAGAAAGGGAAGTGTCTGCAAGAGCCTTCTGCTTTCAGACCTGACATACATACTTTTCCTGGGAAAGAGAGCACAAAAAGCCTGAATGTTATCACAGAACCAGGAAGGAGAAAAATGCTATGGAAAAACAAAATTGTTCTTAAAATTGTCCTGTCACACTACTAAGAAATAATGGTATCAGGCAATAAGGGTTTAAGAAATATTTTCATGGGGAAACAAAAGATTGATTTTTTTAAAACCTAGTTAATCCTAGTAATGCTTCCGAACATAGAACAGACTGCCATTATTCAGCATTAGCAGTGAAACAGCAGGTTTCCTTGAGAGCACATTTCGAGACTTATTGGCATAACTTTTTCTTATGGAAATGCAAGTGGTGTTTTCACCTATACAGATTAAGAACATTAAACCTCCGCTGTGGGCTGGACTCCGTGGTTCACGCCTGTAATCCCAGCACTTTGGGAGGCCAAGGCAGGCGGATCACTTGAGGTCAGGAGTTCAAGACCAGCCTGGCCAACATGGCAAAACCCCATCTCTACTAAAAATACAAAAATTAGCCGGGCATGGTGGTGGGTGCCTGTAATCCCAGCTACTCGGGAAGCTGAGTCAGGAGAATCGCTTGAACCCAGGAGGCAGAGGTTGCAGTGAGCTGAGATTCTGCCATTGCACTCCAGCCTGGCCAAGAAGAGTGAAATTCCGTCTCAAAAAAAAAAAAAAAAAAAACTCCACTATGGAAGTTAGTCTCTGATGAACTGTGCCTCCCTGGGTTCACAGATTTGTGCAGCCTCTCTCCTTAAATCTTGCATGGTTGGCCCTATGACTCACTTGCAACCAATATATGTGGCAGAAGTATGACACCACATGCTATCTGAGACTAGGTGAGAAGAAGGCTTGCAGCTTCCACCTTAGTTTCTTGGAATACTCTAGGAGCTCTGAACTGCCATCTAGGATGACCAACCACCCTGAGACTACCATGCTGGGGAGGCCATATGTGGGCACTAAGCAATGGTCTCAGCTGATCCCAGCCTTCCATCCAGAGACCTGACTTGTGAGTGAAGCCATCTTGGACTATCCATGCCAGCACACCCACCAGTTGAATACCAGTGAGTAATTTCAATTAACACGCTTGGAGTAGAAGAATCACCCAGCTAAGGCCTGTCCTAATTCCTGACTCATAAAATCATGAGATATAATAAAATGGTTATTGTTTTCAGCTGCTCCATTTTGAATCATTTGTTACATAGCAGTAGATCCCTCGAATGATAACCTAAAATTTGGAACTTAAAATGTTTCTCCTGGAAATAATCCTCTAAAAGTGTAATAAATGTATTAGATTGGGCTATATTCTAAATTAATTATAAATTAAATGGTTGGAGGGAATCTAAGAACATCACCACTGTTTAAAAATAAATGTACTTATTTATTATAAGTACATTTATAAAAGTATGTTTATTTTTAACATTATTACTGTAAGAAAATTTGTTTACTATTTCCAGTTGAAATGACCAGAAATGGGCTTTTGGAATAGAAAATTATAGCATTTCTTTTTCAAATCTGAATAAGACACACCTGCTCTTTTCTAGCTCCAGGACCCCATCCTGGTCCAAGGCTTCACTACTTCAGGCCGAGGTTACTACGGGAGGTCTCAGCCTCTTTCCCATTCGAACATTCAGTAACTATAGGTTGAGTTCCCACTATGGTCCAGGTGCTGAGATAGACTATAGGAATACGATAGTGAAAAAGACTAAACAATTCCTCCCATATCCACTGTTTTGCATGAAATTTTCAGATTAAGTCTCCAAAAGCATTACCTTTATTAAATCATTTCATTACTCAAGAACCTACAACAACGCCCCTTTTTCCTACTCAAACTAATTCAAATTCCTCTGCTTGGATTCCAAGGCCTTCTTCTAGCACTGACTCCCCATTACATAACTAGGGTTTTCCACTGCTCCACGACTTACATTCTTAACTCCTGGAAACTGGTCTTTTTCACTGTCCTTCATTATAATTTGCTAATTTCAAAGCCAATCTGATCTCACTGTGTATGTCCCTCTCCTTTGTGCTTGTCCAAATCCCATCCGTCTTTCCTCAGGTCCCACCTTCTGCAAGTGGTTTGTACCACACAGAATTATTTCAGAGGTCAGAGAGAAAACTCCTACATGGTATTTAATACCATAATTTATTTATTTATTTATTTATTTTTAATTTTTTTTTTTGAGATGGAGTCTTGTTCTGTCGTCCAGGCCGGAGTGCTGTGGCGCTATCTTGGCTCACTGCAACCTCCACTCCTAAGTTCAGGTGATTCTCCTGTCTCAGCCTCCTGAGTAGCTGGGACTGCAGGCGCCTGCCACCACACCCGGCTAATTTTTGTATTTTTAGCAGAGACGAGATTTCACCATGTTGGTCAGGCTGGTCTCAAACTCCTGACCTCAGGTGATCCACCCACCTCAGCCTCCCAAAATGCTGGGATTACAGGTGTGAGCCACTGCGCCTGGCCTTATTTTTAATTTTTTGAGACGAGGTCTCTTTGTGTTGCCCAGACTGGTCTCAAATTCCTGGGCTCAAGCGATCCTCCTGTCTTAGCCTCCCAAGTAGATAGGATTACAGGCACACACTATCACATCCAGCTTCATTTAACTCTTTAGAACCTATATATTTTTTCTATTTTATCAAAGAAACACACTCATAGTTTAAAAAGTGAAAACTACACTACAACCCTGAAAAATAGAAGTTCTGGTTCTGTTCAATCCAACCTCCATTTCTGTTCTCCAGGGCAACTACTTTAAATCTTTTAGCAATTTCTTCTAGTATTTATCTCCATGTTTCTAAATAACATGATTTTATTGCTGCTTCTTGACTTATGAATTATTATTATTAAATGAGGTTATAGCTCCTTTACACTAGCCTCCATCTGAATCAACGTATTTTCTTCTCTTTATCTTCTCAATATATATTTCTATCACTATTTTTAGTTAAATTAATATACAGCATTTACATGCTACATAATATTATTCCCAGCTTAGCCATGTAGTGCACTATAATTACATTGCCTACCTTGTACAACTTTTTGTGTTTTTCTGGATTTAAAAATTGCCTAACTTTTTCTACCAGTTTACTCTTAACACATTCCAAATAGCCACCAGCAGTATAAAGCTACTCTTGATATTTTGAAGGTATTGCTCCTTTTGTTAAGTCTGATTCTGAGTCCTAATCATTTGTATGTGATCTGAATTTTTCTTCCAGGCAGCTTTTAGTCTCTTTTTGTCTATATTCCTCTTTTCTTTCCTATTTTCCTTTTCTTTGTTTTCTTGTTCTCCTTTTGGAGATATTCTCTTAACTTTATTTTCAACTGTTTTCTATTGGCGATGTGTGTGTGTGTGTGTGTGTGTGTGTGTGTGTGTGTAATTAGGAGGATAATATCTCTTGGATGGACTGGGCATGATGGCTCACAACTGTAATCCCACAACTTTGACAGGCCAAGGCAGGAGGATCACTTCAGCTCAGGAGTTCAAGACCAGCCTGGGCAACATAGCAAGATCCCATCTCTACAAAAAATACAAAAAAACTAGCTGGGCGTGGTGGTATGCACCTGTAGTCCTACCTACTTGGAGGGCTGAGATGGGAGAATCGCCTGAGCCTGGGGAGGTTAAGACTACAGTGAGCTGTGATTGCACGACTGCACTCCAGCCTGGGCAACAGAGAAAGATCCTGTCTGAAACAAACAAAAAAATGTCTTCGATGTGCTGATCCCACCCTATGGGGGGTGTGTGTGTGTGTGTGTGTGTGTGTGTGTAAAACTCTCTGGATTTTAATTCTCCAAATGGATGTTTTACATGAAATGTTTCTATTCACAGACCAATATCTTCTCTTATTATTCAGATAATATATATATCTTTTTTGAGACGGAGTTTTGCTCTTATTACCCAGGCTGGAGTGCAATGGTGCGATCTCAGTTCACCGCAACCGCTGCCTCCCGTGTTCAAGCGATTCTCTTGCCTCAGCCTCCCAAGTAGCTAGGATTACAGTCATGTGCCACCACGCTCAGCTAATTTTGTATTTTTAGTAGAGATGGGGTTTCTCCATGTTGGTGAGGCTGGTCTCAAACTGCCGACCTCAGGCGATCCACCCACCTCAGCCTACCAAAGTGCTGGGATTCCAGGCATCAGCCACCACCCCTGGCATGTTTTATTTTTTATTTAGCTTTTGTTTCCCAAATTTTCTCTGGAATCTGTCACTCATGTCAGAGGATTTCCTCACATGAGTGGTGGGCGTTGATATTCTAACAACTTGAGTGAGAAACTAAAACATGTTGGAAAACCTTGTGCATGTTGGTAGGGTTTAGAGATCGATGGGTTTCATCAAGGTGTGATTGGGCAGGAACTAGCCATTTCATTAGGAAAATTCTAAATGTCTTTTTTATTTTATTTTTATTTTTATTTTGAGACAAAGTCTCACTCCATCACCCAGGCTGGAGTGCAGTGGAATGATCTTGGCTTACTGTAACCTCTGCCTCACAGGTTCAAGTGATTCTCCTGCCTCAGCCTCCCAAGTAGCTGGGATTACAGGTGCGCACCACCAGGCCTGGCTAATTTTTGTTATGTTTAGTAGAGATGGGGTTTCGCCATGTTGGCCAGGCTGGTCTTGAACTCCTGACCTCAGGTGACCCACCAGCCTCAGCTTCTCAAAGTGCTGGGATTATGGGTGTGGGCCACCGTGCCCAGCCACTGTTAATTGTTTTCTTTGCTGTACAGAACTTTTTTAGTTTGACATAATCCCATTTATCTAAAAATAGTTTTGCTTTTGTTGCCTATGCTTTTGGGGCCATATCCAAAAAAAACATTGCCCCTACCAATGTCAGGGAGCTTCCCCCTGTTTTCTTCTAGTAGTTTCATAGTTTTGGGTCTTACATTTAAATCTTTAATCCATTTTTAGTTGGTTTATGAATATAGTATGAGATAAGGGTCTAATTTCATTCTTTGGCATGTGGATACTCAGTTATCCCAATACCTTTTATTGAAGAGACTATCTTTTCCCCATTGTGTGTTCTTGGCACTATTGTCGAAAATCAGTTGGCTATAAATGTGTGGATTTATTTCTGAGCTATTTATTCTGTTCCACCAGTCTATGTGTCTGCTTTTATGCCAGGACCATGCTGTTTTGGTTACTATAACTTTGTAGTATATTTTGAAGTCAGGTAGTGTGTGTGATGCCTCCAGCTTGGTTCTCTTTGCTCAAGATTACTTTAAATTCTTTTGTGGTTCCATATGAATTTCTGGATTTTTAAAAATTTCTATTAATATGAAGAATGTCATTGGTATTTTGATAGGGATTGCATTGAATCTATAGACCTTTTTCGGTGGTGTAGACCCAATGTGGTTTTATAACATTTCTTTTGAATTGGTTGGTTTCCCTAGAAAGGAGTTCTCTAATATTTTGCCAGGTTTACATAAGTCTGGCTGCCAGTTTTCTCAGAAGTGATGGGGTTACGCAATCTTAACATTCAGTTTGTAGGTTTTATTTCCCTGTTTTCAGTAGGCGACTCACCCCATCTTTGTGTGTGTGATGTCCCTGAGTCCACAGCCTCCCTGGTTCAACTTCTCGAGAGAGTGAGCTTCCTTCTTTCTGTTGTGCTGGGGGAGAGGACAATCTTCTGGCATTTTTGGTGGGGGGGAAATTGCATTCCAACAGATCTTTATATACATTTTTAACTAAACCCTCCTATTTTCAGCTCTACCCTGCACCTCAGCCTCCTGGTGTCTACATTTCCCGAGGCTGTCTGGTGTTCTATATAGAGAATTAACTTACTTATTGACATTCTGCCTGCAAGCTTAGGTTTTTAGCTTTCTCCAGGCTATTTAGGTAGTTACACATTTCCAACATTTTGTTGAAATCCTGTTTGCTGATAGTCTTCTTTCAAGTTTTCTTTATATCGTGGCTTTAGGCTTTGGCATTTTGTTTTTTTGGGGTTTTTTGGGTTTTTTTTGTTTTTTTGAGACAGAGTCTCATGGTGTCACCCAGGCTGGAGTGCAGTGGAGCGATCTCGGCTCACCACAACCTCTGCCTCCCAGGCTGAAGCAATTCTCCTGTTTCAGCCTCCCAAGTACGTCGGATTACAGGTATATGCCACCACGCCTGGCTAATTTTTGTATTTCTAGTAGAGAAGGGTTTCGTTGTGTTGGCCAGACTAGTCTCGAACTCCTGGCATCAAATAATCTGCCCCCCTTGGCCTTCCAAATTGCTGGGATTACAGGCTAGGCTTCAGCCACCGCGCTCGGCCTGGTATTTCTTTACTAACATTTTAGTGGAGCTTCAGGGGGTTTGAAGAGAAATGTGAATATTCAACCTCCCATATTTAATTTGCCACAGTTTGTATCTGGGTCTCCAGTTTAATTATGTTGTCACTCCGAGGATATAAGTTACTTGAGGGCAGTGACTATGGCTCGTTTCCTTCAACAATGCTTAGCTCAGTGCTCAGGATCTCACAAATGCTAATAAGTCCTCTGTACTGATTGAAATTGGAATTCAACGAGTGCCTATTAATTAACATGCTCTGCTCAAAAGTTGGTGGGATAAAATTATGAACAGGTTCCCATTGAAAAAGACCAGGATTCTAGTGGGGGAGTTAGGATAGTAGAAACCATAGGGATAGGTTCTATAAAAGCAGGGCCATGAGAGCACAAATAATGGATATTTTGGAAAACTTTCCTGACAATTTAAAGTTGATATCAGGGATCACTGCCAAGATGTTTAACAAAACTTGCCTCTCTATGCAGAACGTTAGGTTAAACGTACCATTGGTTGACCAGGTGTAGCAGCTTCCCTCATATATTTTTGTATTTTTTATTTTTTTTAGAGATAGGGTCTTGCTCTGTTGCCCAGACTGAAGTGCAGTGGCTCAATCACAGCTCACTAGAGCCTCAGGCTCCTAGGTTCAAGTGATCCTCCTGCCTCGGCCTCCCTAGTAGCTGGAACTACAGGCATGTGCCACCATACTTAGCTAATTTTAAAATATTTTGTAGAGACAGGGTCTCACTATGTCATCCAGGCTGGTCTCCAACTCCTGGGCTCAGGTGATCCTCTCTCTTTGGCCTCCCAAAGTGTGGGGATTACAGGTATGAGCCACCGCTCCCAGCATCCTCATGTCTTCAATGACCAAGGTTTCATTCTTGCTCAGCAAGTCACCTGATAATTAGTAATTATAAGGAGAATGGACATAATTGAGAAATAAACTGGAGAGTCTCTCCTATTTATTCATATTTTTACTGTGATTTGACAAGCTAATTTATTCTATTTTTAGAAAACAAGACGTATACATTTTACATTTTTTTCAGACTGTTTTTTCAGACTCCTTTTTCTTTCTTTCTTTCTTTCTTTCTTTTTTTTTTTTTTTTGAGGCAAAATCTTGCTCTGTCACCCAGGCTGGAGTGCAGTGGCACGACCTCGGCTCACTGCAACTTCCACCTCCTGAGTTCAAGCGATTCTCCTGCCTCAGCCTCCTGAGTAGCTCAAACACTTGACCTCAGATGATCCACCCAACTCGGCCTCCCAAAGTGCTGGGATTATAGGCATGAGCCACAGTGCCCGGCCTACAGAAATTAACATTTGTAAAGCCAAGTCCACACACCTAGAATTAAGCAGACAGATTTATAAGAAAACTGGCAGGAATGTTACCACAACCAGTGCATTCACTTAAACCCAATTAATAGAGTAGTAATCTACAATTACATAAAAATTGTTATTATTATTATTATTATTATTATTATTATTATTATTATTTTGAGATGGAGTGTCACTGTTGCCCAGGCTGGAGTGCAGCGGCATGATCTCAGCTCACTGCAACCTCCATCTCGTGGGTTCAAGTGATTCTTGTGCCTCAGCCTCCCCAGCAGCTGAGATTACAGGAGCACGCCACCATGCCTGGCTAATTTTTGTATTTTTAATAGAGATGGGGTTTCACCATGTTGACCAAGCTGGTCTCAAACCTGACCTCCTCAGGCCTCCCAAAGTGCTGGGATTACAGGCGTGAGCCACTGCGCCGGCCAAAAATGGTTATCTTTAATTGTATCAAAGAATTTTGCCGTGTGTCTTAGGTTGAGTTTGATGTGGAGAAGTGTCTCAGGCAGAAATTTGCTTGCAGAAGGTTAACTGGGGAGAGCTGTCAACAGCAGGATTAAGCAGGGACGTTGGACTGTGATGCAGTTGGCACGGAGGCCTCAGCCGATCTCATGGAGGAATCCCTGGAGCAGGGATGGCAGTGCTAACTGGGACAAGGGGCTAGGCCTCGCAGGCTGGCTGTCCCTGGGGAATGGACATAATTTTAGATGAAGCAGCTCCCTTCTGTAGAAGGGAATTCCCAAGGAGACTGAAAGCCGCCACTGCCTCGGTCATAAATTGGGAATTTGGGCGCTTGGGCGGCACAGCACAGCATCTACAACACCAGTGTTGCAGGACACTTAGGAAGCCTTTATATTGTCTATTTCTGCGAAGACTTGATTTTGTTTTTTGTTTTTTGTTTTTTGAGAAGGAGTCTTGTTCTTGTCACCCAGGCTGGAGTGCAGTGGTGCGATCTCGGCTCACAGCAACCTCCGCCTCCCGGGTTCGAGCAATTCTGCCTCAGCCTCCTGAGTAGCTGGGATTACAGGCACCCACCACCACATCCGGCTAATTTTTGTATTTTTAGTAGAGACGGGGTTTCGTCATGTTGGCCAGGCTGGTCTCGAACTCGTGATCTCATGATCCACCCACCTCAGCCTCCTAAAGTGCTGGAATTACAGGCGTGAGCCATCGCACCCGGCTGACTTGATTTTTAATACAGTAAGAACTGTCAGTTTGTGCCCTTCCATCAACTGCTTTTTTCTTTATCAAAAATGAAACAAAACCAAAACCAAGTGGCTGAATAGTTAAATTGAAAGGCAGACAACTTGAAATTCATTTTCAGCAAACAATTTCCCAGAGTTCAGATACTTCCACCTTCTCTAAGTGATAGGCATAGTAAACTCCTCCTAGATGTGTTTCTTGGTTGTTTTTTTTTTTTTCTTTTTTCAGACAGAGTTTTGCCCTTGTTGCCCAGGCTGGAGTGCAATGGTACAATCTTGGCTCACCGCAACCTCCGCCTCCAGGGTTCAAGCAATTCTCCTGCCTCAGCCTCCCGAGTAGCTAGGATTACAGGCATGTGCCACCACGCCCGGCTAATTTTGTATTTTTAGTAGGGACGGGGTTTCTCCATGTTGGTGAGGCTGGTCTCCAACTCCTGACCTCAGGTGATCCACCCACCTCAGCCTCCCAAAGTGCTGGGATTACAGGCGTGAGCCACCGTGCCCGGCTGTTTTGTTTTTTAAGACAAGGTCTCACTCTGTTACAGGCTGGAGTGGAGTGGGCTGATCATGGCTCACTGCAGCCTCGTCTTCCTGGGCTCAAGCGATCCTCTTGCCTCACCCTCCTAAATAGCTGGAACTACAGGCACATGCCACCACACCTGGGTAATTTTCTAGCCTTTTTTTTTTTTTTTTTTTGAGACGGAGTCTCTCTCGTCGCCCAGGCTGGCGTGCAGTGGCACAATCTCGGCTCACTGCAATCTCAGCCTCCCAGGTTCAAGAAATTCTCCTGCCTCAGCCTCCCAAGTAGCTAGGATTACAGGTGCCCGTCACCACACCTAGCTAATTTTTGTATCTTTAGTAGAGACAGGGTTTCACCATGTTGGCCAGGCTGGTCTCAAACTCCTGACCTCAGGTGATCAGCCCACCTCGGCCTCCCAAAGTGCTGGGATTACAGGCATGAGCCACCGTGCCTGGCCAGATTTTTTATCGAGATGGAGTCTCCCTATGTTGCTCAAGCTGGTCTCAAACTCCTGGACTCAGATGAGCCTCCCTCCTCAGCCTCCCAAAGTGTTGGAATTACAGGTGTGAGCCACTGTGCCCAGCCCTAAATGTGTTTCTTAACATTGATGAATCTTTGGAATATTGAACCTGGATGTGTCACAACTGTCCACCCTCTTTTCAGTTCTGCTTATTACTGTCACTCCACAAGTTTAGGAATCAAGACAAAAGTACTGATTTATATTATATCGATATACCTATTTAGAAAGGTAATATAATTTTCTCTCTTATTTTGGAGGCCTTGAAGTGTTATGTAAAAGTATAGTCTGATATTTTATCATAGACATCTTATAGACAAAATTAAAGTAGCCACTTTAAATCAAGATGGTGATGTTTCTCTTATCCTAATCGTGTTCATGTTGTAACATGTCTATTGCAGTTAAGCCTTTTGCAGGAATGTACTACCTTAATCAGGACAACTGCAGCCTCACCCCTGGGTTTCAGCTGCACAAATACTCAAAGTAATCATTAAGTTATTTAATAAACAAAATGTATAAACACAATTTTTACAAGGGCTCTGTTCATTTTCAAGATCCTGGAACTTTAAATACATCATTTACGGGTGGTAATGGAATAGTACCAGCAGTAAAATAGTGTTATAATAGCTTGCTTGCTAGATGAACCGATTAGGTTCATCAAATCTTTCATTCGCAGCATTAAAATGGGTGTGATTGTTGGACATTTCTGAAAGTGATTTGTACTCAGCACATTTGCAGTTAGTAGTTCTAATGCTCCTGAGATAAAGGAGCTGAGTTTACTATTGATGAATGGGGAAACCATGAAAAGGAAAATGTGTTTCATTCAGATCAATAAAAAAACAAAGATTTTAGGTGGGACGAATCTTTTTGTTTGTTTGTTTTTTGTTTTTTTTTAGGACGGTTCATTCTGAAGAATCTTTGTTATTAAGTAGTTCTTTTATGGGTCACACTTCATCTTCTTTGAGGCACTCTAAAGAATATTAGGATTTGTGTCTTAAAATAAAGAGAACAGTTATTATGCTGCATATATGGCTTATCTAAGCAAAGACAACATGCACTCCTGTTTGTGGAAAGCATGCATTTTTGTATTAGTTGTCTATGTAATACGCAGTCTCTATAATACACAGTGATACAGAGAATATTTGTGAAGTATCCACTTTACTTTCTCTTATACTGGAGGAAAACTAAAGATCTGTACAACACTTTTATTCAGCTTATTCTTTTGACTTTTAGGATTACGTAGACTTAAAAAATGTTCGACTAACCCAGGAGGCTCAGCCTGGCCCACCAAGGAAGATCAGTGCATAGCAACTGCCTCCCTTCACATGGCTCCACCTGGTAACCCCAAGGTCTGGGCTGTTCTAGGTATTGCTCCATGTGCCCCAACAAGCCCTTATCAAGAGGGCCTGTTTCCCTTAAGAAGCAATCCCAGGAAGTGGCCTTGATCCCTCCGCCTCCCTGAGAGTGGACCCTCATCTCTCCTCGACCTCCATTTCATTTCTGGGAATTAGGGCTTAGTTTTGAAACCTTGCAAGGCTGTTTGTACTAATGCCCAAGCCCCCTTACCCCTCTCCCTGCGGGTTACACAGGGGAGACCTGAGCCTCGGCAGAAGACTCTGCTGCGAAACTTCCGAATCATTCTGCTTGCCAGAATCTTGCCAGTCACCTTCACCAGCTGACTGACCCAAGTTTAGGACTATTGCTATTGTTTGTTTAAAAACCACATATACAAAACTCTTGTGAATATTATTTTTATGCTGGAGAGGAAGGCACATCTCCCTCTATGGCTCTGCGCTGGGGCCTACAGTAGTAAAGTTTACTGTCCTTTTTTGCCTCCCCTGGAAATGACAGGCATTACTCTTCTATTGGTTTCCCTTCTCTTTATGGAAAGACCAAGCAGGCTCCACTGGCCAACAGGTACGGTATTTGGTCGTCTGAGTTCTCAGTAATTTGGAAAGTTAAGGGGTTGGTTCCTGTGTCACCTTTCAGTTAGTGTGGGAAAGGAAGACTCCTGTTTTCTGAGATCAGTGCAGTCTCAGGCCTTTGGCAGGGCTCACGGATCAGAGCTGAGACTGGAGGGAGAGGCATTTGGGGTGGCCTGGGAGGGTGACTGGGGGCAGCAGAACCAAAGAAGGCAAGGTGTTTCCCCTAAGCTGGGTCGTGTGTTCAGGTGTGACGTACAGGATCACCTATGCACTGCCCTTGATGATCAAGGTTGGGGCTTAAGTGGATTAGGGAGGCAGGTTCTGGATTCCTTGCCTTTTCAGAGCATGAGGTCAGCTCTGTATGCCTCCTTTTCCTAGCTGGTATTCTAACTAGAAGCATTTGTCAATTCCTTTGTCTCCCAAATGACAACACACATTCATTTTCCAACCTTCCTAACATCTTAAATCTTTCTTCCGGGAGAACTAGAAGATAGAATTTGCTTTGATTCTCTCAGGCACTGTGCACAAGCCAGGTCTTCTGTTTTCTGTTACTGTACCCACATTCTTGCCTTCTCTATCCAACTGTGAAAGGTGAGGGGAGGCCCCTGTCCCCCTCTCTTAAGGTCCCCAAACCTGGGAGCGCATAGGTACTAAATCAAGCAGTGCAATTTGTAATTAACCAGCTGCAGTGTTTACATGTTTCTTAATGTGTCATCTTTTCAATGGCTGTATGTTAAAAGAAGAACATTTGTTTTAATAGTCTCTCGATTAAAGGAAGCCCCTGTGGCTTTGGAGGCATTGTGCCCATGATCCACCAAAAAAAAAATGTTCAACTATACTAAAATGTATATACCAATGTTTATCATACAATGGAACAAAACACACTTTAGCAGTCAAAATGGAAACTCTAAGTGCAGTATCTATAATTTAAATGCAGCCTTTTCATTTTATGAGTGGTGTGCTGAGAATAAGCACATGACTTACCAGAATCAAAGTACAATGTGTGTCCTGACAACAAAATCATCAAATCAATATGTGAAAGTAGTTCAAAGTATCGGTTGCCGAATTTGATTCCCTGTGAAATAACTTGCTCTCCTTTTTCAGGGCTATAAGGAAAATGTACGTGAGATCTGGCTAAACTCATGGAAGAAATTTTTGCTATCTCTTTATGCACACACGCTCTTTCACGCAAACATATATATAATATATGTAACATTTATACATACATCTATAATGCATATATATGTGATGTATATTATATGTATATACAATGAACTTGGATCAATCATTTATTTCTACATCATTATTTCTCCCCCACCCCAAATCCTGCTCACCCATCCCATTTGTTACAGATTTAGAAAGCGCAAACAGCTACAGACTTTGTTCCTGCAAGTCCAAAGTTATAAGCAAGTCTTCAAGGGAGCTCTGTCAGCCCTGAATGAAGTCTAGGACAACCTCATAGCACTTATCATTAAGTTTGCTTATTTGCAACCAGCAGTCAGTGTGACAGTTGCTTTAGCTCAGCTAAGGAGGAACAGGGAAGTGGACAGATTCCAGACTCAGCTGCTTGGCTCTTTCCTACAATGCCTGGCAACAGCACAGATCACAGGAATCCTACAACCCACAGCATATCTTCCAGGACTAAGGTCTTCATTAATATATTCTTCATTTGACCATTTGACAAGTATTTATTGACCACCTACTAAACACCATGCCCTGGGATTATAATAGGAGGAAAAATAGATCTAGACTCTGCTGTCATGGAACTTAGAGTTCAATGGAAAACACTAGACTGTAAGGCTAATTGGGATAGAAATCTAATTTTTTTTAAATGAACAGACTTCAGCACCATTTATTAAATCATTCATTATTTCTCCCATCCAAGTACTATTTCTCAAAACTTTATGATTCTACTGTCATACAACAAGATTCCATATATTCATGGGTGTGTTTCTGGACTTCTGAGATGAAAGCTTCGAAGATTCTATTAATCTATTTATATATGCCTTCACCATATAAATTTAAAAATTTACAGCAAAGTTGAATTTTATAGTGATCACCTGTATACCTGCTGCCTAGATTCTACAATTAACACTTCACTATCCTTTCTTTATCATGTATTCACCCAGCTATTTATTGCTCTTTACATCCATTGATTCACCTTTTTATGGTGCCTTTCCAATTAAATTGCAGACATCAATACACTTTTCCCTAAATATAACACTATACTTTAAAAATTATAATTTCACAGTAAGTTTATAGTGTTACTGTTATCCCAAATGAATTTTTCAATTATATAGCTCAGAAAATTTGATACTTAATTTCCTATTAAGATGTTGAAAAGTGAAAAAAAAACACAAAACTGGGACCTCAAAGGCTTGCTTGTATGGTGAGGGGAAAATGCAGCAGAGACTCCTCTCAAGCCTGGGGGTCTCCATTCTAGGCCAAAGGGAAAGAAAGGAGCTCAGATAACTCTACCCTGATTATCTGGATCCTGGGATCCTTACAATTGTGAGAAACTGAACAATTTCAAACACTCCACTTCATGTTACCAGAAAGGGAGACTTAGATTTTTCTGTGAGAGCAGGCTGTTCCTTTCTTTCTTGGTTTTTGGAAAAACAGGATGGTAGATTTTTTGGTAAGAAAGATTCTATTTTGTAATAAAAAGATCCAACAAAATGAGGGGTTATGCTGTTCTGCATAGTATTTCAAACATTTGTCTTCATTGCAGGAGCTATATTCCTGTAAATTGATTTCTTTAGGATAATATTTCTTTCTTAAATATGGCTTTGCTCTTTGCTGTCTTTGAAAATTATTGATTATTCTTATAGATGTATATGTGTATTGTGTGTTTTCTTGTTTAAAGATCAAAGGAGCCAGGAGCGGTGGCTCACGCCTGTAATCTCAGCACTTTGGGAGGCTGAGGCGGGTGGATCACGAGATCAGGAGTTAGAGACCAGCCTGGCCAACATGGTGAAACCCCATCTCTACTAAAAATACATAAATTAGCCCGGCAGGCATGGTGGTGGGTGGCTGTAATCCCAGCTACTTGGGAGGCTGAGGCGGGAGAATCGCTTGAACCCGGGAGGCAGAGGTTGCAGTGAGCCGAGATCGTGCCGTAGCACCCCAGCCTAGGTGACAAAAGCAAGACTCCATCTCAAAAAAAAAAAAAATCAAAGGACCTGGCACATAATAAGTACTCAATAAAAGTTAATCATTATTAATAATAAAAATATTAGACTTCTATCAGTCATATAGGATGAAGGTTCAGATGATTTATACTTCAGCATAAAGGGAAATGAAATCTCACACGGTAAGGACATCAGGTAGGCTGGGCAAGGTGGCTCATGCCTGTAATCCCAGCACTTTGGGAAGTCTAAGCAGGAAGATTCCTTGATCCCAGGAGTTTAAAATCGACCTGGGCAGCATAGAGAGGCCTGTATCAAAAATGAACAAAAACCAAACCAAACAAAAAGATATCAGGTATATCTGAGATACATATCATTACAAAATATTATTATTGTGCCTTCTTATTATTGTGATTATTTAATTTTCCAGAGAAATAAATGCAAACTAGTGGGAAATTATCTTCCCTTTATCAT
The DNA here is from genome assembly GCF_000001405.40 of Homo sapiens. NCBI lineage: Eukaryota > Metazoa > Chordata > Mammalia > Primates > Hominidae > Homo > Homo sapiens. The sequence continues at coordinate 32,075,929 of NC_000010.11, forward strand.
GTATCCTGACAGCTATCACTCATTCTATCCATACATTGATCCACCTTCTTTTTGGTGCATTTCTAATTAAATTACAGACATCAGTACACTTTTCCCTAATAACATTATACTTTTAAAATTATTGTAATGTCATGGTAAGTTTTTTTGTTTTGTTTTGTTTTGTTTTTTTGAGATGGAGTCTGACTCTGTTGCCCAGGCTGGAGGGCAGTGGCGGCTCACTGCAACCTCCACCTCCTGGGTTCAAGTGATTCTCCTGCCTCAGCCTCCCCAGTAGCTGGGATTACAGGCATGTGCACCACCACATCCAGGTCATTTTATATATATATATATTTTGTTGTTGTTGTTGTTTTTTGAGACGGGGGTCTTGCTATGTTGTGCAGTCTGGTCTGGAACTCCTGGCCTCAAGCGATCCTCCTGCCTCAGCCTCCCAAAGTGCTGAGATTACAGGCGTGAGCCACTGCCCCTGGCCTTTAAGTGTCTTTCATATTTGGATAAAATGACTGGTGGCTAGAGGACCCTAAAAAGACAAAACTAGGGGGTTGGAACTTGCAGCCTCATTCCTCAACTTCCAAGGAGGGGAGAAAGGCTGAAGGTCAAGTTGATCACCAATGGCAAGTAATTTAATTAATCATGCGTCCGTAATGAAGGTTCCCTAAAAGCCCAAAAGGACAGGGTTGGGGAACTTCCAGAGTGGTGAACACATGCAGGCTCCTGGAGGAAACTCCCAGACTCTTCTCATGTGCCTTACCCTCGGCATCTCTCCCTGGGCTCTTCACCTGCATCCTTTGTAATATCTTTTATAATAACTGGATGAATGTAGGTAAAGTGTTCCCTTGAGTTCTGTGAGGCATCCTAGCAAATTAATGGAACCTAAGGAGAGAGTTGTGTGGAAATTCCGATTTTTTAGCAGGTCGATCAGAAGTATAGGTGCCAAACTAGTCCTTAAGATTGGCAACTGAGGTGGGCGCGGTGGCTCATGCCTGTAATCCCCACACTTTGGGAGGCCGAGGCAGGCAGATCTCCTGAGGTCAGAAGTTCAAGACTAGCCTGGCTAACATAGTGAAACCCCGTCTCTACTAAAAATATAAAAATGAGCCAGGCCTGGTGGCGGGTGCCTGTAATCCCAGCTACTCAGGAGGCTGAAGCTAGAGAATTGCTTGAACCCCCATTGCACTTCAGCCTGGGAGACAAGAGCGAAACTCTGTCTCAAAAAAAAAAAAAAAAAAGATTGGCAACTGAAGTCGCGCAGGCTTAAGGGATCTGATGCTGTTTCCAGGTAGTGTCAAAAGTGAAGTGAATTGGCCATCAAGGTAGCGCATGCCTGTAATCCCCGTACTTTGGGAGGCCGAGGCAGGCGGATCACCTGAGGTCAGGAGTTCAAGGCCAGCCTGGCCAACATGGCGAAACCCTGTCTGTACTGAAAATACAAAAATTAGCTGGGCATGGTGGTGCACACCTGTAATTCCAGCTACTCAGGACGCTGAGGCAGAAGAATTGCTTGAATCCAGGAGGCAGAGGTTGCAGTGAACCGAGATCACATCACTGCACTCCAGCCTAGGTGACAGAGCAAGACTCTGCCTCAAAAAAATAAAAAAGAAAGTAGGAAAAAGCATTTTGTTTCTTCATTATTATTATTATTTTTTTTTAGAGACAGGATCTCGCTCTGTCACCCAGGCTGGAGTGCAGTGTTGTGATCTCGGCTCACGCCTGTAATCCCAGCACTTTGGGAAGCCAAGACAGGAGGATTGCTTGAGGCCAAGAGTTCATGACCAGCCTGGGCAACAAAGTGAGACCCTTGTTTCTACAAAAAATATAAATAAAAAATAAAAAGAGGAACTTCTGTCTATGGAATTGCCATTCTCCTTGTCTGCCAAGCTGTGATCATCTAACCACTTATTTCCGTGAAAACCTAATTCCAATATTGCCCACAGAACAAAAAGACTGATGTAGTATGAAAAGTGGGAAGAGGGGATGGTCTAGGACATCTCCTGGGAGTGGATGACGCTGGCATTGAGAGACCAGAGCAGGGATGTAGTCATGGTTACACATTTTCATGGCCACATGTACCCTGGCGACTTGAGGGTCCACATGCCCTTGTGAAATGCCTCAAAGTTTCATTCTTTTAGTGGAGGCTGGGAGAAGCAGATCCCAGTCCACCCTCTGACTCATCCCTTGGCGTTCCTGCCTGATTTAGTGTCAGGGCAAGCCTCAAGGGAATTCTGTCTCTGCCACGCCACTGGCTGCTTTGACAGCATAAAGGTCATGGTGGATAGAAAGCTTTTCTCTTTCATTCACCTTTCCTTCAAACCATGAGCACAATTCCAGTTCCCCTTCTCATATATTCATTTACATAAGTAAGCATATATGTATATACATGTGGAATATTCATACCTCTAAACTGTTCTGATTCAAGCAGCAGAGACAAAAAGAAAAAAATTTAAGAAAAGAAAAGAGGGCTGGGCACATTGGCTCATGCTTGTAATCCCAGCATTTTGGGAGGCCGAGGTGGGGGGATCACAGGGTCAAGAGATCGGACCATCTTGGTCAACATGGTGAAACTCTGTCTCTACTAAAAATACAAAAATTAGCTGGGCGTGGTGGCGCACGCCTGTAGCCCCAGCTACTCAGAAGGCTGAGACAGGAGAATCATTTGAACCCGGGAAGCAGAGGTTGCAGTGAGCCGAGATTACGCCGCTGCACTCCAGCCTGGTGACAGAGTAAGACTCCATCTCAAAAAAAAGAAAAAAAAAAAAGAGAGAAGAAAAAAGAAAACAATATTTTTTTAAAACCCTTAGTGCAGTGGTATCCACAAATAAGTGTACAGTTTAATTAGTTTAAATTAATCTACCAATGAACAGATATCTTAAAGGTACATTATGTAAAAGGAAGAATGAGGAGTTTTTAACTCCAAATTTTGAAATTCAAATAGCCAAAATAAAAAGCAATAATCAATCAAAATAAATATGTGGCCAGGCACAGTGGCTCATGCCTGTAATCCCCACACTTTCGGAGGCTAAGGCAGGAGGATCACTTGAGCCCAGGAGTTTGAGACCAGCCTGGGTAACAAAGCAAGATGTTGTCTCTACAGAAAAATGACAAAAACTGGCCAGGCATGGTGGCGTATGCCTGTAGTCCCAGCTACTCAGGAGGCTGAGGTGGGAGGATCGCTTTAGCCTCAAAGGTCGGGGCCACAGTGAACTATATTTGTACCACTGCACTCCAGCCTGGGCAAGAGAATGAGACTCTGTCTCAAGAAAACAAAAATAAAAATAAAAATAACAAAATCAGTAAGTCAGGAGGGAGGATTTTAAGAATAAAGACATGGATTTTAGACATGTTGTGAATGAGATGTCATGGGCTCATCCCTGCTTGTTCAGTAATGTTGTCTTAGTGAGCACCCAGGGCTATAGATAGGATTTGGGGAGTTCACTTCCACAGGAGGCACAGTAGAGGACAAAGAATACATGAGGAGAAGACCAGAAAGTTGAAGGTTGCAACTTCCAAACACAAGAAATTACCTTCCCAATTGCACTGTATCTGTGGTCAAACATGTGAAACATGTATGCTTTGTAATGGCTTCTGCTCTGAAAAACATTTAAAAACAGTTGCTTCCTTGCATAGAAAAGTTTAGAAATGACTATCTGTAACAGTAGAATAAAGGAGTAGTTTTTGTAAAAGAAGAGACAATCGGCGGAATATGGATTTATATGGCTTTGTTACCAGACATTCTGAACCCTTTAAATTTGTACAGGCAGTCCTCACCTTGCACAGTCATGTAGCACCATAAGAATGACTGTACAGGCCAGGTGCGGTGTCTCACACCTGTAATCCCAGCATTATGGGAGGCCGAGGCGGGCAGATCACATGAGGTCAGGGGTTTGAGACTAGCCTGGCCAACATGGTGAAACCCTGTCTCTACTAAACATAAAAATTAGCCAGGCATGGTGGCATGCGCCTATAATCCCAGCTACTGGGAAGGCTGAGGCAGGAAAGTCGCTTGAACCCGGGAGGTGGAGGTTGCCGTGAGCCAAGATCATGCCACCGGACTCCAGCCTAGGTGACAGTCAGACACCATCTCAAAAAAACAAAACAAAACAAAACAAAGAATGACTGTATAAAGCCATGCAAAGCAATGTTAGCTATGAATGGGAAAAATTACAATTGTTCCATAACCTTTAAAAAAGTTTGTCAAAACAGTAAAAACTCTCTGTCAGCTATAAAGGTATAGGAAAATGAAAAAAATAGTAAAATGAATAATATAAGTTAAAACATTAGAAACATTACACATTAAAGTGTCTTATTTCTTTGTAAAAAACTTATGAAGCATAGTTTGTACAGTGCTTGTCTCTTTCTCTCCATGTAACTTACAATATGAAGTGAGAATGTTTTCTGTTGTCATGTGCCTTTCTTTTTTTATTTTGAGACGGAGTCTCATTCTGTAGTCCAGGCTGGAGTGCAGTGGCGTGATCTTGGCTTAATGCAACCTCCACCTCCCAGGTTCAAGTGATTCTCATGCCTCAGCCTCCCAAATTACAGGTGTGTGCCACCACACCCAGCTAATTTTTGTATTTTTAATAGAGGCGGGGTTTCACCATGTTGGCCAGGCTGGTCTTGAACTCCTGACCTTAAGTGATCCACCCACCTTGGCCTCCCAAAGTGCTGGGATTATAGGTGTGAGCCACCGTGCCCGGTCTTGTCATGTACCTTTCTAAGTCTGGGTCAGGTTCTGACATTTTATCCTTTGTGCTTTTATATCATGCAGTGTCTTCATGAGTTCCTTTAGTGTAAAGTTTTTTTGCCTCTGTGACGTCTTCATTCTTTCTGTTATATTGCTTTTCTCATTTAAATTAAGTCACCTTAACTAAGTTCCTCTGGCTGCATGTTGAAGGCTCTAATGGTAGCAGGGTCAGCATTCCCATGGACAGCTATTTCTTCTTCTTTTTTTGAGACAGACTCTCACTCTGTCACTCAGGCTGGAGTGCAGTGGCGTGATCGCAGCTCATTGCAACCTCCACCTCCCCAGTTCAAGTGATTCTCATGCCTCAGCCTCTGGAATAGCTAGGATTACAGGCGTGTGCCGCCACACCTGGCTAATTTTTTGTATTTTTAGTAGAGACAGGTTTTCACCATTTTGGCCGGACTGGTCTTCAACTCCTGACCTCAAGTGATCCACCCAGCTCGGCCTCCTAAAGTGCTGGAATTACAGGTATAAGCCACCATGCCCAGCAACAGGTTATTTCTTCTATAGCTGAAGTGTTCACTATTCTAATTTAACGTCCAGAATTATCACTTCTTATTTCTTTGCTCTATTTTCATCTTTGTTAGCCAGTTCCTTCTTTCTATTACCCATTTGTGTAAAATGTCATGTGAATTTATCCCTGGGAGGCAACACACCTCCCCATTTTGCCATCTGTAGATGAACCGAATAACAGATGTGCAGTGACCAAAAATGCACAGACATGAAAATAAGTGATGTGATTGGCCACTGATCACAGTGCACATCAGTTACTTATGTAGTGATGTGTGGACTGAAGACCTAGTGGCAAAGTCTGTACTTTATGCAATTGCAAAAATAAGGAGTGCCATATTGTAAGGCATGGAATTGAAATTCGAACCAGGTTGTTGGGGGACTGTTGTTATTTAACTAAACTGCAGTAACTGAAATTCGGGCCTGTGGGAACTGTGCAAAATGAGAACTATCTGCAACCCTTCTCTTGAAAAGACTTCTTGGGATACAAGTTATATTTAGTCACTTTGTAAAGTGCTTTGGAAACTTCAGATTGAAATGGTAAGCACGGTGTCATTGGAGGGTAAATAGATACCATGTGGAAAGGAATCTCTAAAATGGCAGGGATTAGACATCCTAATAAGTTGCTGGGTGCTCAGGAAACAACAATAAACATCTATCCTATGGAAATGTTATCAGTAATTACAGTCATCGACAGTCTGTCATCCCAGGATCTGTCTGAGAGTCCATGACTGTATGTAACATATACAGGAATATCCAAGGTATTAACAATGGCCAGGAGTGTGCAAAATGCCATATTTAAGCAACCTTTTCTAGAATCTTCTTTGCTTTGTTAATTTAATGAATGAGTAATATAACATGTCCACTGGAATGATGTGAATTCTCTCTTCTCCAGGTGGGAAGCTTACATTATTAATTATAGAAAAAAAATTCCAAGATTTCACTGATAAGCAAGAGAATCTCCAGAAGATACAATTAACTTCAAAGTCACTTTTTTCTCAAGGTCATTGTCTATAGAATTCTGATTATCACACAGGTAGAAAGAATCTAAATCTTTAAAAATAAGATATATTAGGTTATAGATGCTACAAAATAGGTTAATGATTAATCTACAGATAAGTGGACTGGGCACAGTGGCTCATGCCTATAACCCCAGCACTTTGGGAGGCCGAGCAGGGTGGATCACCTGAGGTCAGGAGTTCAAGACCAGTCTGACTTACATGGTGAAACCCTGTCTCTACTAAAATACAAAAAATTAGCCGGGCGTGGTGGCAGGTGCCTGTAATCCCAGCTACACGGGAGGCTGAGGCAGGAGAATGATGTGAACCCGGGATGTGGAGGTTGCAGTGAGCCGAGATTGCAAAATTGCACTCCAGCCTGGGCGACAAGAGCAAAACTCCATCACAAAAAAAAAAAAAAAAAAAGCTATAGATAAGTGAAGAAGCCCTTGTCTTATAGGCAATTTAAATTTGCAAAGATGTTTACATCAATCCACTTGAGATCTTTCCAAAGTAACCAATAACATCATCTGTATTAGAATCAACATATTGATTGGTGGATTGACTGCCCCTTTGGAACAGGGCTACCCCATAGGCAGTGCACCAAGAGTCATCTACTTTCACTTTATTATGTAGTTTTGCACTTGTGAATGTTCACGAAATGATATCTCACAGATAATGAGTGACCACAAGTTTTCTATGCATGCTAGTTAGAAGTTATCACCTCCACTCTCTGCACAAATTTTAATTTTTTCCACTTTCTTCTGGACGTTGAAGCTTTCGCTGAAAACTCTAGAAATTTGACTGTTTGAGTCTCATGCATAGAATTTTGTGGCCGTCTTTGCAGAGGAATTTCTGTGTGCTTTGTCTACCTACCATATGCTCAGTTTGAACCAGATGCTGAGAGGAATACAAAATCAATGGGAAAGCCACAGGCCTTGGGGAAGGAAGGGGGGTAGAAATGACTGGTAGGTGGTGGTCTTCAGCTTTCCACACTCCAGACCACCCTACCTCTCCTGACGCAAGCTCTTTGTCCAGCCAGTATAGATGTGTTGTCTTGACAGAGGGTCATTCCAGATTGGCAGGGCAGCATAAACCCAGATGGAGAAAGTGGTATATGTGTGGTGTGCTCAGTGGGCTGAGAGACCGACTGATGATGGAGAATATCAGAGAATTAAAAGCTGACAGGTAATGTGGGGTTAAACCGAATAAATAAATAAATGTAAATTAGGAACTTCTCCACATCCTAATATGGGGACTGAAGGGTGGGGAGAAAGGAAAAGGGAAGGAGAGGAGAAAGATTAATGGACCACTAGAGTAATGTTCTTTAATTAAAAAAAATTTCAAGCCAGGTGCAGTGGCTCACACCTGTAATCCCAGCACTTTGGGAGGCCAAAGCAGGAGGATCACTTGAGGCCAGGAGTCCAAGGCCAGGCTGGGCAACATGCTGAGACTCCAACTCTACAAAAAATTTAAAAAATTAGCCGGGAGTGGTGACATGCACCTATAGTCCCAGCTACTCATGAGGCTGAGGTGGAAGGATTGCTTGAGTCTGGGGAGGTTGAAGCTGCAATGAGTTTTTGTTGTTTTTGTTGTTGTTGTTTTAGATGGAGTCTCACTCTGTCACCCAGGCTGGAGTGCAGTGGTATGATCTTGGCTCACTGCAAGCCCTACCTCCTGGGTTCAAGCGATTCTCCTGCCTCAGCCTCCCAATAGCTGGGACTACAGGCACACACCACCATGCCTGGCTAATTTCTTTGTATTTTTGTAGAGATGGGGTTTTGCCATGTTGGCCAGGCTGGTCTCAAACTCCTGACCTCAAGTGATCCACCCGCCTCGACCTCCCAAAGTTCTGGGATTACAGGACTGAGCCACCACACCAGGCCTGCAATGAGTTATGATCACGCCAATGTACTACAGCCTGGGCGACAGAGCAAGACCCTGTCTTGAATAAATAAATAAATAATAAAAATGTTCAAAAGCAAACATGGTGGGGTGTGTCTTATTGCTGATCAGAGCAACCAACATATAACACTTTGTCACATAGTCCTCATTTCTCTTTTCTCAGTTTGTCAACCAAAACTGAGCTCTTCTGTGGCAGCCATGAGAATGTCTCAGTTCAGCTGCAAGGATTGCGACTGAATAAGGGCCCAGCTGCTGGATCTGAAATCCATGGCTCCAGGGGCGCCATTCCCTTAGGCTGCTCCCAGCCAATGACAGTGCAGCAGGGATTCTGGGGACACCTGTTCCTAGAAGACAGGAGGCTCCTCTGATGACCAGTTTTGGCCTGGGGACTCCTTGACAACTTAGCTGAATGGACTACATGGTGGTCTGGGACACCTCTACCAAAGATTCTCTCTCTCTGTTCCTCTTTCAGAGTCAAATTTGCCTGTGGCTTGAGCGTTTCCCCAGATTTCTCCAGCTGCTCTCCACTTTCCTTCACTAGTCATTTTCCTTAGTAAGACCCTTGCACATTTTATCCCATCTTGGCAGCCACGTCTCCGTGCATCTGGACTAACACATCTTCCAAAGGCACATTTGTTTCTATTCTTAGTTTTCCATGTCACCTCATTGGAAGAGACGGGAAGAATGTGAAAATAATGGGATTGCAGACATCTGGAAGAATTTTACTCTAACCATGAAGGATTCAAAGCAAGTGTTTCCATTAGAAAACACTACATGAACACCAACACAAAAAGATGACAGTTGGGCCAGGCACAGTGGCTCACACCTGTAATCCCAGCACTTTGGGAGGCCAAGGTGGGTGGATCACCTGAGGTCAGGAGTTTGAGATCAGCCTGGCCAACATGGTGAAATCCCATCTCTATTAAAAATACAAAAATTAGCCAGGCGTGGTGGTGGGCACCTGTAGTCTCAGCTACTGGGGAGGCTGAGGCAGGAGAATTGCTTGAACCTGGGAGGTAAAGGTTGCAGTGAGCCAAGATCATGCCATTGTGCTCCAGCCTGGGCAACAAGAGTGAAACTCCATCTCAAAAAAAAAAAAAAAAAAAAGACGACAGTTGCAGTTGGGTGCTTGGGAATTTGGGAGATACAGAGTTCGGTAATCCTTTTTTTAGTGATTCCCAGATTTTGTTGGTATCAACATTACTTGTCTGTCTGTGCGTGTGTGCGTATGTGTATTTTGAGACAGGGTCTTGCTCTGTTGCACAGGCTGGAATATGGTGTTATGATCACAGTTCACTGAAGCCTCAACCTCCTGGGCTCAATTGATCTTCCCACCTCAGCCTCCCAAGTAGCTGGGACTACAGGCTCATGCCACCATGCTAGGCTATTTTTTCTATTTTTTGTGGAGACAGGAGTCTCACTATATTGCCAGCTGGTCTCAAACTACTGGCTCAAGCAATCCTCCTACCTCAGCTTCCCAAAGTGCTGGGATTACAGGTGTGAACCATGGCACCCCACAAATGCATGTACATGTTTTAAATGCAGATACCTGATTCCTTTCCACATCCACACCCCTACTCCAAGACCTACAGGAATAATCTCCAGAGATGGAACCCAGGCATATGTACTTTTAACAAAATTGCTTTGTGATTCCAATTTATACCAAAGTTTAAGAATCAGTGGACACCACTGCCCTGTTGCTCCAGAAATTGTTTTCTTAGGAGTGATAATGATTCAAAAGCTTCTGACTAGTTTTCTCTCTTTCCCTCCCAAATCATGCCTGACACTTGTGCCACCTGATTCTTTGTGACGGGAGATTTTTTAAGATAGATGTGGTATGGAAAACTTGGCTTTTTATCACTTATTTGTTCCCCCAAAGTTATGCATACACCTAATTATCTTAAACGAGGTTGAAGAATCTCATCCTGGCCGGGCGCAGTGGCTCATGCCTGTAATCCCAGCACTTTGGGAGGCCAAGGTGGGTGGATCACTTGAGGTCAGGAGTTCGAGACCAGTGTAGCCAACATGGAGAAACTCTGTCTCTACTAAAAATATAAAAATGAGATGGGTGTGGTGACTTATGCCTGTAATCCTAGCAACTTGGGAGGCTGAGGCAGGAGAATCACTTGAACCTGGGAGGCAGAGGTTGCAGTGAGCTGAGATCACACACCTGCCCTCCTCCAGCCTGGGTGACAGAGTGAGACTCTGTCAAAAAAAAAAAAAAAAAAAAAAACCTCATCCTCATCTCTTCATCTCTTATGTCTTCAGATTTGTAGGTTTAATGTCAGATTTCCTTAAGGTATGGCACACAAACATGTATTTTCAAATAGTTAATGCATGCCCCTGGTGTTTTACTTTGAACATATCACTTTCCAGAGAAATAGTTACTGTGGCTTCTAGAAATTGGCCTATCTTGCATATCTCTTCCACAGAGGTTGCCACATTTGAGGTCTTGATAGAAGTGGAGCACAGACCAGGCACAGTGGCTCACGGCTGTAATCCCAACACTTTGGGAGGCCAAGGAGGGACAATTGCTTGAGGCCAGGAGTCGGAGACCAACCTGGGCAACCTAGAGAGACCCCACCTCTGCCAAAAAATTGGGAGGATTGCTTGAGCCCAGGAGTTCAAGGCTATAGTGAGCTGTGACTCCACCACTGCACACCAGCCTGGGCAACAGAGCAAGACATGCAGGTCTTACATTTAAGTCTGTGATCTATCTTTAGTTATTTTTTGAGCAAGACCCTGTCTCTGGTCTCTGAAAAAAAAAAAAAAAAGAATGGAACAGAGAAGACGAGTTCTAGCCATCTTCTCTGTTGATTGTAAGATCTAGGTGGATTAAACGGCAAGGCCTCCAGACTAAAAATTTTCCTTGAGTAGGAAGAATGGAAACATCACCGACTCAGTAAATGAAGTGACCGTTTTCTACCAGTTTTTTCTTCTAACTTGATAAAACTCACATTCTGCACAACAAATATTCCTAAATTCAAAAGATCTTAGGTTGCTCAAATATAGTTCATCGTCCTTTTTTTTTTTAAGTATGAGTTCTTGCAATAATTTGGTCTTTGGGATTTTTTTTTCAACTTTTAGGTTCAGGGGGTACATGTGCAGGTTTGTTACATGGGTAAACTGTGTGCACTGAAGTTTGGAATATGAATGATTCCATTACCCAGGCTGTGAGCATAGTTTCCAATAGGTAGTTTTTCAGTCCTTGCCCTCCTCCCACTCTCCTGCCTCTATCTAGTAGTTCCCAGTGTCTATTGCTGTTATCTTTATGTTTGTGTATACTCAATGTTTAGCTTCCACTTATAAGTGAGAACATGCAGTATTTGGTTTTCTGATCCTGCGTTAATTTGCTTAAGATAATGGCCTCCAGCTGCAACCATGTTGCTGCAAAGGACACAATTTTGTTCTATTTTATGGCTGTATAGTAGTCCATGGTGTATATGTATCACCTTTTCTTTATCCTGTCCACTGTTTATGGGCATCTAGGTTGATTCCATGTCTTTGCTATTGTGAATAGTGCTGCAATTAACATACAATTACATGTATCTTTTTTGTAGAATAATTTGTTTTCTTTAGGTACCTACCCAGTAGTGGGATTGCTGGGTTGAATGGTAGTTCTTTTTTTTTTTTTTTTTTTGAGACAGAGTCTCGCTCCATCACCCAGGCTGGAGTGCAGTGGCGCGATCTCGGCTCACTGCAAGCTCCACCTCCTGGGTTCACGCCATTCACCTGCCTCAGCCTCCCAAGTAGCTGGGACTACAGGGGCCCACCACTGCGCCCGGCTAATTTTTTGTATTTTTAGTAGAGACGGGGTTTCACCACGTTAGCCAGGATGGTCTTGATCTCCTGACCTCATGATCCACACTCCTCAGCCTCCCAAAGTGCTGGGATTACAGGCTTGAGCCACTGCACAGGGCCAGTAGTTCTATTTTAAGTTCTTTGACAAATTACAGCGGCTGAACTAATTTACATTCTCACAAGCAGTGTATATGCATTCTCTTTTCTCCAGAACCTTGCCAACATCTGTTATTTTTTGCCTTTTTAATAGCCTTTCTAGGCCAGGCTCAGTGGCTCACACCTGTAATCCCATCACTTTGGAAGCCGGAGGTGGGTGGATCACCTGAGGTCAGGAGTTTGAGACCAGCCTGGCTAACACGGTGAGACCCCGTCTCTACTTAAAATACAAAAATTAGCCAGGTGTGGTGGTGGGTGCCTGTAATCCCAGCTACTTGGGAGGCTGAGGCAGGAGAATCACTTGCACCTGGGAGGCAGAGGTTGCAGTGAGCCGAGATCCCGCCATTGCACTCTAGTCTGAGTGACAAGAGTGAAACTCCGTCTCAAAAAAAAATAATAATAATAATAATAATAGCCATTCTGACTGGTATGAGATAGTATCTCATTGTGGTTTTGATTTTCATTTCTCTGATGATTAGTGATGCCAAGCATTTTTTTCATATGTTTTTTGGCCACATGTATGTCTTCTTTTGAGAACTGTCTGTTCATGTCCTTTGGCCATTTTTTAATGGGGTTGGTTTTTGAATGGTTTAAGTTCCTTATAGATTCTGGAAAATAGAACTTTGTTGGATGCATAGTTAGCAAATATTTTCTTCTATTCTCTAGGTTGTGTGTTTACTCTGTTGGTAGTTTCTTTTGCTGTGCAGAAGCTCTTTTGTTTAATTAGGTCCCACTTGTCAATTTTTGTTTTTGTTGCCATTGCTTCTGGGGACTTAGTCATAAATTCTTTGCCAAGGCTGATGTTCAGAATAATATTTCCTAGGTTTTTTCCTAGGATTTGTATAGGTTTACATATTACATATAAGTCTTTCATTTATCTTGAGTTAGTTTTTGTATATGGTGAAATGTAGGGGTCTACTTTCATTCTTCTGCATATGACTAGCCAGTTATTCCAGCATCATTTATTGAATAGGGAGTTCTTTCTCCATTGCTTGTTTTTGTTGATTTTGTCAAAGATTAGATGGTTGTAGGTATGCACTTTATTTCTGGGTCTCTATCTTGTTCCATTGGTCTACGTGTCTGTTTTTGTAACAGTATCATGCTGCTTTGTTTACTGTAGCCTTGTTGTATAGTTTGAAGTTGGGTAGTGTGATGCCTCCAGCTTTTTTCTTTTCACTTGGAATTCTTTGGCTATTCAGGCTCTTTTTTGGTTCCATATGAATATTATAATAGTTTTTTAATTCTGTGAAAAATGACGTCGATAGCTTGATAGGAATGGCATTGAATATGCCGATTGCTTTGGGCAGTATGGTCATTTTAATGATGTTGATTCTTCTGATCCATGAGCATGAGATGTTTTTCCACTTGTTTGTATCATCTATAATTTCTTTCAGCAGTGTTTTGTAGTTCTTCTTGTAGAGATCTGTCAACTCTTTGGTTAAATGTATTCCAGGGTATTTTTTAATGTGGCTATTATAAATGGAATTGCATTCTTAATTTGCCTCTCAATTTGAATGTTATTGGTGTCTAGAAGTGCTACTGATTTTTATACATTGATTTTGTGTCCCGAAACTTTACTGAAATCATTTATTAGCAATAAGAGCCTCCTGGTGGAGTTGTTAGGGTTTTCTAGATACAGAATCATAGTAACAGTGAAGAGAGACAATTTGACTTCTTTACCTATCTGGGCACCTTTTATTTCTTCCTCTTGTCTGATTTCTCCGGCTAGGACTTCTAGTACTGCATTGAATAGGAGTGGTGAGAGAGGGTATCCTTGTCTTGTTCCAGTTCTTAAGGCAACTGCTTCCAGCTTTTGCCCATTCAGTATGTTGGCTGTGAGTTTGTCATAGATAGTTCTTATTATTTCGAGGTATGTTCCTTCAGTGCCTAGTTTATTGAGAGTTTTCATCACGAAAGCATTTGGGATTTTATCAAAAGCTTTTTCTGCACCTATTGACTGAGATGATCATATGGTTTTTTGTTTTGTTTTTGTTTTTTACAGGTGTGAGCCATCGGCCCGGCCTTTATTTTTAACTCTGTTTATGTGATGAATCATATGTGTTGATCTGTGTATGTTGAACCAGCCCTGCATCCCAGGAATAAAGCCTACTTGATTATAGGGAATTGATTTTTTGATGGGCTGCTGGATTCGGTTTACAGAATTTTGTGGAGGATTTTTGTGTCTATGTTCATCAGGGAGATTGGCCTGTAGTTTTCTTTTTTTGTTGTGTCTTTGCCGGATTTTGGTATCAGAGTGATGCTGGCTTTGCAGAATGAGTTAAGAAAGAGTCCTTTCTCCTCTACTTTTTGAAATAGTCTCAATAGGATTGGTACTAAGCTCTTCTTTGTACGTCTGGTAGAATTCAGCTATGAATCCACCTGGTCCAAGGCTCTTTTTGGTTGGTAGGTTTCTTTCTAATTACTAATTCAATTTCAGAACTTGATATTGGTATGTTCAGGGTTTCTATTTCTTCCTGATTCAGTCTTGGGAGTTTATGTGTTTCTAGGAAATTATCCATCTCCTGTAGACTTTCTAGTTTATGTGCATAGAGGTGTTCATAATCTTGCCTAAGGACCTTTTGTATTTTCTGTGGGATCAGTTGTAATGTCATTTTTGTTGTTTCTGATTGTATTTTTTTGGTTCTTCTCTCTCTTTTCTTCGTTAATCTAGTAGCAGTCTATCAACCTCAATTCTTTCAAAGAAACTGCTTTTGGTTTTGTTGAGCCTTTATATAAATTTTTGGGTCTCAATTTCACTCTGTTCTGATTTATTTTCTTCTGCTAGCTCTGGGGTTTGTTCATTCTTATTTTTCTAGTTTCCCTAGGTGCTATGTTAGATTATTAATTTGAGATATTTCTAAATTCTTGATGTAGGTGTTTAGCATTGTAAACTTTCCTGTTAACACTGCTTTAGCTCTATCCCAGAGATTTTGGTATGTTGTGTCTCTATTTTCATTTATTTCAAATAATTTTGAAATTTCTTCTTAATTTCATTGTTTACTCAAAAGTTATTCAGGAGCAAGTTGTTTAATTTTCATTTAATTCTGTGGTTTTGAGGGATCTCCTGGTTATTGATTTATAATTTTATCCCACTGTGGTCTGAATGTATGATTGCTATGATTTCAGTGTTTTTGAATTTATTGAGACTTGTTTTATGGCTGTGCATGTGGTTGATCTTGGACTATGTTCTATGTGCTCATGAGAAGAATGTACATTCTGTAGTTGATGGGTGGAGTGTGTCTATTTGGTCCAACTGGACAAGTGTTAAATTTAAGTACAGGATTTCTTTGCCAGCTTTCTGCCTCAGTGATCTGTCTAACACTGTCAGCAGAGTGTTGAAGTCCCCTGCCATTATTGTATAGCTGTCTAAGTCTTCTTGTAAGTCAAAAAGTGCTTGTTCTATGAATCTGGGTGCTCCAATGTTGGATGCATATGTATTTAGGATAGTTAAGTCACCTTGTTGGATTGAACACTTTATCATTATGTGGTGTCCTTCTTTGTCCTTTTTTACAGTTAGTTTAAAGTCTATTTTATCTGATATGAGACTAGCAACCCCTGCTCTTTTTTGTTCTATATTTGTGTAATAGTTCTTTCTCCAACCCTTTATCTTGAGTCTATGAATGTTGTTATGGTGAGATGGGTCTGTTGAAGACAGCAGATGAATGGGTCTTGTTTTTTTATTCAACTTGCCACTCTGCGCCTTTTTTTTTTTTTTTTCGAGACAGAGTTTTGCTCTTAATGCCCAGGCTGGAGTGCAATGACGCGATCTCGGCTCACTGCAACCTCCGCCTCCCAGGTTCAAGCGATTCTCCTGCCTCAGCCTCCCGAGTAGCTGGGATTACAGGCAAGTGCCACCACGCCCAGCTAATTTTTTGTATTATTAGTAGAGACGGGGTTTCTCCATGTTGGTCAGGCTGGTCTCTAACTCCCGACCTCAGGTGATCCACCCACCTCGGCCTCCCAAATTGCTGGGATTACAGGCATGAGCCACCACGCCTGGCCACTCTGTGCCTTTTAAGTGGAGCATTAAGACCATTGACATTCAAGGTTAATTAATTTGGTCTTTGAATGAGGGGTACAGTTCTCAATGTATTTGGGAGGGTTTTTTTTTGAGACAGAGTCTTCCTCTGTCACCCAGGCTAGAGTACAATGACATGATCTTGGCTTACTGCAACCTCCGCCTCCTGGGTTCAAGCGATTCTTCTGCTTCAGCCTCCCCAATAGCTGGGACTACAGGCGTGTGTCACCACACCTGGCTAATTTTTGCATTTTTAGTAGAGATGGGGTTTCACCATATTGGCCAGGCTGGTCTCGAACTCCTGACCTCATGATCCTCCCCCCTCGGCCTCCCAAAGTGCTGGGATTACAGGCGTGAGCCACAGTGACCAGCCAATTTTTTTTTTTTTCTTTTTTTTTTTGAGACAGAGTCTGCTCTGTTGCCCAGGCTGCAGTGCAGTTGCGCCATCTCGGCTCACCGCAAGCTCCGCCTCCTGGGTTCACGCTATTCTCCTGCCTCAGCCTCCCGAGCAGCTGGGACTACAGATGCCCGCCACCACGCCCAGCCAATTTTCTCTATTTTTAGTAGAGATGGGGTCTCTACTAAACTATCCTGTTAGCCAGGATGGTCTCGATCTCCTGACCTCGTGATCTGCCCGCCTCGGCCTCCCTAAGTGCTGGGATTACAGGCATGAGCCACCACGCCCGGCCTTTTTATTTTTTTAATAAAAGTAGTTCACAATGGCTGGATTCCTTTTATGTAGTACACATCCATGATAATATACTACCTGACTAAACTTTCTTTGGGAAATTATCTGGTTATGACACTCCTCAACAACCTTCTATGGTTTCTTTCTTTCTTTTTTTTTTTTTTTTTTGAGACAGAGTCTCACTCTGTTGCCCAGGCTAGAGTGCAGTGGCGTGGTTTCTGCTCACTGCAACCTCCATCTCCCAGGTTCAAGCAATTCTCCTGCCTCAGCCTCCCAAGTACCTGGGATTACAGGCACCTGCCACCATGCCTGGCTAATTTTTTGTATGTTTAGTAGAGACGGGGTTTCTCCATGTTGGCCAGACTGGTCTCGAACTCCTGACCTCATGATCCGCCCACCTAGGCCTCCCAAAGCAGTGGGATTACAGGTATGAACCAACGCGCCAGGCCCGTCTATGGTTTCTTATTGTCTCAGGTCAAGCACACATTTCCTCCATGTGGTATTTTAGGGTTTCTGAAATGTGTTCTCAACCGTCTTTACAAGTTTTGCTTCTTCAGGTCCCCTTATGTACTCCATCAGACCTACTTTCTATTTCCAAATATTCCATGGCTCACCACCTCTGTGCCTCTGTGTCCCCCATGTGGAAGTTTCTGTCTCCATCTCTTACTCCACTGATTCTTCAAGTCCAAGTGATATAACCCCCACAGTCTTTTGTATGGTACTTTATTGCAAAATGCCTTATGTTAGCATAAACTGAGTATTTGTCACATTCAGTTATATTAGATTGAATATTCTTAAAGAGCAAGAATCAGTTCTTATCCATCCTTTAGACTACTGGGATCAGCACAGTTTGTTTAGTAAAATTGAGTACCTTCAATCAAAGCCTCCAACCAGCAGTGACAGGCTCAGCAAATACCCTGAGATCCTTTAAGAAAAGTATCAGTTCTTAAAAAGTATCTGGTTGTTGAAGACAACAACCATACATCTGTTGTTGGAGTAGCTGGGTGCAAAACCAAAAAAGGAAACAGAATAATACTTTCAAGTACTTACTGTGTACAGTGCATTATTATGTCCTTTTATGTAATTCAGTCTGTCAGTCATTCAACAAACATTTATTGAGTCTCATTAGTGCTGTGCTAGGAGAGCAAGCAATACAGCAAGTGCATCAGTGAATTCAGTCTAACATGATGGAAGCGATGATAGAGGACACATGAAGTGCTTTGGGAACACAGAGACTAGATATGTACGTTCAACTATCTGGGCAGCCAAATCTTCCCAGAGGAAGTATCCTTGAGCTGAGCTTTGAAATATAATTCAGCTAGGTAAGGAAATGGGGAAGGGCATTCCAGGGACAGGGAACAGTATGCGCACAGGCCTGGCAGCATGAAATACCACCATGCTTGTGGGAGTGGGGTTATGGCAGGAAACAAGACTACAGAACCAGGATATGAAAGACCGTGGGAATAAATTTAGGTTATCCGGAAAGCTAGAGGACATCTTGAAGGCTTTAAAGCCAGAGAGTGGTGGGATCAGATTTGCCCTTTAGAAAGGCCTCACTGGCGGTGACATGGAGAATGCATTGGAGGAAGACAGGTGGACTAGTTAGAATAGACTAATTAAAATGCTCTTGGAGTCATCTCACAGGGGAGTGATGAGAGATGAAACAAATGGGAATAGAGAATGAGAAAGCAATGAGAGAGAGAGACTAGATTCTATGAAACTTGGAGATTGTTTGGACGTGGGGTGGGGTTAAGAATGAAGAATCTAGGATTATTCCCACAACCCTGCCTTGGGTGATGGTACAACTCACACTAGGGTGATGGAGGTGAGGCACTTGCCTCAGACACAAAATTAAGGGAGATCCCCAAAAACTCAGTAAGATAAATAATATTTTAATGCAATATTTGCAAAATTAAAATGACTGCAAGAGGCTGGGCGCAGTAGCTCATGCCTGTAATCCCAGCACTTTGGGAGGCCGAGGTCAGGAGTTCAAGACCAGCCTAGCCAACATGGTGAAACCCCATCTCTACTAAAAATACAAAAATTATCCAGGCATGATGGTGGGTGCCTGTAATCCCAGCTACTCAGTAGGCTGAGGCAGGAGAATTGCTTGAACCATGGAGGTGGAGGTTGCGGTGAGCTGGGATCACACCACTGCACCCCAGCCTGGGCGACAGAGTAAGACTCTGTCTCAAAAAAGTAAATAAATAAAAAAAATAACTGCAAGAAAATCCATGATAAACAAAATGTCAAAATTTTAGGGAAAGAATGTGGCTTTGCTTGCATGATCTGGTTTCACTCACCTCACCCTAACACTGGCTCTGAAAAAGAAAGGTATTGTTAATCCATTTTCACTGAGAAAACTGCAGTCCAGAGAAGTAAAATTACTAAGTGAAGGTCACACAGCCAGCAAGTGCCAGGAGCCAGGGCCCCCACCCCTTGAGAGCATAAGGCAGTGCCCCTCTCCACTGCAGCACCCTTGCAGGGCTGAGGTCCCCTGGCTGCAGTGGTGAGTGCTGTGCTGTCTTCTTTACTTGCTTTCCACTTTTAGCAAATAGTGACTATGTCAATAAAGGGAGGTGTCCTCAAACCCTATTGTCTTGAGTTTAGTTTAGCAGTAAAACAAACAAAAAAAGGTCATATTACAAGCAGAGAGTTAAGGGTACAAGTTACAAAAGTAATAAATTCTTGGGCTAGACACAGTGGCTCATGCCTGTAATTTGAGCACTTTGGGAGACTGAGGTGGGAGGATCATCTTAGCCCAGAAGTTTGAGGCTGCAGTGAGCTGTGATTGCATCATTGTGCTCCAGCCTGGGTGAAAGAGCAAGACCTTGTCTCAAAAAAAAAAAAAAAAAAAAAAGGAAAGAAAGGAAAAGAAATCTTTGAGAGTCAGTCTGGACTCAATAGCAAACATCAATTTCTGAAGTTTCTGAAAGCGTGGAATCAGCGAATACAGAATTGATCATGGAAATGATGACCCACAGTGTCAGTACAAATGCATTAAGATGCATTAAGTATAGTTGCTTGGAATCAATACAATCGAAATAAGTAAATATATGGGCACTTTGGCACTCAGGTCCTTCATCTCACAATTCCTGGAGGTTCCACTCTGCCACCAGATCTCAGTTGGCATCTGATATGGTTTGGCTGTGTCCCCACCCAAATCTTGTATCGAATTGTAGTTCCCATAATTCCCTTGTGTTGTGAGAGGGACCCACTGGGAGATAATTGAGTCATGGGGGCTGTTCATGGTAGTGAATAAGTCTCACGAGATCTGATGGTTTTATAAGAGGAAACCCCTTTTGCTTGGCTCTCACGTTTCTCTTGTCTGCCACCATGTGAGATGTGACTTTCACCTTCCACCATGATTGTGAGGCCTCCCCAGAAACATGGAACTATGAGTCTATTAAACCCCTTTCTTCTGTAAATTGCCCACTCTCGGATATGTCTTTATCAGCAGCGTGAAAAGAGACTAATACAGCATCTGTGGAAAACAAACAATCTTTCTTTTAGCTTGGTCAATTCCAGAGATTTTGAGCTCTCAATTCAGACATGAGCCCTGCCAATGCCTTCTAGACAGAGCTTCCCTCTGCAGACTACTGTGAAGAATGTGTTTTGTTTTTGTTTTGAGACGGAGTCTCACTCTGTCCCTCAGGCTGGAGTGCAGTGGCACAACCTTGGCTCGCTGTAATCTCTGCCTCCTAGATTCAAGCAATTCTCCTGCCTCAGCCTCCTGAGTAACTGGGATTACAGGCACATGCCATCACGCCCAACTAATTTTTGTATTTTTAGTAGAGACAGAGTTTTCCCATGTTGGCCAAGGTGGTTTTGAACTCCTGACCTCAAGTGATCCACCAGAATGCATTTTAAGTGGCTCTGAGTAACAAACTTCCCAGTGTTGATGATGGCCCAGTACATAACCTAGACTGATGACAATTGTCAGCCCATATTATGGTGGCTTTAGCCACTGCAAAGCTGTATAAGGTACAGAATAGCACTAGTTATATATGTTTTCATATTTCTTTTCTCTTTGTGATATGAATCCACTACAATGCACTAAAAGAGTATTTAT
This sequence comes from Homo sapiens, assembly GCF_000001405.40. Taxonomy (NCBI): domain Eukaryota; kingdom Metazoa; phylum Chordata; class Mammalia; order Primates; family Hominidae; genus Homo; species Homo sapiens. Next base: position 32,096,815 of record NC_000010.11, read on the forward strand.
TTACTGCTGTATTTTTGTTTTCCATGATAGCTATTGCTTCCCAAAGTTAACGTAAAAATAGTTTACTACTGTTAACTTGCTTGGTTAACCCAACTTATGAACTACGTTAGTACGGTAAATGTTTTATATAAACAGTTTTTGAAGGCACAGCACAAGTCAAAAGTCCACAGAGGCAATGTGACTTAATTTCTGGAAAATTAAGAGTTTCATGAACATCTAAGAAATGAAATAGATGAACATATATTTAATAGTTAGTGGCATTAAAATCAAACATTAAGGCTAATTTCAATGTACTTATCTCACTTGACCAGTTAAAATGGTTTTCAACTCGTAAAATTCTGCCTTTGCGGTAAGATTACAACATATAAAAGTTTTTCAATGTGATTTTAACCAATGTAGCCAATCATTTAGGACTAAGACCATATTTTTGATCAGGGACATTTTCTCCTCATTCAAGTACAGTTGTAAATTTGTTTTATTTTGAAATATTTTAACATAAAAAAATGTATAGCATGTAATGTTATGGGCACCTATTCAGCCAAAAGCCCCATTTAAGTTGTAAACTTGGTATAACTGAAGCTCTCTGTGCACTCCTACCCATCTCATTTCCACTTTTCCCATTGGGTACTGACATCAATCCCAGTTATTCTTGCTACACGTTACCTGTATCAGTCCGTTATCATGCTGCTATGAAGAAATACCTCAAATTGGGTAATTTATAAAGGAAAGAGGTTTAATTGACTCACAGTTCTGCATTGCTGGGAAAGCCTCAGGAAACTTACAATCATGGCAGAAGGCAAAAGAGAGGCAGGCACTTCCTTCACAGGGTGGCAGGGAGTGCATGCAGGGGAAATGCCAAATGCTTATAAAACCATCAGATCTTGTGAGAATTCACTCACTATAACGAGAACAGCATGGGGGAAACTGTCCCCATGATTCAATTACCTCCACCTGGTCCTGCCCTTGATACATGGGGATTATGGAGATTACAATTCAAGATGAGATTTGGGTGGGGACACAGAGTCTAACCAGATCATTCCACCCCTGGCCTCTCCCAAACCTCATATCCTTTTCACATTTCAAAACCAATCATACCTTCCCAACAGTACCCCAAAGTCTTCATTCATTCCAACATTAACCCAAGTCCAAGTCCAAAGCCTCATCTGAGACAAGGCAATTCCCTTCTACCTATGAGCCTGTAAAATTAAAAGCTAGTTAGTTACTTCCTAGATACAATGGGGGTACAAGCATTGGGTAAATGGGAGAAACTCATTCCAAATGGGAGAAATTGGCAAAAATGAAGGGGTTAGAGGGCCAATGCAAGTCCAAAATCCAGTGGGGCAGTCAAATCTTAAAGCTCCAAAATCATCTCCTTTGACTCCATGTCTCACATCCAGGTCATGCTGATGCAAGAGGTGGGTTCCCATGGTCTTGGGCAGCTCCACCCCTGTGGCTTTGCAGGGTACAGCCCCCCTCCCAGCTGCTTTCACAGGCTGGTGTTGAGTGTCTGTGGCTTTTCCAGGCGCATGGTACAAGCTGCTGATGGATCTACCATTCTGGCATCTGGAGGACAGTGGCCCTCTTCTCACAGCAACACTAGGCAGTGCCTCAGTAGGGACTCTGTGTGGGGGCTCTGACCCCATATTTCCCTTCCACACTGCACTAGCAGAGGTTCTCCATGAGGGCTCTGCCCTTGCTGCAAACTTCTGCCTAGATATCCAAGCATTTCCATACATCCTCTGAAATCTAGACAGAGGTTTCCCAACCTCAGTTCTTGACTTCAGTACACCCACAGGCCCAACACCACATGTAAGCCACCAAGGCTTGGGGCTTGCATCCTCTGAAGCAACATCCTGAGCTTTACCTTAGCCCCTTTTAGCCATAGCTGGAATGCAGGGCACCAAGTCCCAAGACTGCGCAAAGCAGCAGAGCCCTGGGCCCGGCCCACGAAACCATTTTTTCCTCCTAAGCTTCTGGGCCTGTGATGAGAGGGGCTGCCAAGAAGACCTCTGACATGCCCTGAAAACATTTTCCCCATTGTCTTGGAGATTAACATTTGGCTCCTCATTACTTAAGCAAATTTCTGCAGTGGGCTTGAATTTCTCCTCAGAAAATGGGTTTTTCTTTTCTATTGCTTTGTCAGGCTGCAAATTTGTCAAACTGTTATGCTTGGCTTCCCTTTTAAACATAAGTTCCAATTCCAAACCATCTCGTTGCAGATGCATAAAACTGAATGCTTTTAAGAGCACCCAAGTCACATCTTGAACACTTTGCTGCCTAGAAATTTCTTCTGCCAGATACCCTGAATCATCTCTCTCAAGTTCAAAGTTCCACAGAGCTCTAGGGCAGGGGCAAAATGCCATCAGTCTCTTTGCTAAAGCATAGCAAGAGTCACCTTTGCTCCAGTTCCTAATAAGTTCCTAATCTACATTTGAGACAGCCTCAGCCTGGACTTCATTGTCCACATCACTATTAACATTTTGGTCAAAACCATTCATTCAACAAGTCTCTAGGAAGTTCTAAGTTTTCCCACATCTCCCTGTCTTATTCTGAACCTTCCAAACTGTTTCAGCCTCTGCCTGTTACCTACTTCCAAATTTGCTTCCACATTTTCAGGTATCTTTATAGCAGTGCCCCACTACCTTGGTACAAATTTACTGTATTAGTCCATTCTCACACTACTATGAAAAAATACCTGAGACTGGGTAATTTAATAAAGGAAAGAGATTTAATTGATTCACAGTTCTGCATTGCTGGGGAGGCCTCAGGAAATTTACAATCATGGTGGAAGGCAAAGGAGAAGCAGGACCTTCTTCACAGGGTGGCAGAACAGAGTAAGTGCAAGCAGGGGAACTGCCAGACACTTATAAAACCATCAGATCTCATGAGAACTCACTCACTATCACAAGAACAGCAGGCGGGAAACCACCCCCATGATCCAATTACCTCACCTGGTCCTGCCCTTGACACGTGGGGATTATGGGGATTACAACTCAAGATGAGATTTGGGTGGGGACATAAAGCCTAACCATATCATTATCCCTCTGAATTGTTGGGTACATTCTTCAATGACCAGGGGCTTTGGGACATGGAGAAGAATACTCCTAGCTATTTGTACTTTGTTTAATGCTCAGATTATTAAGCCTCATATATCTAATATTTGAAAGCTAAATTTTCTTGAACATTTAAGAATTAAATTTAATTAATTACATTTCCCCAAACAATTTTAAACTGTAATTACAAATATATTTATTAGTATGGTTGATTTCTAAGACATTTCAAACACTTCAGATGGTAAATAAAACATACAAATGATAATAAAATGTATTATTATACCTAAATTATTTTTGAGACATCAGAATAACAGGCTAAATTTATTATGTTTGTAGTTGTTTTTATACCTTTTTTGGGTTATAGTTATTTTTATTTTAATAATATCTTGAGTTTTCATAACAATTTTTTTGATACATTCCCAGGATTGCAGTAATCTTACCAGACTCAAAAGAAAAATACTCCAAGGTTGTAAGATGTGGCTTATCAAAGATTATTCATTAGAGCACAGGACTTGAGGGCTTCTTAGGTGAGTCAAATTTGATCCCTGGTCATGGGGGCTGAACTTCTTGTTTACAGTAAAGCTCCACTTATCATCTCAGTAAAACTTTTCAGATCATTTTTAGCCTATGTTTTATTTTTTGCAACTTGCTATCTTCCTTCAAAATAGTTTACTTTGAGCAGGGCACGAAGACTCATGTCTGTAATCCCAGCACTTTTTCTTTCTTTTTTTTTTTTTTAAGTTCTGGGATACATGTGCAGAATTTGCAGGTCTGTTACATATGTATACATGTGCTATGGTGGTTTGTGGCATCCTGTCACCTAGGTTTTAAGCCCCATATGCATCAGGTATTTGTCCTAATGCTCTTCCTCCCCTTGTCCCCCACCCCCCAACAGGCCCCAGTGTCTGATGTTCCCCTCCCTGTGTCTATGTGTTCTCATTGTTCAACTCCCACTTATGAGTGAGAACATGTGGTGTTTGGTTTTCTGTTCCTGTGTTAGTTTACTGAGAATGATGGTTTCCAGGTTCATCCATGTCCCTGCAAAGGACATGAACTCATTCTTCTTTATGGCTGCAATCCCAGCACTTTGAGATGCTGAGGTGGGAGAATCAACTGAGCCCAGGAATTGGAGGCTGCAGTGAGCTAAGATCGCCCTACTGCACTCCAGTCTGGGCGTTAGAGTAAGACCCTGTCTCTAAAACACAAAACAAGCAAAAATCCAAATCATTTACTTTTTCTTTATAGTCCTGGTTGGCTAGTGTTAGATAACATGTTCTGCTATTATATATTCACCTGGTCTGTTTTCATATTAAAACCGTGTTCATTTCTTGTTGTATTTCACTATCACCAGTAGGACTATCAAGAAGTTTAATTACCTAGGAGATGCACAGTTAGCTTTCCTCTCTAACACATTTGGCACATTTAACTCTATTGAACTCTTTTTCGCATCTTATGTGGAACCAGCTGCAGTGATTGTTAAACTCCTATCTTCCCTGTTGTTGTGTGTGACCACTGGGGACAGTAATTCTTCCTGTCTTTTGTATAGTCTCTACAATTTCTAGGACTTTTTAACAGTGTTGTATTCCACATTTTTCTTATACAGATAGAAAGAATTATAATCCATACTCGATAAATAGGTAAAAACTTAAAGAAAGAAAACACACATACTTCCTCTTTTATTTATTAAAATCAATACAAATAAAACATATTTTCTTATAATCATTCTTCTTTTTCAGTACATTACCTTTTGTATAATTTATGCTAATGTTCCCTTTTCAGGTATCATAAACCCTTGGCCTTTTATAGATTTGATTTGTTCTAATTAATTTATTAACAGTAACGGTTATTGTTCATGATGGGAAACCATTTAAGCAAATTGCTTTGCCCTATAGCATTGCTCTGGCATCCTTAAAGACATTCTTGCTTTTTGGCAAGACATGAAGTTCCAAAAACCATCCTAATTTTTCTTGCCCCAAGACATGGAATCAGCTGTCCTCTAGGAGTCCTTCTCTTTTTGGTAGGCAATACTATTAGAGACCAACTTATACTTATATCTATCTGTATAAGAAAAATGTTGAATACAATACTGATAAAAAGTCCCAGAAATTGTAGAGACCATACAAAAGGCAGGAAGACTTACTGTCCCCAGTGGTCACATGCAACAACAGGGAAGATAGGAGTTTAACAATCACTGCAGCTGGTTACACATAAATGTGCTGCTGTTGCCGTGGGACCACATAAAAGAGTGATAGAGCTAGAAAATATACATCTTTTTTAAAGCCAAAGCTTATACTGATTTTTCCATTTAAATACGTGATGTTACTATACTCTACTTTCCTAATAGTAGAAAGTTTTATCATTGCCTAACTGAGAAAAGCCATTCCCTGCAACAAGAAGGAAAATCTCTAACTGCTGAACATTTATCTCACAAAACTCCTCCCAGGAAATATGAGTTCCCCCCAAATAACACATTTTGACTTACTATTCTATTTAATTAAACAAGTACATAACTGAAGCATTCTGAACATAGATGCAGGAGGACTTAGCTGTCAGGCTGAAGATCACCTATGTCTTTTTTTTTTTTGGCTATTAATCATGCCATGTTATTTTTAATTATGTACAAAGATCTAACATGTCACCCAGGGACAATTTCACCCACTGCTCTGTTTGGCCGCCAGTCTTTTGTCTCTCTCTTCAGCAATGGTGAGGTGGATACCCTTTCCTCGGGGAAGAGAAATCCATGGTTTGTTGCCCTTGCCAATAACAAAAATGTTGGAAAGTCGAGCGGCAAAGCTGTTGCCATTGGCATCTTTCACACGAACCACGTCGAATGATCCAGGGTGCCTCTCTCTGTTGGTGATCACACCAATTCTTTCCAGGTTAGCACCTCCAGTCACCATACATAGCTTACCAGCGTCAAACTTGATGAAATCAGTAATCTTGCCAGTCTCCAAATCAATCTAAATGGTGTCATTCACCTTGATGAGGGGATCAAGGTAGTGGATGGTGTGAGCATCATGAGTCACCAGATGAGGGATTCCTTTTGTGCCCACAAAGATTTTTCTCACTCTGCACAACTTGTACTTGGCCACTTCAGGTGTAATAAGATGTACATCAAAGCAACTCTTGGTGTCATAGATCAGACAGAAATTCTCTCTCATCTTGTCAATGCTGATGACATCCATGAATCCAGCAGGGTAGGTTATATCAGTTCAGACCTTGCCATTGATCTTAATGAACTGCTGCATGTAAATCTTCTTCCTCACCTGTCAGGTCATACTTAAGTCTGTTCCTTAGGAAAATGATGAGGGGGAGACACTCTCGCAACTTGTGGGGACCACTGGATGGACAAGGAGCAAACACACTGGTCACTTTATCCAGCATCCAATGCTTTGGAGCTGCTACCCACTTCAGATGCTTCTTGGGACACAGCCATGGCTGTGTTAGGCAAGGAAGGAGGATCACCTATGTCTTAACCTTTTCTTTTTGCAATAACAGAATAACTCAGGCTGGGTAATTTATAAATAAAAGAGGTTTATTTAGTTGATTCCGCAGGCTAGGAAGTATGAGAAGCACAGCTCCAGCATCTGCTTGGCTTCTGCTGAGGGGCTCATGGTAGGCTAAAACATGATGGAGAGGCCGGGGGCTACAGTTAAAGCTTGTAATCCCAGCACTTTGGGAGGCCAAGGTGGGCAGATCATTTGAGGTCAGGAGTTCGAGACTACCCTGGCCAACATGATGAAACCCCGTCTCTACTAAAAATATACAAAAAATTAGCTGGGCATGGTGGTATACGCCTGTAGTCCCAGCTTCTCAGGAGGCTGAGGCAGGAGAATCGTTTGAGCCCAGGAGGCGGAGGTGGCAGTAAGCCAAGATAGTGCCACTGCACTCCAGCCTGGTGACAGAGCAAGACTCTGTCTCAAAAGAAAAAAACAAGAAACAAAAAAACAAGCAACAATGTGGAAAGGTCAAAGGTGAAGTGGACACGTGTGAAGAAAGGCAAAGCCTGAGGAATGTCCTGGCTTTATAACAACCTGCCCTTCTGAGAACTAACCCATTCCCAAGAGACCTAATCCAAGACTAATTCAAGAACTCACTCACTACCATGAGAACAGCACCAAGCCATTCATGAGGGATCCACCCCCATGGCCCAAATACCTCCCACTAAACTCACCTCCCAACGCTGCCACCTTGGAGATCAAATTTCAACATGAGTTTTTGGGGGAAATAAACTCAAACCATACTCAAATCATAGCAATCTCCAAAACCATGAAAGCTGGCAGGGTTGCCATAACCACACTTTAATTATTTTAACTCTGTTATCTAAGGATCCCGGGAACACAAGCAATAAAAATTTTAACTCAAAAACTTTGCAGAGACGTCTCAATTCTCATTTAAAGCCTTAATGTCATTATGATGTTGGATTTCTTAGCCATCCTAAAGGCTGTAGGCTCTGAGGCATTTACTTGTTTCTTTTACAACATTAAAAATGGAACACTTCCATTTTTCAGGCAAGCAATTTATTTTATTGGAATTTCTTGGGTAGTCTCCAGCTGTGCAGGCCAAGAGACTTATCTGGGGGTCACAGACACATTCTGAATTGTGAGCTCTTCATTTCTGAGTCGATCAGAGTGGAAACTCTATTCAGCTTGTCAACACACATTTAGTGAGTCTCTCTTACACACCTGGCCCAAATATATATAGGAACTAGAAGTTTGGGAATGAAAAACATTTGTTTCTTTCCTTTAAGCCACCTCTAAAAGCTAGACTAGTCTTTCAGAATCAAGGACTATGTATCAAGGACTATACTTCTAAGAGGATCAGCTCAACTCCTGAGTGTTGCATGGGAATGGGGTCAGTCCTAGAGATGACTCATGGATTGAAATTGGTCTAGGAGGGATCAGCAGTGGCCCTGATTGTGTGTTGGTTATGTAGTGGAAGGAAGAAGAAAGAGGGCTCTGTAAAGAGGAAAGTCAGTCAGGAAGTGGAAGGACCACAGACTTCTGGGCTGGCCCTTCCTGGAGTGACCTTGAGCCCCTAATCCGGCCTGGGGATGACCCCTTTGAATATATTGGAACAGACCCCGAACCCCAAGGCTGGAGCACTATTTCCATTCAGGGAATAGTGATGCATGTGGGCCAATCAGTGGCTCACCTAGCTCCACCCTATTCCATGTCTGCCCCACCAGGACCTCGTCTTCTCTGGATCCAGTGCTGCAATGATCTGGGATGCATTTCTGTGTGTTTGAAGTCTTTAGGTAGCAACTAAGAGAACTACTATTTCTGACATTAAAGAAATTATGTTTGGTGATCATAAACCAGTTTCGTCATTTAATCCTTTTGTGTATCCAGACTATGACCTTCTCTTTCTTTCTTTATTTATTCATTTGCCAATTCATTTATTTAGCAAATATTTATCAGGATCTTTATGTGCACATAGCAGCAGTTAGGAAGGTGAGAAATTAACAAGCACAAAGTATATTCTGTAGAGAGGTGACCACAGTATTACATGGTGTGACAAAGTGACAATTTAGGGACAAGTTTTGAAAATGACATCCTCCGAAGTTGAATTGGAATAAAACATAAAGTGCATAAGATTAGCCATCCATAGAAGTTACTCAACCTGACACAAATTAGTCTCCCCCATAATAACAACTGTAAGTATAACTACATTTTGTAATTGGGGAAACATAATATGAGGTTATGTTGTACTACTATAATAACAAAAGCATTCATGTCTGGGGAGAAAGGGTGAAAAAGAAAAGTATTGGCCGGGCGCGGCGGCTCATGCCTATAATCCCAGCACTTTGGTAGGCTGAGGTGGGTGGATCACCTGACCTCAGGAGTTCAAGACCAGCATGGGCAACATGGTGAAACCCCATCTCTCCTAAAAATACAAAAATTAGCTGGGCATGGTGGCTGGCACCTGTAATTCCAGCTATTCAGGAAGCTGAGGCATGAGAATTGCTTGAACCCGGGAGGTGGAGTTTGCAGTGAGCCGAGATTGCGCTACTGTATTCCAGCCTGGGTGACAAGAGCGAACTCACAACAACAAAGAAAAGTATCTGTTAGTGTGCCTCCAGCACTGTCCAAGGGAGAGAAAATAATAGACCAGTGTTTGTTATCTAGATGGACATAGCCCCAGAGAGAAAGCTAATATTTGCATAGTGCTTTACTTTACAAAGCGTTTTCATGTATATATCTCTTTCAACATTCACAATTGCCCCATAAACATGCTATCATTATCATTCCTGTTTTATTGAGGAGGAAATGGAGTCTGGAGGCAAGGTGACTTTCCAAGGTCACCTTGTCAATGGAGTAGAGCTAGGAGTGATCTGAGTTGAAGGTGAGTGGGGTACTTTCCAATTCCCTGTAGCTGTCTTACATACGCCAGTGAAAACTCACTACAAGGCCAGTCGCATTGGCTCACACCTGTAATCCCAGCACTTAGGGAGGCCAAGGTAGGAGGATCACTTGAGCCTAGGAGTTGGAGACCAGCCTGGGTAATATAGTGAGACCCGTCTCTACAAAAAATACAAAAATTAGCCAGGTGTGGTGGTATTCCAGCTTCTCCAAGTCCCAAGGATTGCTGGAGCCTGGGAGGTCGAGGTTGCAGTGAGCAGCGATGGAGCCACTGCACTCCAGCCTCGGTGACAGAATATGAAAGAAAAAAATCGGGGCTGGCCTCAGGCTTTTGCAACCTGTGTAGCTGTGACCTGCTCGAGGGAGGGCCTTACTCTTGGTTTAATGCTTTATTGTCACTATCCCGAAGTTCTTTAATAATTTTTTAACAAGGAACTGGGTATTTTCATTTTGTACCAGATCCTACAAATTGCGTAGCCAGTCCTGACTGTACAAGTGATGGCTACCAGCTGGGCATGAGAGTCTTGGGAGTTTGTCCCAAAGTTTTGGGAGCTTGAAAGGTATATGGGATCTGGAAACAAGGACAGGAGAGGAAGTAGGCATAGGGAGAAACATGGGGAAAGGCAGGCTGGTAGGGCATACTGGGCACACTCTCTGGAGTAATACCATCTTGCAAGCTTGCTGCCTTTGGTTCATTCCAGAATATCCCTAATGAAAGAGTTATTGAAAGTAATGGCAAAGAACTGCAATTACTTTTGCACCAAACTAATACCACAACAGGTCTGTATGCTTAGTCCTTACATGTCTCCAAGGACACCATGATTGACTCTTTGCCAGCAACTGGGAATATGGCTCCTGAAATGTTCTTTATGGTAGTGACTGATAGTTTTTGTTTCTTTTTGGGACAGTCTCACTCTATCACCCAGGCTGGAGTGCAGTGGTGTGATCATAGCTCACTGCAGCCTTGATCTCCTGGGCTCAAGTAATTCCCCCACCTCAGCCTCCTGAGTAGCTAGGACTACAGGCATGCAACATCATGCCCAGCTAATTTTTAATTTTGTTTTCACAGAGACAGGGTCTCATTATGGCTCCCAGGCTGGTCTCAAACTCCTGGACTCAAGTGATCCTCCTGCCTCAGTCTCACGAAGTTTTAGTATTACAGGTGAGAGCCAATGCACCTGGCTATGATTGATGGTTTTGCTACATATACTTGGAGCAATGGGCCACACTGTACTGGTTTGTTGGGTTCTTGGCACAAATATCAAGACACTTGGGTTTTTTTACTGGGATCTTGAGTGTTAGTTGCCATGACTGGTTGTATAGCAGGAGGTACCTTTGTGACCCACCTGCTACAAAGCCCTCAGATTCTGAGACTCATATATACCAGATAGCTCTACCAGAGAGAAAGTGCTCCTGTGTGGCTGTGAATGAGGAAGGAAATCAGAGGCCTATGCTGGGCCTCCCAGGACCCTCCCTGGACTCCTCTGTTTGCACATTCCCTGCTATTTTTGCTCAGTATGCTTTGCTGCAATGAATCTTAGGACCCTGTCACTGAGTCTCGTGCATCCATCTGGTGAACCACCAAAAAACAAGACAAAATCTTCGGAAATAGTCCTTACGCTATTTTCTGCATTTTTCGTGATTAGAATCCATGTGGGTTTTTTTTAATCACACACACACACACACAAATATGACAAAAACTTGGATCTCAGGGAAGAAAAGTATTCATTAATGAACTACAAAACTAAGCCATGGCAAGGATGGGCGCTGTGGCTCACGCCTGTAATCCCAGCACTTTGGGAGGCCGAGGCTGGCAGATCAAGAGTTCTGGAGATCGAGACCATCCTGGCTAACACAGTGAAACCCCGTCTGTACTAAAAATAGAAAAAATTAGTTGGGCGTGGTGGTGGGCACCTGTAGTCCCAGCTACTCAGGAGGCTGAGGTAGGAGAATGGCATGAACCCGGGAGGTGGAGCTTGCAGTGAGCTGAGATGGCGCCACTGCACTCCAGCCTGGGTGACAGAGCAAGATTCCATCTCAAAAAAATAATAATGATAATAATCCATGGCAATGAGCAAAATGCAGGTGGGTGGGGAGGACCCTTGTAACTCTGATCACAAGAAAAGTGGTCATTTCTTTAACATATGAATCGTTCCTATAAACAAAGAAGAAAATCCCAACAATCCAATAGGAAAACTATCGAATGGATCACGCACACAAAAGATATGATAGTTCACTCAAAAGGAAAGATAAGGATACTAAGCAATAAATTCAAAATTAAACCAAAGTAAGATACCAATGGCACAAACCAAATGCTTTGCCGACATTGTGGGATAGGCTATGGTAAATTTATATATTGCTTATGAGGGTACAAATTAATACAACTTTTTTGGATTTTAATTTCTCAATAGTTCTAAAAATTTTAAATAACCTTTCCTTTGGCCTAGTGAATCCACTCTAAAAAACTATCTCGCAGATATGGTTCCTCAGTATAGGTTAAATAAAAGACATTCACTCACTGAATGCTGTTTATAAAAGCAAACATCTAAACAATCTATGGGTCCATCAACAAAATTCTTGCTGTATTATGTTTCATCCACACATTGGAAAAGTATAGAGCAGTTCAAAAAAATAAGATAAGGCCGGGCGTGGTGTGGCTCATGCCTGTAATCCCAGCACTTTGGGAGGCCGAGGCAGGTGGATCGCTTGAGGTCAGGAATTCGAGACTAGCCTGGCCAACATGGTGAAACTCCCATCTCTACTAAAAATACAAAAATTAGCCAGGCATGGTGGCGCATGCCTGTAATCCCAGCTACTTGGGAAGCTGAGGCAGGAGAATTGCTTGAACTGGGGAGGTAGAGGTTGCAGTGAGCCAAGATCGCACCACTGCACTCAAGCCTGGGCTACAGAGCAAGAATCTGCCTCAAAAATAAATAAATAAATAAGTCTATATGCACTGACATGTTCAAACCCTCTGCCACTGTAGATGAAAAATGTAATCTGCATAGCACAAATAGCTCAACAATATTTATGGAAAAGGTATATTTGCTATATCTTTGATATGCATGTATATGCATAGAAAGGGTTTGTGAGGATGTAGACCCACTTTTTAACACTTCCTTTAAGAGGAATGGGATAGAAAGGTTTTGATTTCTTTTTTCCACTTTTCATTCTATGCGTTTACTTGTTTTTACTAGGAGAATGTATGTTCATGTTACATTTGTGGACAGAGAATAAAAACAATAAGTCAAGTGCATCAGGTTCACAAAAGCCTTACCTGAAACTGCTACAGGGTGAACACCAGGAAAGGTAAAATCTGTTTCTCAGGACACGTGGAATTTCTGTGCCATTTGTGTGTGTAGGAGAAACCCCCAAATTCTCCCAATAAATTGCGAGTCCCGTAGGATAGGTACGCATTTGATGGCCTTGAAAAAGCGATCCTTGTATTTGCCGAACCCCTGAGAGGTCAACCAGGCCACAAACACCTTCCATATTCGTCAGGCGACTGGGGCCAACCACGTGCTACAAATGCCGCCTCCGCCGGCAGCTTGGGGCGGAGCTCAAATAGACTCGCCTAGAATTTCTCCAGGAAACGGTTGGGTAGGGGGAGCTCTGGCCCACGGCTGCTTTTTCACCTGCCAAGGCCTGGGTGCTTCCTGCAGAGCCATTTCACCAACAACGACTCCTACGTCTTCTCGGCTTCCAGGATGAGCACCGAGGCCAATTGCGCCTCGCTTTTGGCGGTCTTCCACAGCGACTCACTGCTGGACCCGGCCATCTTTGCAGAAGTCAGCAAACTGGACGGTGCGGTGCAGGATCTGCGTGTGGCGCGGGGAAACGGAAGCCAGATCCAGTACCAGCAGGTGTGCGCGAGGTACAGGGTGCTCTGCGTGCCCCCCAACCCGCTCCTGTACGCCTGGCAGGTGGACAAAACGCTCGACCTGAGCAGCATCTCCTTCCCCATCTACAAATAGGGCGGGCATCCCCTCTACCTGACCAGCTTCTTCGGAGGACACATCTTGGGGGACAGCCTAGGAATGGGCCACTTACTCCTGCGGGCCAAAGCCGTGTGGCTGCTGTACTGCCTGAAGACCGAGCATCCTGAGGACGACGTGCAGAGCAAGCAGTGGCTCACCCATTTCCTCGACCAATTTGCCAACGTTAAGAACAGCCTGGCCTTGAAGAAAATTGAGGTACCTGGCTGTTCGGGTTTACAGGGAGGCCAGGAGAAGGTGGGAGGGACGGGGAAGACTTGTGCCCAGAACCCTAACAGAAGCGCTGCCTGACTGCTTGACGGGGTCCTTGCCTCAAAGCTGGGTGTGCTCTGCTGTATTTGGTACTTAATCCAATTTTCTGAACACCGATGGATGCCAGAAATTGTGAATTTTCGGTAACATTCTAGTCAATAACACAAATCTTGTGTCCACCAGATGGGCCGGTTCAGTACAGACATTGATCTTCATATTTAATTTTGGGGTTTGGTTTCTAATCAAATTATAGTACTCTGAAATTCTACTTTTAGTTAAAGTCTTCACTGGTTTTGGGGAGCCCCCTAAAACTTGCTTGGAGCTCTCTAGGATTAAAAAACAAACTTTTAAGTAGAAGTTCCGTGGTGTTAAGAAGGTAAGTAGCTCAGCATTTTTCAAATTAGATACATATGAAGCATCTGGCTTAGTGTGAGGTACATATCAGCTGTTCAGTTATTGCTGGGTCAGCAACCCTATTAAGTTGTATAAATAGAGAAGCAGTGGGGGTGTCAGGGCACAACCCAGGCAGCAGCGGCGGCCACAGCGTTTATCCGCCTGTGGAGGATGAGGCATCCTCGGCGGTTCAACTGTGTTGCTCCAAGTGACATAATGTCATGATTTTGGTGGCTGAAGGGTTTTGCCTTGTGTACATACTAGAGTTTCTTGATCTCTTCATTTGTGGATGGACAGGTTCATCTGTATTGCTCCAAGCTACATAATTTTATTATTTTGGTGGCTGAAGGCTATTCCCTTCAGTATATGTGTTAGAGTTTCCTGATCCCTTCATCTGTGGATGCACAGGGTTCCACATGTGGCTGCGGATGACAGGGTTTCCAGAAGCTTTATGGCTGAAGAGTATTCCATTGTGTATCTACACAGCAGTTTCTTTACCCCTTCATCTGTGAATAGCCAGGTTGATGTGATTCCTGGATTGCCTGGAAGAAGCAAATACAGAACAGAGCATTGAATTACTGGTTTAGACAGTGGGAAAGAGACATATATTTACCGTTATCTTCTCTTGGCACATTTGACATATTATAGACTTTATTTTACTGAGTATATTTTTGTGGCGGGCGGTCCAGTTTACATCGCTTTCCAGACAACTGGAATTTGAGGCAACTTCTATGACAGTGATCCCTGTGTTTCACCTGGCATACATTCTTATCATACTGTTTGCAGTCACATCATGCTATTGTTGCTGCAAGTTCTGGATCAAAAGTATTATCTGTGAAACTCAAGAGCAGGCTGGACTTGCCCGCCCCACTCTCGCCAATGATGAGGATCTTCAGGGTGGTCAGCGCATCCTCATCCATCCTCACCCTGCTGGGCTCTGAGCCCAGCTGTCTGCCCCAGGGTCCACCTCTCAGCCTTTCAGTAGGGAAGGCTGCCCAGAATCCATGTGTTTTTATGAAACATCCATCAGTTTCATATAATAATACTAAAGATTGATCATGATAATATGTATACTGATAAACCTCAGTCCCATTATGTCTTTTTCTTAAACTGCTTTCTAAAATTTGAAATTTGTTCTTTTCTTCTGAAGATTTTGGAGGGTCTAGTTGAATTTCAATAATTTTAAATGACTTTTTAAAAAACCACAAAACCCTGTATGATCCAGATGCCATCTCGCCACTTGGAGAGTACCTATTATTTTGGAGACATGTGCACTTGCTAAAATTGGCGTGGAACAGCCTACAGAGTGCATGCCTTTGGGTCCTCTTGGATTGATTACTGCCATTCTTTCTTCTCCAACATTCCGGAGGCACTGACTCATGGATTACAAAGTGTTTCAAAATTCTACCACATATGCCCCTGCCAACTCTAGCTCAATTTTTATATCTTTGCAAAAACTTGACCTCTAATGAGGTCTTAGGTTTATTTTATAATCCACTGAGTTAAAAATAACTAGACTTAGATTGCCTTTATATGGTATTCATCTGTATACTTAGCTCTTAGGCTATTGGTTAGGACTTATACAATTAAAAAACTCACGATGTATATTTAGAAGATGTCAGAAAAACACTCACTTTCTAAGTCTTCAAAGTTATATTCTTTTACATTGTCTCTCCTGACCATCGAGAATGCTCTTGAGGCCAGGCACAATGGCTCACACCTGTAATCCCAGCAACTTAGGAGTCCAGGGTGGGAGGATCATTTGAGCCCAGGAGTTCGAGACCAGCCTGGACAACATGGCGAAACCTCGTCTCTACAAAAAATACAAAAAATTAGCCAGGCGTGGTGTCGCACACCGGTAGTCCCAGCTACTCAGGAGGCTGAGGTGGGAGGATCCCTTGAGCCCAGGCGGTTGAGGCTGCAGTGAGAAGTGATTGCACCACCGCACTCCAGCCTGGGCAACAGAGCAAGACTCATCTCAAAAAAAAAAGAATGCTCTTTGTTTATATTAACACTATGCATATGGTTATTTTACTATTTTAAAACTTTTCATTAAAATGTCTTATTATTGAAATATAATTTATATTTCATTTCAATTTATATATATATATATATCCCTTGCTTTGCAGAATATCTGTATTAAAACATTTGACTATAAAGGCAAGTTTCTATCTTTATACTCCCATCAATGCAACTGAGGTTTGTATAGAATACTCATTACCTCACTTGCTCTTTCAACTCTTCAGGAAGTCAGGCATTGTGAGAGGTGAAGGGAATTGTCACTATCATATGTCATTCACCGGAGAAGCTGAAGTTCCTCTTGTCACGCCAAGCTCAGAAATCTTAAGAGGTTCTCCACTGTCCACCAAATCAAGTTGAAACTCCTCTGCTGTTTTTAAATATCCTCCGTAGTCTAGCCCTATCCTGTCTATTTGATCCCATTTTTCACCACTCCGCAGCATGGGCACTTAGCTCCTTATTGTGCTTAAAACAAGGCTGACCACATAGTAAATATATGCACACTTATTGATGAGTTTTTTGTTTTTAAGAGATGGGGGTCTTGCTACTTTGCCCAGGCTGGAATGCAGTGACTATTCATCATAGGTCACTGCAGCCTCAAACTTCTGGGCTCAAGCAATCCTCCCACCTCAGCCTTCCAAGTAGCTGGAACTCTAGGCATGCATCACACCCCGTTTATTGATGGATTTTTAAAGATAGAAACAAAATATTCTAACACACTATAAGCATATGAAACTTGAGGCTATTACAAAAACATTTATAAGACAATTGGAGAAAGCTGAACTTTGATTAAATATTTGATATTAAGAGATTATTGTTAACTTTTTTAAGTGTTAATGGTATTGTGTATTGTGTTTATGTTAAAAAAGAATCCTTGCTTTTAAGGTGTATATATATGATGTCTGGGATTTGCTTCAAAATGTTTGTTGGAGTGGATGGTGGTACAGATGGAACCTCACTGATAATTCTTGATGCTGAGTGATGGGTCCATGGGAGTTCATTGTACCATTGTTTCTACTTCTGTTTGTGTTTGGAAATTTTTATTTTAAAAGTTTTTAAATGTTAGCAAAAGTGAAAAAGCAAAAACAAACAAAAACTTGTGACTGAGAAGAGGCTGCAACTGTTAACAAGCCAATGGCATATGGCAGTGGCTGGGAAGACTTCAGGGGTTTGGGGCTTGGGAGAACTATCAGAATTTACCAGACTCCAGGTCGGAGTCTGGTAAGAGAATTCAGCAATTCTCCTTTCTGTTTCCTGAACCTTTTTTAGGGCTTTCTCCTGATTTTTTTTTTTTTTTTTTTTTTTGAGATGGAGTCTTTCTCTGTTGCCCAGGCTGGAGTGCAGTGGTGCCATCCCAGCTCACCACAACCTCCCCACGCAACCTCTCAGGTTCAAGTGATTCTCCTGCCTCAGCTTTCCGAGTAGCTGGGACTACAGGCATGTGCCACCATGCCCGGCTAATTTTTGTATTTTTAGTAGAGACGGGATTTCACTATGTTGGCCAGGCTGGTCTCGAACTCCTGAACTTGTGATCCACCCGCCTTGGCCTCCCAAAATGCTGGGATTACAGGCGTGAGCCACTGCGCTCAGCCTCTCCTGATTTTCTATAACCAGTTATGAGATGGGCTAAATCTGACCTGACCTATCAGTGAAATCATTGCATACTTAAGAGGAAGATCAGAAAGGCCATTTCATCCAGAAATATCTTTCTTGTGCTCTGCCTTCCATGCCTGAAGTTCCCTGAACTAAAGCAATCAGTACCAGTTAATGTGATGCCCTCAATAAAAAAATTACACACACATTTACGCAGGTGCAATCACACATGGTATAACTTGCTTTTCCACTTTGGTGCACAAATATAATCTTGCTTCATTTAGAGTTGACTGCTTGAATGCCTACTTGCTCCACTTCCAGGCAAACTAACATCTTCTTTTCTTTTCTTTTTTCTTTTTTTATTAGCTCTTATCCCAAAGAACATCTTCTTAAGGGGTCTTTCCACCTCCAAGTGTTCAAATCCCCCAACCTATTATTATTAATTTTATTATTACATTTTACTTTTTTATGGTAAAACATAATTCTTACCTCATTATGATGATGTTTTACCTTTTTAAAAAAGTTATTAAATACCCAACTTATTAAATACCAAGCATCCTCCTACACATGCACATCTGCTTCCATGCCAGGCAGAGCAGGAGTTAGAGACTCAACAGTCCCTCCCTCGCACCCACCTCATTGCTTCTTGCAGCCTCACAGTGTCTTTGCTAAAGGCTGTCCTACTACTGTTTGAAGGAAAATCATTGTCCACCATTGTTAGAATGACCCCACTGGTCGGTCTAGATTTCTCCCAGAGTCTCAGATGCAACCCACATTGGATACTTTCTTCTTCTTCTTCTTCTTCTTCTTCTTCTTCTTCTTCTTCTTCTTCTTCTTCTTCTTCTTCTTCTTCTTCTTCTTCTTCTTCTTCTTCTTCTTCTTCTTCTTCTTCTTCTTCTTCTTCCTTCTTCTCCTTCTCCTTCTCCTTCTCCTTCTCCTTCTCCTTCTCCTTCTTCTTCTTCTTCTTCTTCTTTCGGTCTAGATTTCTCCCAGAGTCTCAGATGCAACCCACATTGGATACTTTCTTCTTCTTCTTCTTCTTCTTCTTCTTCTTCTTCTTCTTCTTCTTCTTCTTCTTCTTCTTCTTCTTCTTCCTTCTTCTTCTTCTTCTTCTTCTTCTTCTTCTTCTTCTTCTTCTTCTTCTTCTTCTTCTTCTTCTCCTCCTTCTCCTTCTCCTTCTTCTCCTTCTCCTTCTTCTCCTTCTTCTCCTCCTCCTCCTCCTTCTTCTTCCTCCTCTTCTTCCTCCTCTTCCTCTTCTTCCTCTTCCTCTTTTGCTTCTTCTGCTGCTTCTTCCTTCTCCTTTTTTTTTGAAGACAGTGTTTCACTCTGTCACCCAGGCTGAAGGGTAGTGGCGCCATCATAGCTCACTGCATCCTCCGCTGTTCTCAAGTGGTCCTCCTGCCTCAGCCTCCCAAAATGCCAGGATAATAGGCATAAGCCACTGCACTGGCCCTCACAACTCTTCTTAATGAGCACTCTTCTACCTAGCCATTGCTCCCCAAAGCAACTCACTGTGCCGAGGTGAGCAGGTCTGCAGTTGCTTCAAATAGCAACCACATGCTGGGTCACATATGGTTTTCCCACAATCCCCTCATGCTCAGCTTCCCCCAAATTCTGCTTACTACTGTCAATGGGAAGGAGTTTAGGAGGGAGGGTCAGCTTTGTAAAACCAAAGAGAAATCCACTTCAACTCTAATCAGGACGTGTTTCTACCAAAGCGTGTTAGTGCAAAACTAAGAGGATGGATGAAGCGACAGTCACAGGACAAAGAAGATCCCTGCCAGGGGAATTTTTGTCTCTCCTTGTTCAGAGGTTATTTGATACCCTCATTCTAGAAAACAAGCCAACAAAACTCACTCTGTTTATAGACAGGAATGTTATGCCACATGATCCCACCTGAGGAGTAGGTTCACAGGTGGTTTTTATCTTGCTTATCTGTATTGCTAAATTTTTCTTAAATGAACATATCATTAAAAAGTCAATATAGGCCAGGCATGGTGGCTCATGCCTGTAATCCCAGCACTCTGGGAGGCCGAGGCTGGCAGATCGCTTGAGCTCAGGAGTTCGAGACCATTCTGGGCAACATGAAGAAATCCCATCTCTACAAAAATTAGCTGGGTGTAGTGGTGTGTGACTGTAGTCCCAACTACTCAGAAGGCTGAGATGGGAGGATCACTTGAACCTGGAAGACAGAGGTTGCAGTGAGCTGAGATCGTGCCACTGCACTCCAGCCTGGGCAACAGAGCAAGACCCTGTCTCAAAAAAAAAAAAAAAAAAAGTCAATATAAAAGACATTTGAAACAAATAAATAAATACAAAAGTCACAGGAACTGATGGCACTGAGCAGGCCCTTATGAGATGCCAAGGTGGGGGTTCCATGGCAGAATTGGGCACCTGGGGAAAATGTTTATTAAAAATAGCAGGAAGACAACAAAGGCAAATGTCATGTGTGTTACTGTGTCCCTCCTAAACTTCTCTCCTTTTTGCAATAACTCTAGAGTGACAGTCACAGTACACTGTCACTATAGAGGGAAAATAGCAACTTCTAAAGAGTGCTATGAGGATAATGGGATTCTGTGGAGACATTGAAATAAGTTAAATCCAGCAGGTATTTAATTTCTTTTCGGATGTACCAGCCACAGTCATAGGTTCAGTGGAAGATGCAAAATAGAAGAGTATGACATTTGGCCAGGCATGGTGACTCATGCCTGTAATTCCAGCAGTTTAGAAGCCCGAGGTGGGTCGATCTCCTGAGGTCAGGAGTTCGAGACCAGCCTGACCAACATGGCGAAACCCCATCTCTACTAAAAATACAAAAATTAGCCAGGCATGGTGGCATATGCCTGTAATCCCAGCTACTTGGGAGGCTGAGGCAGAAGAATTGCTTGAACCGGGAGGCGGAGGTTGCAGTGAGCCGAGATTGCATCATTGCACTCCAGCCTGGGCGGGCTACAAAAGAGAAATTCTATCTCAAAAAAATAAAAAAATAAAATAAAGAAGAATACAACATAGTCCCTGCACTCAAAGAACACATCGTCTACTAGGTGACTTGGGACTGTACACAAAGGATTATGATAGATTGGAATAGATTGGGGGCACATGCTGTTGTGCTGGGGGATGTCACAATTTAATATCTGTGTGTGGCAGAGGGTGAAGGGGGTTCAGGAGGGAATAAGGGGCATTTTAATTGGATCTTCATGAATTTTAAGATGGATATTGTTGAATCAGGTACAGACAAATAACTCCACTGCCCTTTAGAAACCAAGTCAGTAAGCGTTCACAAAGAAAATTCCATGTTCATGTGATTTTGTTGTTGTTGTTTTGTTGTAGTTTGTTCTATATTTCAGAGATGGGTTTCTCTGTTGTCTACGCTGGACTGCAGTGGCACAATCATAGTTCACTGCAGTCCCAAAATCCTGGGCTCAAGTGGTCCTCCTGCCTCAGCTACCCGACTAGCTGGGATTACAGGTGTGCACCACCCATGCCCAGCTAATTTTTTGTAGAGACAGGTCTTGCTATGTTGCCCAGGCTGGTTTCAAACTCCTGGCCTCAAGTAATCCTCTGACCTTGGCCTCCCAAAGTGCTGGGATTACAGACATGAGCCACTGTGCCCAGCCTTGTGAGGTTTACCTGTAATTCCCTTTAAAATAAAATAATTTTGATATAAAACTGTGAAATGACCACTCCAATAGAAAGCCTTTTTCTTGCTTTAACTAAGTCTATAGTAACCTTTTCTTCTCATGAAAGTAATGAGCCATATTAAGAAACTTGAAGTCTTTCACACATCCATCAGTGTAGACTTCTTAGGTAGGTCTTCAAAGGAAGACGAGAGAATTCCAGAAATACAGTGTACTCTTGAGCTATGCTTGGTAAACAAAGGTCTCCATAAAACACCTTCTGTTTGTAAATAAATTATAACTATATAGAAAACAAAATTGCTTGCTGATGGTGAAAGAGAATATGAAGTCCAACTAATAATGGTATCAAAAATCATATTCTGGCTGGGCACAATAGCTCACGCCTGTAACCCCAGCACTTTGAGAGGCTGAGGCAGGTGGATCACTTGAGGTCAGGAGTTTGAGACCAGCTTGGCCAACATGGTGGAACCCTGTCTCTGCTAAAAATACAAAATTAGCCGGGCATGGTGGTAGGCGCCCGTAATCCCAGCTACTCAGGAGGCTGAGCCAGGAGAATTGCTTGAACCCGAGAGGCAGAGATTACAGTGAACCGAGATCATGCTACTGCACTCCAGCCTGAGCTACAGAGGGAGACTCCGTCAAAAAAAAAATCATATTCTGAAGAGAAACCTGGATTGCTCTTACCCAAGACAAAAATGAAACAAAGAATCAAAGAATAATCATTTAATAAACTCCCTTAGGCGGCTTTAGTCATGGAATCTCTTTCAAGGTACGTTTTCAGGTTTCATTTAAAAAAACAGTCTCACTTTGCCTTTTTTCAAAATATCCTTTTCTATTTAAACTTAGTCTTCTGGCTCTTTAAATTAAATCCTGTGGACTCCAAGGGAGAGTGCAGGCCCAGAATTTGTCAGGTGGATCAGAAAACTGCTCCCTTTCTGTTCTTTCCTAAAATAGCCAAAGATGGTGATTCAACCAAATGACAAAGAAACAATAATACTCCACCAAATTAAAACATAAACGTGAACTGTCCTTCTCAGCAATACTGTTTATGTTGTGCTTACTTGAGTACCACATAAGCACCATCATATTGAAAGTGCTATCTCGGGACAAAAAGCCATCTCCCTTGAGTTGTTACACACAAAGACAAACCAGAATGCTCTGGGCAAAGGTTGCCAGGAGCAAAAAGGTGATTTTTTGCCCATCAATGATAGACTGGATAAAGAAAATGTGGCACATATATGCCATGGAATACTATGCAGCCCTAAAAATGGGTGCGTTCATGCCCTTTGCAGGGACATGGATGAAGCTGGAAGCCATCATTCTCAGCAAACTAACACAGGAACAGAAAACCAAACGCCACGTGTTCTCACTTATAAGTGGGAGTTGAACAATGAGAACGCATGGACACAGGGAGGGGAACATCACACACTGGGGCCTGTCAAGGGTTGTGGGGCAAGGGGAGAGAGAACATTAGGACAAATACTTAATGTATGTGTGGCTTAAAACCTAGATGATGGGTTGATGGGTGCAGCAAACCACCATGGCACATGTATACCTATGTAACAAACCTGCATGTTTTGCACATGTATCCCAGAGCTTAAAGTAAAATAAAAATAAATTTAAAAAAAAAAGAGGTGACTTTTGCTCCCACCACAGGGTACTATCTCCCTGGGTAAGACATTCGATGCCAGGGGTCCCTGTGAGCCAGCAGACATAGGCCACTGGCTTGCAGCGTTAAGGGAGACAGGGTCCTTGCAGCACAGTGACTTTGTGTGGGGGGAACTACCGTTTTGTTGTTGGGAATGATGGTGATTATGGCTCAAAGTGGAAGGTAACATACTTGAGAGTCTCTGCCAGGGAAAAATGCCCCCACCCCATTTCCTCACAATAGAAGAGAGCATCTGGCTATCTTTGTTCATCAGTTTTTAAGGCCTACAGGGGCAATGTCTGACTCTGTTTGCAGCTGGTGCCAGGGTAGGAATGCAGAGAAAGAAAAGGTCAGAACACAGCACTAGCTGTTTGGGGGTGATGCAGAAACACAGGTGATGAAGTGGGGGTTTGAAGGCAAAGGCTGGAGTGAGATTGTCTTATTTTACTTTATCGTTTCTCACTAGAAATTCCCAGACATCACAGAAAAACAAATTTCAAAGAAAGAATTTTGGCAAAAAAAAAAAAAAAAAAAATGTTTGCTTTTTCCTACATCCTACTCTTTGAAGTTTGACAAAGAGGGAGGTGGCCCCTGTTAAAGTTGGGATCAAACGGTACCTTGAAGTTGCCAAGCTGGGAACCAGTGGAGGACTTGGAAGAGCAGAAGTGGTACTTAAATGCTTTTTAAAATTTATTTTTAATTTTTGAATTTTTTGTAGAGATCGGGGTCTCACTATGTTCCCCAGGCTGGTGTCTAACTCCTGGCCACAAGCAAACCTCCTGCTTTGGTCTCCCAAAATGCTGGGATTACAGGCATGAGCCGTCACACAAGGCCAATGCTTAGATATTTAACTTGAATGAAAACACTTAAAAGGAGGAAAAACATGACTGTGTCTTTTCAATGTTATCTTTGAAACCATTCCTACAGGGTTGAGAAGGACTGCAAGGATTTTGTCCATAGTTCTGGACAAAAATATAGTTACAATTAAGCGTTCATCAGGCTACACTCTAACCTACTTCCTTGTTATTAAAAGTCAGGTGCACTAGGTGCTGACGTCTGCATCCCATTGCTCCTACAGACGGGATCTTTGACATTAGACTCATAAGGCTTTTGTTTAAGGATTGCTTAAGATGTTTCTCAGACCCTAAATTCCAGCAACCAGTTTGACTACCCCTTAAAAACCCTAACTTCAAATTCCTTGGGGAGATGGATTTGAGGTTCCCTCCCATCTCCTGGTTTGGTGACCCTAGGATTACATTTTTCTCTGCTGCAACCCAACCTCTCAGCATATTGACTTGTGGTATGTGTCAGGCAACGAATCTACTATGATTACACTTTGGATCATTATTTTACCTCCTTTTCTATCTAAAAGGGTGGATTTACATGTTGTAATAGCTGCCTCTTTGTTTGATTTAAAATAATGGTGTGGGCACAAGCTCCTTGTGGCAATCCCTAGAGCTGTCAATGTTGCCATAGTTTGTGTGAGAGGTCCTGGGGTTGAGGGGGGTCTGTTAGCCCATTAGTTTGCTTCCATTTGGCACATACTTAATAAGTGTCTACTAGGAGCTAAGGCCGACTCTTCCCAGCACTGTGGAGAGGAATTTGGAAGATTAATAACGTACTTAGCAGTGTAGGCAAAGGACCGGGGTGGAAGAATTTCATAGATTGGAGCTGGACCCTGCAGGGTGAATAGGATTTCAGCAGGCCAAGGAAACAAAAGCACAGGTCCCTTCAGGATATGGTCAGAAATCTTGGTTTCCAGGGATTCCAGAGGGAGAGGAAAGGGTACCCATGCAGAAGCAGCAGGGATTTTAGAGCCACTACTTACTGCCCTTCCTGACATGTCAAGGCTTTGGGGGAAAACAAAGAGTAGTTTTGTTACAGGATTGTTGGGTGTTGCTTTTCTGGCTGGAAACCTCTGTGGCTGTGGGGCCATTGCCCGATATTTGCTTGGGCCCACCGGGCTCATTCTGCCCACTTGGCCTGGCAGGTTGCACTCTGCTCATGCTGCCGGCCTGGATCCCATGCCTGCCAAGGGTGAGCCAGGTGCGGAACAGCAAGGAGTGTATGAGCAAGTGTGAGGTCTGACCTCTGTGCACAGTCAGGTATGCCAGCCAGGGGGCAAGCAGCTCCAGGTGCTGGCATGAGCACCAGCTCTCCATGAGGCTGCAGCAAGACCAGGTGCACCACAAGCAGCTTCCTCAGCTGGCACTGGGGATTGCAGTGGTGCCCAGAAGCTTGGAGACACCAGGAACCTCAGGGCCCCAAAGAGAAAGTCACATCCCTGGCTCAGGGAGCTCCCAGGTCTGGGCTCCCCAAAAGGCCACAGCTCTTGTCTCATTCTGTTCACCCACAACATGATGAGCAGGGGGCAGGTTTCTGCCCTGTTTATGTTACAACTCTTTTAGTCTTGCCATTTGATGGGCCCTGAGTTCTCATCCTGGGACCAAGAAGAATGAGGTACACAGACAAGTGGAGGGTGAGCAAGATGAAGAGGAGCCTTACTGAACAACAGAACAGCTCAGAGGAGACCCGCAGGGGGCAGCTCCTTTCCGCAGCCAGGGTGTCCTAATGAGTGTTCACCTCCTAGCAGAGAGGAGACTCTGGAGTGGGAAGTTCTTCTCTGCAGGCAGGTTGTCCTGTTGTCTCTGCAGCTCTCAGCAGAGAGGAGGCCCTGGAGTGGGTTGCTCCTCTCCGCAGCTGGCTGTCCCAATGTCTCTGCAAGTCTCTGAAGCTCTCAGCATAGAGGAGGCCTTAGAGTGGATAGCTTCTCTCTGCTGCTGGTTGTCCTAACATCTGCTCAGTTCTGGCTGAGCTTGGGGCTTTTATGGGCCTCCGAGAGGAGGAAGTGTGCAACAATTGGTCCGTGAGCAGCCATGGATGGGCCCAGAAAAGCCACCACAAGCTCCCACTCTGGTCTGCAGGACTGGGAGCCCAGCTTCCAGCTTTCAGGCCCTCCCTGGCCTGAAGGTGGGACCTCACCAGGGACCCACCCCCTTCTGCCCAGGAATCTGTCTGCCTCCTGCTGCCATTCATAGTGCGCAGGCTCCCCCCAGCTTTGCTCCAAGATCGGACCAGGCACTGACAACAGGGAGAAGCCAGGCAGTGGAGCAGGCACTTCCAAGCCTATAAGGGTGGCGGTGGGGGTGACTTCCTGGGCCTCCAAGAGTGCAGGGTTGCCTAGGTCTGCAGCTGCAGTTTGGGCAGCTGCAGCTGTGCCTGGGAGCGTGGGGATCTTGCCTACTCTGTGGAGTGGGAGGCCCAGGTCTGCAGCTGAGGTTTGGGTGGCTGCAGCAGCACCCAGGAAGCTCTCACCCCAACTTAGAAGGGATGAGGCTCCCACTTGTTCCCAGCTCCCACGGGCTCCACAGAGCAAGGAGCGCTGGCCACTCCTCCCTGCTGCAGCTGGTGTGATGGCAGCGGTGGCTCCAGATGGCCTGCCCCTCCCATCAGTTTCACCTCTCTTGGGGATCTCTGTGCTTGGAGCAGTAACATGGTATGATTAAGGTAGGATTTCAGGGCCTGGTGGGCTGAGGCAGGGAAGGAAGGAAGCAGATGTTCAGCTAGCAGAGCAGCAGAAAGATTTAAGATCCTGGTTCTGTTCCTCCCTAAGGCCCGATCTCATTTCTCTTCTTGGACTCCATGAGACACACAGGTGTCCTTGACTAATTTCCACTTTTTGCTTTAGCTAGTTTGAATTTATGCTCTATCATTTGTTAAACTAAGTTTAGCTTAAAGCTGCCTCCTTACGTTATTTTAAGTTCAGCCTAAAGATATCTCTGTACATAATGAACTGTAAACTAACTGGATGTATGAACAGACTGCAAGCTATGCTTGTGCCAATCATCAAGTTTTGGCCAATCAAAGGTGACCAACTGTTCAAAACATGTTCAAATAAGGCAAACGCCCAGCTGTAACCGATCTAGCTGTTTCTGCACCTCACTTCCATTTTCTGTACATCACTTTCCTTTTGCTGTTCATAAATCTTCTCGGACCACCAGGCCATACTGGAACCTCTCTCTACCTCCCTCTGGTTCAGGGGCTGCCCTAGTTCTTTGCTCAATTAAACTCTGCTAAATTTAATTTGTCTAAGATTTTTCTTTCATTTACTTTTTATTTTTTGAGAAAGGATCTTGCTCTGTTGCCCAGTCTGGATTGCAGTGGTGCCATCTGGGCTCACTGCAGCCTCTGCCTCCCGGGTTCAAGCAATTCTCATGCCTCAGCCTCTCGAGTAGCTGGGATAACAGGCATGTATCACCACACCTGGCTAATTTTTGTATTTTTCATTGAGATGGGGTTTTGCCATGTTGGCCAGGCTGGTCTCAATCTCCTGGCCTCGAGTGATCAACCCACCTCAGCCTCCCAAAGTGTTGGGATTACAGGCATGAGCCACCATGCCTGGCCTGTTTAAGATTTTTCTTTTAACACACTCCAGCCAAAATAATCCTGGCTAATCCGGCTGGGCGCGGTGGCTCAAGCCTGTAATCCCAGCACTTTGGGAGGCCAAGACGGCGGGGGATCACTTGAGGTTGGGAGTTCAAGACCAGCCTAGCCAACATGGAGAAACCCCGTCTCTACTAAAAATACAAAATTAGCCGGGTATGGTAGCAGGCTCCTGTAATCCAAGCTACTCAGGAGGCTGAGGCAGGAGAACTGCTTGAACCTGGGAGGCGGAAGCTGCAGTGATCCAAGATTGCACCATTTCTCTCCAGCCTGGGCAACAAGAGTGAAACTTCATCTCAAAAAAAAAAAAAAAAAAAAAAAAAGAATCCTGGCTAATCCAGTATCATTGTTTTTTCTCACTAGCCAAAGATTACATCTAAATTGTGCCTTTTTATTGCTTTTCTTTTCCTCTTTGATCATATTTAAAATATATGAAGCTGGCTAGAGAATTACAATGATCACTCAATGCCTTGAGCAATGGGCACTGCTACTTGAAGTGACAAATAGCCCCAATATGGGAAGGGTGGGCACGGGAGAGCTCTTAGCTTTGGGCTTCACACAGAAGCAGGAGGGCTTTCTGAAAAATGTACTTGGGTGAGACTCCATCATTTGGGACTTGTCCTGGGATTCTTTTTTTCTTTCCCCCAAGACGGAGTCTTGCTCTGTCACCAAGGCTCGAGTGCTGTGGCGTGATCTCAGCTCACTGCAACCTCCACCTCCTGGGTTCAAGCGATTCTCCTGCCTTAGCCTCCCAGGTAGCTGGGATTACAGGCACATGCCACCACAGCCAGCTAATTTTTGTATTTTTTAGTAGAGACAGGGTTTCACCATGGTGGCCAAGCTAGAGGCTGGTGTCGAACTCCTGACCTCGTGATCCGCTTGCTTCAGCCTCTCAAAGTGTTGGGATTACAGGTGTGAGCCACCGCGCCCAGCTTGTCCTGGGATTCTAACAAAAGACATTGAGTTGAGAAAGATTCTGTCCTCTAAACTTCTCTACATTACGCCGCCCTTCCCCCTTCCTCACAACCCCTCAGGGATCTCAACAAAGGCTGTGTGTCAAGGACATTGGGACAAAGGTCTATTCACCAGTGTAGTGGAACAGACAGCAATCTAGACATTTCCATGAGTAAAGGAAATAATTGTTTGTGTGAATTTTTAACATTTCAAGTCTGTGTTGCCACACAATCTCACTGGCATCCCTTAGTTCTCAAACTCGAAGGATTTAAGAGCCAACATGCTTTTATATTTTCATCTCTCTGTTACTGTACATTTCAACATCTGTCATTTTAATTTGATCCCACTAATTCATAGCAGTGAATTTTTAAAAATGCCTAAATGATCATCATTTTTTTATTCTCTAAGATTTCATTTTTCATCAAGATCACACTCTCGTTTTTTATTCCTTAGTTCTTGTATTTCCCAAAACTTTGGCTGTTTATCTGCTTTTATTTTCTTCCTTCTTTTCTTACCTCAATAATATGCTTTTGTGAACATGCTCTATTAAAAAATGCAACACATACAACCAGACATGGTGACCCATGCCTGTAATCCCAGCAATTTGGGAGGCTGAGGCAGAAGAATCGCTTGAGGCCAGGAGTATGAGTCTAGCCTGGGCAACATAATGAGACCCCATCTGGGGTTGTGTTGCGTGCCTGCAGTCCTAGCTACTCAGGAGGCCTGAGGCAGGAGGATCGCTTGAGCCCAGGAGTTCAAGGCTGCAATAAGCTCTGATTGTACCACTACCCTCCAGCCTGGGTGACAGAGCAAGATCCTGTCTCTAAAAATAAAATAAAATAAATAATAATAAAAAAACAAAATTTAAAAATAATGCCACTCACAGATGATGAATATGCTAATTACTCTGATCTGATCACCATATGTTGTATGTATAGAAATATCACTCTGTCACCCATGAATATGTACAATTACTGTTTGTCAATTAAAAAATAAAATTAAAGAAGGAAATTGTTGATATGCTCAAAGGAAAAAAAATGCAATTCACAATGCAAAGATATAACTCCAAGAGGTGCTATAGAAAACCACCATAAAGCTGGGTGTGGTGGCTCACACCTGTAATCCCAGCACTTTGGGAGGCCAAGGCAGGTGGATCACGAGGTCAGGAGCTCGAAACCAGCCTGGCCAAGATGGTGAAACCTCATCTCTACTAAAAATACAAAAATTAGCCGGGCGCGGTGGCAGGCACCTGTAATCCCAGGTACTTGGGAGGCTGAGTTAGGAGAATCACTTAAAACCAGGAGGCAGAGGTTGCAGTGAGCTGAGATCGCGCCACTGCACTCTAGCCTGGGTGACAGAGCAAGACTCCGTCTCAAAAAAAAAAGGAAAGAAAAGAAAACCACCATAAGAGGAGCCCATCATTTTTCCCTAGGCTTAGACATGACCAAACATGGCCCAGCACAAAAAAGGCAGTTAATAAAATGAAAATATTTGCAGTTTCACAGGACCCAGAAGTGTTTGGTTGAGATCCTCATGGGCCCGTTTGCCTGATTCAGGTCCAATCACAGATCCCTGCATTACTCTTGGGTTTGTGACCCATATATGTAGTTGTTTCTTCTTAGCAGAAGATATCCAACTCAGGGTGTTGTCCCAAAGACCACCAGGATGGCTCAGTAGTAGAAAGGAGAGCTTTATCATCAATACCAGTTTGCGAAACGGGAAGAGACAGTCTCTGATGTGTGACAAAGGTATTCTCTTTTTCAAGAGGGAAGAGCAGTTGGGGTTTTTTTTCCTCACAGGACATACATATTCAGCAGTTTTGGGGGAAAAACTATACATATTTATGAGGGGAGCTGAATGCATGTGCAATGGGCAAACATGTCTGTAACATACATCTCGTGTTCACTTTGGGGCAGGGCTTTAGCATTAAAATGAGGTGGAATTGGCTGGGCGTGGTGGCTTATGTCCATAATCCCAGCACTTTGGGAGGCCAAGGCGGGCAGATCATGAGGTCAGGAGTTTGAGACCAGCCTGGCCAACATGGTGAAACCCCGTCTCTACTAAAAAATACAAAAATTAGCCAGACATGATGGCGGATGCCTGAAATCCCAGCTACTGGGGAGGCTGAAGCAGGAGAGTCACTTGAACCCAGGAGGTGGAGGTTATAGTGAGCTGAGATCACGCCACTGAACTCCACCCTGGGTGACAGAGCAAGACTTCATCTCAAAATAAATAAATAAATAGATAAATAAATATAAAAAAATAAAATGAGGAGGAACTTGGCTCTTTTATGTCAAAAGGTGAACTGTAGGACACAAAGACAGTTTGTATGCAGTCTCTATAAGTTGCTAAAACTGGCTTACGGTCTGTAATTGCTTATCAGAAAAGAATGTTATTAAGGCTGGTCCTCTGTCCAACAGAGTTATACTGGTCTGGGTTGTAAATCAGTTAGGAGGGGTCCGAGCTCCCATTGCTAGGAAGCTTAAAGCTGTAGGAATTTAGAAATTTGCCATGTCAGTAAGCCCAAACCCTTGACTTACAGGGAACTTTGTTTCCTTAACCTTAGAATCCATCTTAGTGATGAAGAGGTGTCTGTTTTGGTCTCTCAGATCGCAATGGGCCCAAGTATGGCTGAAGAGCTGGAGCTAGCCTGTCCATCCCTAGCAGGTTTCAATCCAGGCTTCCTTAAGGATAATTTTTCAGGGCCGGGAGCAGTGGCTCATACCTGTAATCCCAGCACTTTGGGAGGCCGAGGTGGGCGGATCATGAGGTCAGCAGTTTGAGACCAGCCTGGCCAACATGGTGAAACCTCATCTCTACTAAAAATACAAAATTAGCTGGATGTGGTGGCACGCACCTGTAATCCCAGCTACTCGGGAGGCTGAGGTGGAAGAATCGCTTGAACCCAGGAGGCGGAGGTTGCAGTGAGCCAAGATCACGCCACTGCACTCCAGCCTGGGTGACAGAGTGAGACTCTGTCTCAAAAAAAACAAAACAAAACAAAGCAAAAAAAAGAATAATTTTTCAGAATACGTCACCTGTGCAGCCTTGTCTGCCCAGACTGCTTTGTCTAAATGAGCTATCATTGCAAGATACTCTTAGCCTTAGAGGGGAGTTTAGCCTCTCCCAGACACTCACTGAATCAGCCTGGTTTTCTCTAGTTGCTTCCCAGCCATCAGACTTACATCATGAATCCTCAAGGAATTTTTTTTCCACCTTCTCCTCCTTGTAGTCAACCACTCTAGCTTTTCTGTGTGATTGGTGGGTAGTTTTCAATCACTTATGGCCCTTATAAACACACCCCTTCATATTAGTAGGGTTTTCTCCCCAGATACATTCTAAATTGCTTATGGGAAGGAACCTCATAAGCTTACGGGAAGGAACATGTTCTTTATACCTTTCTATTGCATCTTGCACAGTGCTGCGTACATTTGATGCCCAGTGAAGGGGCATGTCTTTCCAGTGGAAGAAGATATGGGATAAAGTACCAAATAAAAGTTTTCTAATAGTTAAAAAGCAGAGAGAACTAGAAAGTGAAATTAGGGAAGGGGAGGGAACAATAATAAAAAGAAAAGAGAAGAATACTCCTTTGTTCCTTGGGCTGCTAGCATTTTCTCATCTGAGAGTTAATGTTGAATCTGTTAAGTGCTGTGTCATAATAAAATGTCCAAAGTGTGTATATTTTATAGTCCATCATCAAAGGCATTTAATGTTACACTCTACTTTGATTTCTATGTGAATGTTGACTCAAGGGTCCCCCTTTTCACTATGGCAGGAAACTCAATGTTGTCCTTGAATAAGAATTGAATCATTCTTATTCAACACATATTATTTTCAACACAGTATAGCATGGGGGCATTTATTGGATAGTTTCTCAGTATATCTCATTTCCATAAACTTCTTTTTTCTTTCTTTCTTTCTTTTTTTTTTTTTTTTTTTTTTGACAGGATCACTCTTTGTCACCCAGGCTGGAGTGCAGTGGCATGATCTCGACTCACTGCAGCCGCAACCTCCTGGGCTCAAGTAATCCTCCCACCTCAGCCTACTGAGTAACTGGGACTACAGGTGTGTGCCACCATGCCAGGCTAATTTTTTAATTTTTTGTACAGACAGGGTCTTGCTGTGTTGCCCAGGCTGGTCTTGAACTCTTGGGCTCAAGCAATCCACCTGCCTTGGCCTCCCAAAGTGTTGGGACTACAGGCATGACCACTACACCCAGACCCTATAAAAGCAATAAGGATATAGAAAAAACTTTCCACTATCATGAAATAAAGGGTAGCTACTCATTGCTATTATTTCATGATTGCTGTCAACTCCTTGCTATTAAATTCAATTTGACAGTCTATGTTGCAGTAGAGAGCTCTCATAACCAATATAACAGCTCTTCACTTTGTCCCTACTATAAAGTGTTGTCTATTAAGGTTTCAGCCATTCACATGCTAAAATGTGAAGTGTCCTCTTAAATGCAGAGTCATTTATAAAATCAGTACAGTAACTTGGAGACAATTGAAATTGATCTCTTCCATGTAACACCAGGAGCATGTAAAAGCATGGATACATTTCTCAGCAAGAGGTAGTGAAAAACAGGGCTGGTTTCCTCTTCCTATCAATTCTGAGGCATCAGGCCCCGGCATCTGCTCAGAACCTGGCTGCATGCTTTGGATCAGAGTCAGTTATTTGTCACTGATATGGGTGTAAGTCTTCTCACCATTTATCCAGGATGTTTGACACATCCAGCTCACCCAAGAATGCACTGGCAGAAATCAAAGATTATTTGGGCTGGGCACAGTGGCTCACACCTGTAATCTCAGCACTTTGAGAGGCCGAGGCGGACAGATCACCTGAGATGGGAAGTTCGAGACCAGCCTGGCCAACATGGCGAAACCCTGCCTCTACTAAAAATACAAAAGGGGAGCTGAGGCAGGAGAATCACTTGAACCCAGGAGGCAGAGGTTGCAGTGAGCCAAGATCGTGCCACTGCACTCCAGCCTGGGCGACAGAGCAAGACCCCATCTCAAAAACAAAAAGAAACCACAAAGATTATTTGGAACAACCCAGAAGAAAGCTAAACACTTGGAAATAATTTTCAACCTGAGAAAAATTCCTGAATATCAAACATTCCTAGTTATTTTATTATTATTTCACAATGTAGTCAGATAAAGTTTTTTTTTTTTTTTTTTGAGACAGAGTCTCACTCTGTCACCCAGGCTGGAGTGCAGTGGCGCCATCTCGGCTCACTGCAAGCTCCGCCTCCCGGGTTCACGCCATTCTCCTGCCTCAGCCTCTCAAGTAGCTGGGACTACAAGCGCCCACCACCACGCCCAGCTAATGTTTTGTATTTTTAGTAGAGATGGGGTTTCACTGTGTTAGCCAGGATGGTCTCGATCTCCTGACCTCGTGATCCACCCACCTTGGCCTCCCAAAGTGCTGGGATTACAGGCGTGAGCCACCACAGCTGGTCAGATAAAGATCTTTTTTTAACTCTTCTCAATTTTACAAACTTTCCATTTTTTTACGTGCAGAGAATGCCTGTTTTTATGTTGTTTGTGGATATCAAGGGCATGCCCTAAAGGCATGCAAAGAAAACAATTGAGAAGTAAAAATTATGGAACTGAGGAGATCACAGAAATAATGTTAATTAAATACCTCATTTTTATTTTTTCTTTACGAACGCACAGACTACAATAGTGGTTCTAGCCCCAGGTCCAGAGGTGAGGGAAGGAACTCAGTCAGACAGCTCTACCAGGAAGTTTATCTGCAAATAGGAAAGTTATTTTACTGACATTTACAGATATCAGAGCACATGTGTTGACTGTACATTCTGGGTATGTAGATGGTCTGGGTAGAGCTGTACACACCTTTTTGCTGAGTCCTCATTATTATCTAAGATGTAATATGTGGTCCTGAACATGGTTTGGTCTGTGTCTCTAACAAGAATCCAGATCATGACCTGGACCTTCTGGGCATGAGTCTAGAGCTGTGTTGTCCAGTAAGGTAGCCACTTGCCATACAGTCATTTATACTTCATTTTAATGCAATGAAAACTTCAGTTTTCAATAGCCACATTTCAATTGGTCCATAGTCACATATGATTAGTGGCTCAGGTAGAGATTTCCATCATCACCGGAAGTTCTGCGGACTGTGCTGGATCCCTGGGACCAGTATTTGTGAACCAGCAGCAGGAACATCACCTGGGAGCTTGGAAGAAATGTGGAATCTCAGCTGTGTCCAGACCTACTGAGAGAGAATCTGCTTTTTACACAATCCTGGGTAATTTATATACCATTCAAGAGTAAGAAGCACTGTTCTAGACAATCGAGCTGTAAACCAAAAATAAAATTCTAAGGCCCCCCCAACCATCTGAACTGACTTCCTTCTTGGCCAGAACAATCTTAAAATTTAACCTGAAAAACTGGTTCAGGCCATGACAGGAAGTGGGGATCGGATGTGCCTCATTATACCTCTCTGGCAGTAACATCAACACAGACTTTAAGTCTGATAAGAAATATTTTACAACCTATTCTCTCTGAAGCCTACTACCCGAAGGCTTCCTCTGCAAATAAGAACTTTGGTCTCCACAATTCTTTATCTTAACCCAAACATTTCCTTTCTATTGATCCAAGGTCTTTAGAGAAACTCACCCAATTGTTAACAAAAAAATGTTTAAATCTACCTATAGCCTGGAGCCTCCCCCACCCCCTGCACCCCACTCCTTGCTTCCAGTTGTCCTGCCTTTCTGAACTAAACCCATGTATTTCTTAAATGTATTGTATTGAAGTCTCATGCCTCCCTAAAATGTATAAAACCCAGCTGCACCCCTACCACCTTGGGTGCATGTTCTCAGGGCCTCCTGAGGGCTGGGTCATGGGCCATGGTCACTCCTATTTGGTTCAGCATAAATCTCCTCAAATATTTTACAGAGTTTCACTCTTTTCATCCACAGAGGAAACATACCCCCAGGCTTGGAAGAAGGAAAGAACTGCATCCAGATTGGGCTATAGGTACAGTTACTTCCTACAGAAATGCGTCTTTCCTATGGCTTCTTAAAACTAAGAAAAATATTCAGTTATGAGAAAAGAAAAGAACTTTTATCTGAGGAACACAAGTCCTTTTAATTATTGGGCCCAGAGAGGTATTAAAAACAGGCAGCAATTGTTGCAGAATTTTGCTCCTTAGTTCAGTTGTAAGTGGGTTCTTTTCACACAACCAGGAAATTTAGGCACGCAGACACATTAAAGGGTGAGTAGAGCAGGATTTTATTGGGTGAAAAGAGAAAAAAGAAAAAAACAGCAAAACGAGATGGAGTCCTGCTAATAGGCCCCCCACCTCACAGATTGAATCCCAGGCCGCCACACAGGAACTGAAGAGGCCAGGCTCCTCCCACTGCCTGTGGCTCCGCCCCATCCCCCAGTGCGCATGTTGGCAGGCTCAGACAAGGCCCTGGGCAGGTTCCCTCATCTGCACAAAAGTATCTCATGTAAACACTTGTGGGGCAGGTCGGAGATTCTCCGGGGACCTCTTTTAATATGCCTAGGCATTTGGCTGTCTCACAATCATGCCCTACTCCCTGCTTTGAGCTATGTATTCATTTCTTGAAATGGCTTGCTATTGCCACAGGCAGCTATAAATTAATCTAATAATGCCACATGGGACACCATAACCCACACCCTAAAGCTTCACAGTGTATAGCTAATCAGTGTTATTTCTGTAAACCAATGGGAATTCCTGACAAGCAGCTTTGTCTTAGCCCACTCCCTGTCTCCCTCTTTTTGCCTTTAAAAATCCACTTGCAACTACTGCACATTGGAGTGGATATTCAGGGCAACTTACCTCAGCTTCTCCCTTTTAAGTCAACCCTTACCTCCGGCTACAGTTTAATAGTCAGTGTCTGCACAACTGTTTGTGTTGACCAATGCCTTCTTCTTGACCTACTCATAAAAATGCCTAAACATTTATGAAGCTCTTACCCTGCGCCATGAACTGTTCTATGTGCTTCATCCATTTTGATTCATTAATCCTCACAAACAGCCCTACAGGTAGCTTCTATTATTAACTTTATTTTACAAATGAGGATTCTGAGACACAAAGAATGGAAATAAAGTCACAGTGGAGGCGGGGCACAGTGTTTCACACCTGTAATTTCAGCACTTTGGGAGGCTGAGGCAGGAGGATGGATTGAGGCCAGGAGTTTGAGACTAGCCTGGGCCAAACAGTGAGACTCCATCTCTACAAGAAAAAAAAGAAAAGAAAAAGAGTCACAATGGCTGACTCCAACTCAGCAGTTCCTGGGCCCTAGAGAAGTGTGAAAGGAAAATCTTGGGGTCCCAGATTTACCAAGCTAAGGGAAAAGTCAAGCTGGGAATTGTTCAGGACAAACCTGCCTCCCATTCTATTCAAAGTCATCCCTCCGCTCACTGAAATAGATGCATATTGCCTCCTTTGGAAAAGCTTATCAGAAACTCAAAGAATGCAACCATTTGTCTCTCACCTACCTGTGACCTGGAAGCCCCCTCCCTGCTTTGAGTTGTCCCCACTGTCACGCAAGTCTGTGTGAAGAGAGTCCACCAACAGGCTTTGTGTGAGCAACAAGGCTGTTTATTTCACCTGGATGCAGGCAGGCTGAGTCTGAAAAAGGAGTCAGCAAAGGGTGGTGGGATTATCATTAGTTCTTATAGGTTTGGGATAGGCGTACAAAGTACCTTCTTAAGGGTGGGGGAAGAATATTACAAAGTACCTTCTTAAGGGTGGAGGACAATATATGTATCAGTTAGGGTGGGGCAGGAACAAATCACGATGGTGGAATGTCATCAGTTAAGGCTATTTTCGCTTCTTTTGTGGATCTTCAGTTGCTTCAGGCCATCTGGATGTATACATGCAAGTCACAGGGGATATAATGGCTTAGCTTGGGCTCAGAGGCCTGACATTCCTGTCTTCATATATTAATAAGAAAAACAAAACAAAATAGTGGTGAAGTGTTGGGACGGTGAAAATTTTTGGGAGTGGTATGGAGAGATAATGGGTGATGTTTCTCAGGGCTGCTTCGAGCGGGATTAAGGGTGGCATGGGAACCTAGAGTGGGAGAGATTAAACTGAAGAAAAATTTTGGGGTAAGGGGTGATATTGTGGGGTTGTTAGAAGGAGCATTTGTCATATAGAATTATTGGTGATGGCCTGGATGCGGTTTTGTATGAACTGAGAAACTAAAAGGAAAATACAAGGTCCAAATAAGAGAAGGAGAATAACAGGTATTAAAGGACTAAGAATTGGGAGGACCCAGGACATCCAAGTACAGAGTGACCAAGGGGGTTCAGCATAATTAGTTGCTTGGTTGGTGAGTTTTTGGGCTCTATCCTTGAGTTTTTTTATGTTGTCATATACCAGGCCAGGTTGATTTAGGTGAAAACAACACTCTTCATTTAAAAATATACAGAGTCCTCATTTTTCAGCAGTGAGTAAATTGAGGCCTCAGCGATTTTGGAGGAAAGAGAAATGCAAAGCCAGCAATTGTTTGTTAAAGAACGATTAGAAATGGCTAGGAGATAGTGAGTGAGATTGATAGTGTGGTGGAGATAGCTGGGGAGAGGTAGTAGGTGGCATAAGAATGGGAACGAGAATAAGAGTGAGTATAAAAGTAAACAATAGGACTTCATCGGGATGAAAGTGTTGGAGTGTGTCCTGTCAGCAAAGATCATCTATCCACTCCAAGAGGGAGTCAAGAGTGGAGGATTGGGGATAGATATTCATGATGGAAAGGAAATGAGAGGATTTAAGAGGTGGGCGAACGGCTTGTAACCTACATGGAAGAGGTTATGAAATGACAACAGAATAGAATGGGCCTGTGAGGCTGGAAGGAGATATTTTCCTTGGTTCAAGAACCATTTGCCTTGTGTGGGAAGAGATTGATAGGTGGAAACTTCAGTGGGAGAGTAAAGAGGAGTGACCAATGAGAAGGAGAAAAACTGGTCATGAGGGACAGAAGTTGGAAGCTAGCTGCTTCTTTAGCTACCTTATCAGCATAAGTGTTGCCCTGAGTGATGAGATCTGATGCCTTTTGATGGCCCTTGCAGTGAATGACTCCAGCTTCCTTTGGAAGTAAAGCGGCTTTGAAAAGAGTTTTTATTAAAAAGGCATTGATGATGGAGGACCCTTGCATAGTGAGGAAATTTATTTCTGCCCATATAACAGCATGATGGTGCAGGATATGCAAGGCATATTTAGAGTCAGTATAAATATTGATGCGTAGTCCCTTTGCAAGAGTGATGGCCCCAGTTAAGGCAATGAGTTTGGCTTACTGAGAGGTAGTGGAGGGGGGCAGAGCAGTAGCCTCAATGATAGACATGTAAGATACTATAGCATAGCCTGCCTTTGCTGGTGAGTGGCAATTAGGCCTGGTGGAACTGCCATCAATAAACCAAGTGTGATCAGGGTGAGGAACAGGAAAGAAGGAAATATGGGGAAATGGAGTGAATGTCAGGTGGATCAGAGAGATACAGTCATGGGGGTCAGGTGTGGTATCCAGAATAATGTGGGAGGCCGGATTGAAGTCTGGGCCAGGAACAATGGTAATTGTGGGAGACTCAACAAAGACTGAGTATATAGCTGAAGGTGCTAGGGGGCAGAAAGTATATGCATCAAGTGTGAGGAGGAAAATAGATTTTGAAAGTTATGGGAACTGTAGAGAGTTAAGTGGAGCATAGCTTGTGATTTTGAGGGCCTCTAAAATTATTAAAGCAGCGGCAGCTGCCACACACAGACATGAGGGCTATGCTAAATCAGTTAGGTCAAGTTGTTTGGACAGAAAGGCTACAGGGCACGGTCCCGGCTCTTGTGTAAGAATTCTGACCGCACAGCCCTGTACTTCGGCTGTGTGTAATAAAAAGGGTTGGGATGAGTTAGGGAAAGCTAGTGTGGGAGCAGCTTTTAGGGCTGTTTTTTAAGGAATGGAAAGGGGAGTGGGGAAAGGATTTAGGATTTATGGGGTCAGCTAGGTTTATCTAGACTGGGTTGTGGAGGGAGGTATTGAGGATAGGAGAGTATATGGGTTTGGCACCAAGGGGTGGATAAGCCAGACAATTTGGTTGATAAGGCACAGATCCTGAACTAAGCTGTAAGACTTGTCTGGTTTTTGGTCAGGTAAAATGGGGGAATTGTAAGGAGAGTTTATAGGCTTTAAAAGGCCATGCTGTAATAGGCAAGTGATAACAGGCTTTAATCCTTTTAAAGCATACTGTGGGATGGGATATTGGCATTGAGCAGGGTAAGGGTGATTAGGTTTTAATGGGATGGTAAGGGGTGCATGATCGATCGTCAAGGAGGAGTAGAAGTGTCCTATACTTGTGGATTAAGGTGGGGAGATACAAGGAGAGGATGTGAAGGAGGCTTTGAACTGGGAGAAAAGGCAGCAATGAGGTGTGGTTGTAGCCCAGGAATAATCAGGGAAGCAGATAATGTAGTTAAAATGTCTCCACCTAATAAGGGAACTGGGCAGATGGGGATAACTAAAAAAGAGTGCATAAAAGAATGTTGTCCAAGTTGGCACCAGAGTGGGGGAGTTTTAAGGGGTTGTGAAGCTTGGCCGTCAATACCCACAACAGTTATGGGGGGCAAGGGAAACAGGCCCTTGAAAAGAAGGTAATGTGGAGTGGGTAGCCTCCGTATTGATTAAGAAGGGGACCCACTTACCCTCCACTGTAAGAGTTACGCAAAGCATCTGTGATGGTCCTATAGTCTTCCAAGGCAATCAGGCAGTGTCAGTCTTCAGCTGCTAAGCCGAGAAGATCTGGGAGGGAGTCAGTCAGAGAGCCTTGGGCCAGAGTTCCAGGGGCTCTGGGAGTGGCTGTGGGGTTGGACAGTCGGATTTCCAGTGGGGTCCTGCACAGATGGGACATGGCTTAGGAGGAATCCCGGGCTGCAGACATTCCTTGGCCTAGTGGCCAGATTTCCAGCACTTGAAGCAAGATCCTGGGGGAGGCGGTCCTGGAGGAACAGCTGGCCACTGCGGTTCAGACGTTTTGGAATTCTTGTGTGCTGGAGATGTGGCTGGAGTTTCTCTCACAGTGGAGGCAAGTAATTGCAACTCAGAAATACGTGGCTACTTGGCTGCCTCTACTCTATTATTGTACACCTTGAAGGTGAGGTTAATTATGTCCTGTTGTGGGGTTTGAGGGCCGGAATCTAATTTTTGGCACTTGTTCTAATGTTGGGAGTGGATTGGGTAATAAAATGTATATTGAGAATAAGACAGCCTTCCTCTGGTGTCTAGGACAGTAAAGTGTCTAAGGGTTGTTGCCAAACGGGCCATGAACTGGGCTGGGTTTGTATATTTGATGAAAAAGAGCCTAAATGCTAACTGATCTGGGAGAGGTCAGAAAAAGAAAAAAGGAGCATTAACCTTGACTATGCCTTTAGCTCCAGCCACCTCCTTAAGAGGAAATTGTTGGGCAGGTGGAGGAGGGCTAGTCGCGCAACAAAACTGTAGGCCAGACCAGGTATGAGGAGGGGAGATAATAGAAAGATTATAGGGAGGGGGAGCAGAGGCTGAGG
Source organism: Homo sapiens (assembly GCF_000001405.40). NCBI lineage: Eukaryota > Metazoa > Chordata > Mammalia > Primates > Hominidae > Homo > Homo sapiens. The sequence goes on from NC_000010.11 coordinate 32,137,708, forward strand.
AAGAATTGGGACCTGGCTAGGCCTGGCGAGGAGCAGCCTGGGGAGAAGGGGAGAGGTCGGATGAGTCCGTAGAAAAGAAGGATTCAAAGGACTCAGAGCTTCGGGTGGAAACTGAACGAACAGACAGGAAAGAAAGAAGAAAGATTTGAGACAAGTCACATTGGGAGCTTTTCACACAGGCTAAGGGAGAAGAAGGGGAAATGGAGGGCGGAAGGTTGCCCATAGTGAAGGAGGTAAGTTTAAAGAGAAAGGTAGAGACACAGAGAAGGGGGTGGGTGAGCAGCCAAAGCAGGCGTCCCCGCAATTGACTTGCCACCAAGGGAATGTGGGTGAATGACCAAGGCAGGCGTCCCCGTGGTGATCAGACACCAATGAAATGTGGGTGAATAATCAGGCAGGCGTCCCCGCAGTGATTAAACACCAAGGGAAGACTGTCTTCCCGAGTCCGTGACCGGCGCCGGAGTTTCGGGTCCACGGATAAAATGTGTCTCCTTTGTCTCTACTAGAGAGGGAAAATAACTGGAATTGGAAGGACAGGGAGATTGAAGGGTAGCGAGAGAGGAAGATTGAAGGGTAGCAAGAGAGGCTGAAGACGAGTGAAAACACCGCTTACCAGATTTGAAATTGGTGAGATGTTCCTTGGGCTGGTTGGGCTGAGGACCTGAGGTCGTAGGTGGATCTCCCTAGGGAGTGAGGGCGAGGACAGGGGACCGGTCTCCCGAAGGAGTCCTCCTGTCCCGGGTCTTCGGCACCAAATGTCACGCGGGTCCGTGTGAAGAGAGTCCACCAACAGGCTTTGTGTGAGCAACAAGGCTGTATATTTCACCTGGGTGCAGGCAGGCTGAGTCCAAAAAAGGAGTCAGCAAAGGGTGGTGGGATTATCATTAGTTCTTATAGGTTTGGGATAGGCATACAAAGTACCTTCTTAAGGGCTAGGGGAGAATATTACAAATTACCTTCTTAAGGGTGGGGCAGAATGTATGTATCAGTAAGGGTAGGGCAGGAACAAATCACAATGGTGGAATGTCATCAGTTAAGGCTATTTTCACTTCTTTTGTGAATCTTCAGTTGCTTCAGGCCATCTGGATGTATACATGCAGGTTACAGGGGATATGATGGCTTAGCTTGGGCTCAGAGGCCTGGCACCCACCTTTTTGGACAAACCAATGTACTTCTTAAATATATTGATTGATGTCTCATGTCTCCCTAAATGTGTAAAACCAAGCTGTGCCCCGACCCACCTTGGACACATGTCATCAGGACCTCCTGAGGCTGTGTCACAGTGTGCGTCCTTAGCTTTGGCAAATAAACCTCCTAAAATGAGACTTGTCTCATCATTTTTCTTGACTGACAGAAGCTACGCAAGACCATCTCTGCAGGCTGCTGGCAGTTCCTTGAAGAGTACAGCTTTGGGGGCTTCTTGCCAGGTGCAAAAAAACACATTCACGTTTTACAGTGTGTTAAGGATCTCTCCTGTGTTTTGTGCTCCTCCTGGTTCCACCTGACTCCCTAAGAGGCTCCAAGAGTTGAATTTGCTGGCCTATTTCGAGGGATGGCCTTGCAGAGCTCCTCATTTCCTTTCTATTTTGTCTCCTTTAACCCAGCCTGTTGCTCAACTCTTTCCCCAAATCCCCAGGAATAACCCAAGGAAGAGAAGAAAAAGAGCTGCCAGTTAAAGTCACTCCAGATTCCCAAGGCAACCTGTTCCCCTGCCCACCCCCCTGCCGCTCCCCGCGGGGAGGCAGTCCTGCCTAGCACCACAGCAGGAGAATCAGCTGTTTCCTGCCCAACCTCAGTGGCTCAGGCTGAGTCATCCTTTTCCCTGCCTGGGTCAAGGCGTGGCTTCTCCAATCCCTTACAAAATGCTTCCGCCCCAAAATGCTCAGGCCAGCCTGTTAAGGGCTGGAGAGCCAACTCATTCAGTGTCTCCTTTGAATTTCATGAATTAAAAATGACTGCACTTAAAGCCCCAAAGTGCCACTAACAGACCTGAGGTGAACCCTGTTGGCCTTTGGCAGAAACCAAACTGCCCACATGCATTAAGTCCAGCGGGAGGACTGGGGGTTGGCCAGGGCCTGGCCTCTCCGATGACTAAAGAGACATGTGAGCAAAACCAGCTGTGGTCAGCATCATTCTTTTTTTGAGATGGGATCTCACTCTGTCACCCAGGCTGGAGTGCAAAGGCGCAACTAGGGCTCACTGCAACCTTCATCTCCTGGGCTGAAACAATCCTCCCATCTCAGCCTCCCAAGTAGCTGGGACTACAGGC